>NC_000005.10:113140110-113443140 GCF_000001405.40 Homo sapiens | reverse complement strand
CATTCTATGCTCATGGATAGGAAGAATCAATATCGTGAAAATGGCCATACTGCCCAAAGTAATTTATAGATTCAATGCCATCCCCATCAAGCTACCATTGACTTTCTTCACAGAATTGGAAAAAACTACTTTAAACTTCATTTGGAACCAAAAAAGACCTTGCATAGCCAAAACAATCCTAAGCCAAAAGAACAAAGCTGGAGGCATCACGCTACCTGACTTCAAACTATACTACAAGGCTACAGTAACCAAAACAGCATGGTACTGGTACCAAAACAGCTATATAGACCAATGGAACAGAACAGAGGCCTCAGAAATAACATCACACATCTACAACTATCTGATCTTTGACAAACCTGACACAAGCAAGCAATGGGGAAAGGATTCCCTATTTGATAAATGGTGCTGGGAAAACTGGCTAGCCATATGCAGAAAACTGAAACTGGATCCCTTCCTTACACCTTATGCAAAAATTAACTCAAGATGGATTAAAGACCTAAATGTAAGACCTAAAAACATAAAAATCCTAGAAGAAAACCTAGGCAATACCATTCAGGACATAGGCATGGGTAAAGACTTCATGTCTAAAACACGAAAAGCAATGGCAACAAAAGCCAAAATTGACAAATGGGATCTAATTAAACTAAAGAGCTTCTGCAGGGCAAAAGAAACTGCCATCAGAGTGAACAGGCAACCTACAGAATAGGAGAAAGTTTTTGCAATCTATCTATCTGACAAAGGGCTAATATCCAGAATCTGCAAAGAACTTAAACAAATTTACAAGAAAAAAACAACCCCATCAAAAGGTAGGCAAAGTGTATGAACAGACACTTCTCAAAAGAAGACATTTATGCAGCCAACAAACATATGAAAAAATGCTCATCATCACTGGTCACTAGAGAAATGCAGATCAAAACCACAATGAGTTACTATCTCATGCCAGTTAGAATGGGGATCATTAAAAAGTCAGGAAGCAACAGATGCTAGAGAGGATGTGGAGAAATAGAAAAGCTTTTACACTGCTGATGGGAGTGTAAATTAGTTCACCCATTGGGGAAGACAGTGTATTTCTAGTTCTGGATTCCTCAAGGATCTAGAACTAGAAATACCATTTGACCCAGCAATTCCATTAATGGGTATATACCCAAAGGATTATAAATCATTCTATAAAGACACATGCACATGTATGTTTATTGCAGCACTATTCACCATAGCAGAGACTTGGAACCAATCCAAATGTCCACCAATGATAGACTGGATAAAGAAAATGTGGCACCATGGAATGCTACACAGCCTTAAAAAAGAATGAGTTCATGTGCTTTGCAGGGACATGGATGAAGCTGGAAACCGTCATTCTCAGCAAATGAACACAAGAACAGAAAACCAAGCTCCGCATGTTCTCACTCATAAGTGGGAGTTGAACAATGAGAACATGTGGACACAGGGAGGGGAACATCATACACTGGGGCCTGTCCAGGGTAGGGGGTTAGAGGAGGGGATAGTATTAGGAGAAATACCTAATGTAGGTGACGGGTTGATGGGTGCAGCAAACCACCATGGCACAGGTATACTTATGTAACAAAACTGCACGTTCCGCACATGTACCCCAGAACTTGAGTATAATAAAAAAGTGCTGTACAAAACAAAAAATAATAAGTGATAGAGACCACATGCGGCCCTTAGAACCTAAAATATTTATTACCTAGCTCTTTATAGAAAATGTTTTCCAACCCCAGTTTTACACCATTCTCTTTTCTCTACTATAAAGAGAACTTGTTTTTTGTTTTGTTTTGTTTTGTTTTGAGACAGTGTCTCATTCTGTCGTTCAGGCAACAGATGGTGCAGTGGCACCATCTGGGCTCACTGTAACCTCCGCCTCCTGGGTTCAAGAGATTCTCCTGCCTAAACCTCCTGAGTAGCTGGGATTACAGGCACCCGCCACCAAACCTGGCTAATTTTTGTATTTTTAGTAGAGACAGGGTTTCACCATGTTGGCCAGTCTGGTCTCAAACTCATGACCTTAAGTGATCTGCCCGCCTCAGCCTCCGAAAGTGTTGGGATTACAGGCGTGAGCCACCACACCTTGACAGAACTTGTTTTTTTCTAATTCTGCGTCTGTCTTTTCTGTTTATTTATCTGCCTTATTAACCTAATCTGCAAATACACAGTGAGTATAGGGGGTAGAAAGGAGGAGAAAATGCTATGAACACATACACATTAATGGTTGTCCCTGTCACACTATGATTCCAGCGGTAATATAAAAAGTCAGGTGGATCTTTCATTATCAGCCATAGTAATTATATGCATTGTTAAACTTCTGATATAATCCCCGATTTCTTTCTTTTTCTTCTCTTTTTCCTGTTCCTTCTTCCTCCTCTTCTTTCTTCGTTTGCCAACAGATCTACTGAAAATTAGTTTCTTACCTGTTCCCTTAAAGGATATAGACATCACTCTTTCTAGCTTTGTTTTTCTTTCTCACCCTTTGTTTTTTCCTTCCCTCCTTATTCCTTCCCTCTTCTCTCTCCTCCTTTCCCTCCCTCTCTTTCTCCTTCCGTTTCTTCTTTACTTTCTTATTTTTTTCTTTTCTTTAAATAAATATCTATTGAGTACCTATAGAGCATTGTGCATTGAGAATCCAAAGACCAATAAGATGCAACGTTTGCCATGGAAACACTTGGTTGGAATTAAATGAAATACACTATAGAGTGGTGTGTCCATGACAAAATGAGATCAAGGTGTTGTGGGTCTGCCTGGGGGTGGGTGGAGGGTGTAACTGAAGTAGAGTGTCTGAGGGAGCCAGGAGACAGTAGCAGGATCCAGATGATAAAGAGCCTCAGATTCTGAAGGAACGTCTACTTTTTTCTAAGGGCCATGAGAGCCTACTCAAGAATTTCAAGCAGGGGAATAAAATATCCTGATTGATCTTTAATAAGGAGCACTGGGCTGCAATGAGGAGAAATGCCAGACTGGAAGTAGAGAGACCAGTAAGGGCACTTTCATAGCAACTGGGTGAGAAGAGATGAGGGTATGCACTAAAGCAGCAATGATAGCTCAGATGTAATAAAATGACCACTAATAGATCAGGCACAGTGGCTCAAGCCTGTAATCCCAATACTTTGGGAGGCTGAGGTGGGAGGATCCCTTAAGGCCAGGAGGTTGAGGCTACAGTGAGGTCTTGAGGCCAGGAGGTTGAGGCTATAGTGAGGTATGGTCATGCCACTGCACTCCAGTGTGGGCAACAGAGCAAAACTCTGTCTGTAAAAATAAAATAAAATGACCATTAATAATAGTAATAAAAGCCAACACTTGCTAAGTAGCCACTGTGTGCTAGCCTTTTGCTAAGTATTATATATCATTATCTTTTTGGATCCTTGCAACAATCCCATGAGCTAGAAACTATTATAGTCCCTATTTTAGAAATGTACATACTGAGGCTCAAAGAGATTGAATGAGTTATTAACTGTCACAACATAAGATTAACCACCACAGGCTAGGATTTTGCCTCCTCAGCTATCTTCAGTGACATGAGTCTCTAGCAGAAAACTTACGACTGGCCATTGGATTTTGCTTCCTAGTGCTTCAAGTTGTGAGGTAGGCTAGGACACTGAGAGACCTTCTGAGGGTACTGACCATGTTATATTCATCTCTATCTTTTCCAAGGCATTTGTCATCTAATAAAGGTTTGTTCTTGGCCATATTCATTCATTTCTCTGTGTTTTGTTCAAATGCCATTTCCCTTTCCTGTATCACCTATGTACATCTACCTTTGCTTCAAGGCCTCGTGTGTCTCATCACCTCTGTGAAACCCTCCAATTGTCCTTTGTGAGCCACTTGAAATGTACTCAGCATGCTTCCACAACCAGGTCTAGGACTTGACTGGCACTTCACTCTGAGCCTGCTGTTTACCACCAGACTTGCTCCCCGACACTCCAGCTTTGGCCTGCCTAACTGGTCAGCAACCCAGGCTCCTTATACCTTTTCCAAATTAAACCATGGAAACATTTCTGTCTGATCTCTTGGAATTTTCAACCTGGTTTTCAAAATTTGTTTCCTTAGCTCAGACTTTGACCCTGCATTGTTATGTTCCTGGTGTCCTTTGGTTTCAGGAACTGTGCTCTTAGAAGACACTGCCTCAACACCGTATCCTGGGTGACCTCCCAGCCAGGGGATCCTGCCCAAGGAAGCTCTAACACCTTCCTGGGCAACCCCAGCCCTCTGATTTTTTTTCTCTCCCATAAGCTTAGGCAATTTACTGCAAAATCAGTACTTTAAAAAATCTACTTAAGTTTCATATTTTATATATTATGACATTCATATCTATATTCTAGTGGTTTCTTCAACTAAATAACAAATTTTTAGAAGGTGATGCCATGTCGTAGTGTTTTTAGCTTCCCTGTAGTGCTTAGTAGTGTTAAGAAAAGTATTTAACAGATACTAGAAAATAGTTTACAGGATCCCGTCTGGGATATTCTAAGGTATAATAGATCTATATTATACTGAATATTATTTTGTACATAACTTGGGCCCAATGGAGTAGAATGCCTCTGCTTTAGACCATTATGATGTCATAAGAGGTGATATACCAGGAATCACCATGTCTAATCCTCACAATCACTTTAAAGTGCATACCTATTTTGCATACCTTTTTTCCTTATATACTTTTCCTATTGCCTCTGTAAGATAACTAGGTAAATTAGATAACTTCATCTATTTTACAGATCAAGTTACTTTCCGAGAGTCACACTGTACTAATAAGATGTGGCCCCTGGGATTTAAAACCAGATTTATCTGCCCCGTGTCTGATGCTCTTAATTGCCTCAGCTCCTACAACTCACCGTACGGCAGATGGAACCCTTGATAACATGTCTTTAGATATAGAATAAAAAAAGTTAGGTGTCATTCTATAGGACCTTAACAATTTCTAGTTAAAGACTCCCCCCACAACCCAAAAATAAGGAAAGTTAGGGGAAAGAAACACAGGTCACTTGCCTAAGGTCACAAAATGAGTTGTCAGAGCCCTAGGACCAAGGATTGGCTCTCCTCTCATGCATTTTGCATTAGAAAACTGCTTTTCTTCCCAGATTCTCAGAGTTCTGCTTGCTCTTTCACTAGGTCCCATAGACTGGTGATACTGACAACTTCAGCATCGATTTTAGGATGCCTTCCCAACCTATGGGATGGTATCCAAAGAGAATCCCACATGGCACTGAAGGAGCAGACCTGAGATGTGAAGCAGGGAGCTGGAGCCCTTTACCACTCCTGCCAAAATTCCCTGTACAGCATATATTTACCTATTCACTCTACCCAAGAGCAACCAAATCCATAATAAAATGCCTTGGTCAGGGCTTTCAAATAACTCAACTATCTGGGATATAGATAAGGAGCCTTTTGAATTTAAAGCATCTAAAGAATCAAAAGACAAAAAGGGGGTGGGAGAAACTGCCGAGTAGATTTTAGAAATATATCTCAGGGAATTTTGAGCCAAAATAGAAATAATTCAAGTGCAGCACTATTTCTCCTTCATCTCCAGGTGTTTTGTATGTCTATGTGTGAGTGTATGTGTATCATCTGTTGCCCAGATTTTTGTAAAATGCAAATAAATGATCCTGTCAGTTTAGGATTTTAGATACAATATTTCTACATAATCCCAAGGTAATTATCATTTTGAGTGAATACCTCATACCTCATTGTCTTTATCCTTGGAAGACATAGAACATAACAGGGGTAAAGGAGCAATGGAGGAAAATGAATTTTTTTTCTCTCCCTTTCTTTGCGATGATCACTCAGCCAGTGTTTATGACTGTGTGTAAAGCTCTGTGCTGAGGGCAGCCAGGGGACACACAAATGAGAAAGCCCAATTTGCAAGAAGCTGTCTTCCCTGCTCTCTCTTGCATTTGCCTCTGCTTATCTTTCCCTATTGCCTTTGTAGGATAACTCAATAAAGAAAACAGCATTGGGACCAAAATAAATTTTTTAGCATTTAATTACAAAGAGTAAACATAACATTGGATATTTTTCATTGTAGACAGCAATATAGATAAACTTTTTTTTTTTTTGAAGAGATTTCTTCTGAGCCAATATGTGACTAATGGCCCAGGACAGCCCCAGAAGATCCTGACAACAAGTGCCCAAAGGGATAGGGCTGCAACTTGGTTTTATACATTTTAGGGAGGCACGAGACATCAATCAGTGTATGTAAGGTATACATTGGTTCAGTCAGAAAAGGAGGGACAACTTGAAAGTGGGAGGCGGGCTTCTGGGTCATGTGGATTCAAAGATTTTCTGATTGGCAATTGGCTCAGAGAGTTTATCTAAAGACCTGGAATCAATAGAAGGGACTGTCTCTGGGGTAAGAGGTTGTAGAGACCAAGGTTCTTAGGCAGATGAAGCCTCCAGGTATCAGGCTTCAGAAAAAACACACTGTTAAATGTTTCTTATCAGACTCTAGTTAATTATCTCAGGAGAAAAGAGCTAGAAAGGGAAGGGGATTCTTCACAGAATGTAGATTTTCCTCATAAGAGACAGCTTTGCAGAGCTATTTCAAAATATGTCAAAGAAATCTGTTTGATAGTAAAATACTTCAGTTTCTTTCAGAGCCTGCTGTATCTTACTGCCAGAGTCTGTTGTCAGTCTTCAGGTCTCTGTGTCGATGTTACTGCTGCTCAGCTGTGCCTGAAACCTGAAGGGAGGAGGGATGATGAGGCCTGCCTGACCCCTACTTTCTATCATGGCCTGAACTAGTTTTTCAGATTAATTTTGGAATGGCCTTGGCTGAGAAGAGGGGTCCATTCAGATGGCTGGGGAGATTAGAATTTTATTTTTGGTTTCCAAGAGACAGCACTTGGGGTTTCCCCAGCAGGAAGGAGAAGGAGGCTGTCTGGAGGAAGGAGCACCAACCACGCACAAAGGACTGGCAGTGGGCAGTCAGAGTTGGGGAACAAGGTGAAGGAGCAGAGAAAAGGGAGAAGGGCCACAGCTGGTGGTGACCCAACCCAGCCTGAGCGACATCCAGCTCTACTAACTCACTCCTGAAGGGCCCAGGGTTCCACCTGGCTCATGTGAGGAAGGAGTTCTCACTCCCTCTAGGTGGATGAGGCCAAAGTCAAATCCAAGGCTAGGACAGTCATGCAACTCCTTCTTCCTGACGGTGTGGCCCAGAGCAGGTGCTGGACACAGAACCAGTCACAGCAGAGGCTCCACTGCCAGAAGAAATGATGGTTGCTGTCCAGTGCTTCCCCTGCTGCTTGTAATGTCCTCAGAGCAGCTGCCAGTGCTCAGGGTGGCATCCAGGCCCCACCTTCAGCCCCCAGCCCCAGATATGCCCTGGGAGCCCAGCCAGGGCCGTGAGCTGGGCAGGTCCCCAGGAGGGAGCTCACAGCCAAGAGCAGAACTCCTGCCAGCTGTCCTCCTACAGAGCTGCTGTAAGAAGCCAGCAAAGGCTCAGACAAGGGAAGAGATGTATAGGGAGGCGGCAGAATCCAGGCATCTCAAACTGCGTGACTCCGGGGCCAGGAAGCTGTCTACCTTCTTGACACACCACTCTTCTTGGCCCTGCTCTGCACTCCTGAGGGTCACCTGTGTGGACAGCATCAAGGGCTGAAGGGGAGAAAAAGAAGTCAGGGATGGGACTTCCTCCCATCCCCTGCCAGCCTGTAGGGTCACTGAGGCTGGCTTTTTCTCCCCTGAAGGCCACTGCCTCTCTCAAGGTGGTCCTGTCTACACTACTCTTTCTGGGTTCCAGGGACCATTCCCACCCTTTTCTATGCAGGCCAGGGGTCTGCTACTATCTTGGGGTAATTGTGTGACCCTCAGGGTTCCCTACACTCTGCTCCCACCTTTATTAATTGTCCCTTTATTAAATCCTCCTCAGATGCCCTGGTTTGCAAGAATTGGCCTCAATTCTGCACAAGTATGCCTGGCTCTGGGTTTGGAAGCATGGGCAGGCCCATGTGTCCCACACAGTCCCCTTCTACCTCAGGTCCCAGCAAGACACGAGGCCACTTTCTGCTCATCTTGTCTGCTCCAGCCTACTGGCCAGCCTTCCAGGATTCCAAGTCCAAGTGCCTCAGGCCAGGGTCTCATTCCCCCAGGGCACTCCTCCTTTGTGACTTCACTCGCTGAAGTCATCTGGGAGACAGTGCCAAATGTTCCACTCCAGAGTCTTGGCCTCTAGGAGGCAGGAACAGCAGGCCTGGCCAGCCCAAAGGACTCTCTATCCAGGATGTAAATGAGCACACTGCTGGCCCATGCGCCTCGGGGCTGTAGAGGGCAGCCTCAGAGGCACTGGGCATTCCTGGCACCATGGATGACGCTGCTGTCCTCAAGCGACGAGGCTACCTCCTGGGGATAAATTTAGGAGAGGGCTCCTATGCAAAAGTAAAATCTGCTTACTCTGAGCGCCTGAAGTTCAATGTGGCGATCAAGATCATCGACCGCAAGAAGGCCCCCGCAGACTTCTTGGAGAAATTCCTTCCCCGGGAAATTGAGATTCTGGCCATGTTAAACCACTGCTCCATCATTAAGACCTACGAGATCTTTGAGACATCACATGGCAAGGTCTACATCGTCATGGAGCTCGCGGTCCAGGGCGACCTCCTCGAGTTAATCAAAACCCGGGGAGCCCTGCATGAGGACGAAGCTCGCAAGAAGTTCCACCAGCTTTCCTTGGCCATCAAGTACTGCCACGACCTGGACGTCGTCCACCGGGACCTCAAGTGTGACAACCTTCTCCTTGACAAGGACTTCAACATCAAGCTGTCCGACTTCAGCTTCTCCAAGCGCTGCCTGCGGGATGACAGTGGTCGAATGGCATTAAGCAAGACCTTCTGTGGGTCACCAGCGTATGCGGCCCCAGAGGTGCTGCAGGGCATTCCCTACCAGCCCAAGGTGTACGACATCTGGAGCCTAGGCGTGATCCTCTACATCATGGTCTGCGGCTCCATGCCCTACGACGACTCCAACATCAAGAAGATGCTGCGTATCCAGAAGGAGCACCGCGTCAACTTCCCACGCTCCAAGCACCTGACAGGCGAGTGCAAGGACCTCATCTACCACATGCTGCAGCCCGACGTCAACCGGCGGCTCCACATCGACGAGATCCTCAGCCACTGCTGGATGCAGCCCAAGGCACGGGGATCTCCCTCTGTGGCCATCAACAAGGAGGGGGAGAGTTCCCGGGGAACTGAACCCTTGTGGACCCCCGAACCTGGCTCTGACAAGAAGTCTGCCACCAAGCTGGAGCCTGAGGGAGAGGCACAGCCCCAGGCACAGCCTGAGACAAAACCCGAGGGGACAGCAATGCAAATGTCCAGGCAGTCGGAGATCCTGGGTTTCCCCAGCAAGCCGTCGACTATGGAGACAGAGGAAGGGCCCCCCCAACAGCCTCCAGAGACGCGGGCCCAGTGAGCTTCTTGCGGCCCAGGGAATGAGATGGAGCTCACGGCTTAAAGCCCAAGCTCTGAAGAAGTCAAGGGTGGAGCCAGAGAAGGAAGGCAGTCCCAGATGAGCCTCTATTTTCATCAGCTTCTTCTCTCTCCCCTTGAACTTGGTAACCCACATGGTTCTCCCGTGGCCCCTAGGTGGATGAGGCCAAAGTCAAATCCAAGGCTGAGACAGTCGTGCGACTCCTACTCCCCCAGAGCGTGACCCGGAGCAGGTGCTGGACACAGAGCCTGTCTCAGCAGAGGGTCCCCACTGGCCGCAACGGCTCAGTGACAGCAAGAGCAGGAAGAGCAGCAGGAAGGCACCGCTGTCCACCTTGGGCACCATTTATCCTCCTTTCATCGTCCCCGGGGCAGTTGCGTGACCCTGCTGGGAGGCCAGACCGGGCCAGACTGAGGGTCAGGGGACCAGGCTGGGTTGGGGGTTGGGTGGGGCTGGACGGGGACGAGGCGCGGAGAGGCGGCGGGAAAGAGCTTCGGCTGGGCCACGGGCTCGCGGGCACTCTCGGCGGCAGCCTCGGGGGCTCCGACTCCAGCTCTGGGCAAGATCCATAAACTTTTAAAGAAGCCTCAAAACATACTTTTAAAGCATTAAGCTTTAAAGTGCTAGAAATCTTGTGCCCCATATGTGCTTCTTTCAGTATTATCCTAGATCCTCAGGAGTAGCATGGCAACTGGAGAAAATGGGAGGAAAGACAAGAAGAAATAGAAGCTGATTTAACATCAAGTTTATTCAGTTTTGATTTTTCTTATCTCTACTGGCTTTCTCCTGTTCAAACCTTGCAGCGATAATATTTGGAAAAGAGCACTTGGAAATTATATTCCTGTTTTTAACTCTTTATATTTAATCATTCTCCTTGTAATTGATTTTGTAGCTAATTTACTCCCCAGCACCCCCAGAAGAAAATTTTACAAAGGAAAATGTTTTATTTTTATTTTTTCCTTATCAACTTTTTATTTAAATGCTAATATCCAATTAATGGACAAACGAATCAGCTAATACTGGAAACAATGTAACAATAGTGAAAAGCATGAACTTTTGATTTCTATAGACCGAATTTGACTCTGCTACTAAATGATCTTGGGCAAGTTGGTTAATCTATATGTCTCAGTTTCTTTATCTATAAAATGAGAATAATACAACTTCATTAGGCATGCTATTCATTAATGTGTTTAGTTCTCATAACCCTATGGGAGGGGTCCTATTATTATTCCCATTTTATAGACACGAAATTGAGTAAAGTCAGTTTAGGTCACTTGTCTCTGAGCACATGATAAATACGTGGCAGAGCCAAGGTTAAAGCCCAGGTACACTCCAGCTCCGAGCCAACACTGTTAGCTGTTTTTTTTTCTTTTCTTTTTTTTTTTTTTTTTTTTTTTGAGACAGAGTCTCGCTCTAGCCCAGGCTGGAGTGCAGTGGTGTGATCTCGGCTCACTGCAACCTCTGCCTCCCGGTTCTGGGTTAAGCAATTCTCCTGCCTTAGCCTCCTGAGTAGCTGGGATTACAGGCACGTGCCACCATGCCCAACTAATTTTTGTTTTTGTTTGTTTGTTTATTTGTTTTTTGAGACGGAGTCTCGCTCTATCTCCAGGCTGGAGTGCAGTGGCACGATCTTGGCTCACCAAAACCTCCGCCTCCCGGGTTCAACCAATTCTCCTGCCTCAGCCTCCCAAGTAGCTGGGACTACAGGCGTGTGCCACCATGCCCAGCTAATTTTTGTATTTTTAGTAGAGACGTTGTTTCACCAAGTTGACTAGGATGATCTTGATCTCTTGACCTCGTGATCTGCCTACCTCGGCCTCCCAAAGTGCTGGGATTACAGGTGTGAGCCACTGTACCCCGCCCTAATTTTTGTATTTTTAGTAGAAACGGGGTTTCATCATGTTGGCCAGGCTGGTCTTGAACTCTTGACCTCGTGATCCACCCCCCCCCCCCCTTGGCCTCCCAAACTGCTGGGATTACAGGCGTGAGCCACCGCGCCTGGCCACACTGTTAGCTTTTAAACTACAGCCTCAAGGTATACCCCTCTAAGGCGATAGCCTCATGGCCTGTTGCAGGAGCAGGAAGAAACCAGAGTCGGTACTCAGGTGTCCCTGAACAGCATCTCTGCCTCTAGCTTTCTAATGCCCCAGGAAGCCCTTCACCCACCCCATTTATATGTAGATGTCCTAGCCCCTTGTACCTCAAGATGTGACCTTGCTTGGAAATAGAGTCATTGCAGATGTAATTAGTTAAGATCATACTGGAGTAGGGTGAGATGCTAATCAAATATGACTGGTGCCCAGGAGAGAGGCCTGGAACAGATCCTTTCCTAGTGCCCTCAGAGAGAGAAAGGCCCTGCCAACTCCTCTATCTTAGACTTCTGGCATCCAGAAGTGTAAATCACTACTTTTCTTTTGTCTAAGCCCCTCAGTTTGTGGTACTTTGTCATAGCAGCCCTAGCAAACTAATACACCTACCATATGCAACTAATCTGGTTAGGCCCTTAGCACTGTTCAGTTAGCCATTTCTTCATCTCTTCTCAACTCTCTCCCATAATCCACTGGAAAACTCCTCCAATCCTTTCACTACCTCAAGCTCCTCCCCTTCCTTTCTCCCTCAGCAGATAATCTCACTTCCTACTCTTCTGACACCATAGCTACCTCTTAAGAGGGCTCTCAATTTCCCTCATACTTCTCTGTTGCCACTGGCTCCTTTTCTTTTTAGACCATTGCTCTTCCTACCGTACACATTTTAGCTTTCAACAAGGCTTGGTCCCTCTCCTTTCCATTCTCCATGTGCCCCTCTCAGTGTTCATACTCATTTCCATAAGTTTACCCTGCACTATTAACTCTGAAGCTTATTCCTGTAACCCAGCTTCTCTTCAGAGTACGGGCCCTCATGATCAGTTCCATCTGCAGTCTCTTCACGCTGACCACCCTCCAACTAGCACACTCTGACCTCTGTACCAGCTTCTGTCATCTCTATTTTTCACATTCAACCAGACCCCAGAACTTACTTTTCCATGCCCTCCTACAAACAAAGTTGGCAAGACCTCTTGATTCTTTCTTTGCCTTACCTCTCATATACATGCTTTCTGATTCCCACTAGAACATTTCAAATCCTCACCCTGAGCAACTGTCCTGAGGAATTGTCCTTCCTGTTTACTCTGTCTAGCTTCCAGCCTGTCTTTCATACACTGCCAATGTCATCTTCTCAACATAAAATTTTACTTATGTTTCTACCCTCAGAGGGCTGGACCTTTGTTGCAGAGAGAATAGAGGCCCATCTTAAGTCTAGCATTCAAGGCTCCCCTTTAATACAGCTCCAGCTTACCTAAAATAACTAAGGGAGGCCAACTATCTACATAGGAAGAACTTTACCTAGTGCTCTGCCCTACTAGGAACTTCATGGTCCAAAATTAGATTTTAGCATTCTGTCAGCCATGACCTAGCTCAGTGGAGCTAATTCATGTTAACAAAACTTATGAAAGATTGGTGTACCTCCCAGGCTACCATTTTTCCAAGTTAGTGTTGAAAAAATGACTACCAAGTGCAATGGAACACATGTATTAACAGAGTCACACATACTTTGTCACTCCTGAGTGGGGAAGAGAAACAGGCAACCAAGTTCTAATGAGAAGGTTGCTTGGATCCATAGAAGGGAAATCTATGGCTAATCCCCATGGTTTCTTCCATCTGTGAACTCATGAGCTCTCCTGGCAGTTGCTTAGATCACAGTGACTGTTGTGATTGCATTTCAGGCCTGAATGTACAAAGACGTGACCTTGATTAGGTTTCAGTGTTTTCCCACCCACAGGATTATCTCACAGGACGTTTTACTTCTATATGTTGCTAATGTCATTGACTGTGTTGGTTTCTTTGTTCATTCATGTATTTATATGTTTGCTTATTTAGCTCTCAGCCACCTTATTTCCAAATTCTCCTCACTATATGAAGTGCCCTCAGAATTTCTCTGGATAGACTTTAGGCCATGACCCAGCAGCCTCTGAAACCCTGAACAGAACACCACCAACTGATCTAGCCAGGGCCTGAAAATATGTGTACCACTCTTGAGTCAAAGGCACTAACACTGAATGAGGGGGAAAAAGGACCTGGAGAAAAGAGGTTGAGAAAAAGGAGTGATGCAGAGCTAAAGAGGAAAACAAGCGAGGCATCTGTGAGGAATAAGTGCTTTAGTTTACTTGCATTACATGTCCCTTCACCCCCTATCTTAGTCAGCCCTGGCCGCCACAACAAAGTACCATAGACTAGGTGGTTTAAATAATAGAAATTAATTTTTTCGTGGTTCTGGAGGCTAGGAGATCCAAGATTAAGATGCTAGTTGATGCTGGCTAATGTGCTCTTTTCCTGGCTTGCAGACACCCACCTTCTCCCTGTGCCCTCACATGGCACAGAGAGAAAGATCTCTCTCTCTCTCTCTCTTTCTGTCTCTTCATATAAGGCTACAGTCCAATTGGATTAGGACCCCACCTTTACGACCCACATTTCACATTAATTACCTCCTAAAGACCCTGTCTTCAGATAGAGTCACATTGGAGGTTAGAGCTTCAGCATATGAATTTGGGAAGGGGAACACAATTCACTATACAACACTCCCCCTCAAAAAGAGTATATGTAAAGTTTTTGTCCTATTTCTTCGGTGAAGGAGAGCTAATGGATAATGGGATACTTAGATATAGTGTGATTACAGATATAAATTCTGACCCAACATTATTACCTTAATAGGTCTAGGTTATTAGCTAGACTGGGAAACAATTCGGCTGGATAAGTAAATCTTGTTCTTTTAAAATAAGTGAACCTAGGGGCTTCAAAGACAGTTCTATTAAGATGGCTAAATTTTATTTAATGTCTTTTGGACTGTGAGGAATTGAACCCTTAAACTAAAAAGTCCAACTGTGTTTAGTTGGAATTAACTTACTTCTTTACAGAAAGTCAAACTGTGTAGACAGGTTTCCCCTTAAATTCTTCCTTGAGATTGTGTTCTTCAGATGGGGAGGCCTTAAGTCGGGTTCCCTAGGATTACACTTGGGATCAACACCTGTGAGGGAGTGAAGGAAGCAGGATTAGGCACATGGAGAAGTTGAACTGTGACAGACTTACAGGAGATGTCTCAGCTGATCTTACAGGAAGTTCTGGAAATAAGATTGTCCTTCAGCATAGCCAAGAGTTGAGGCAAGAGGGCTAGGCCTTTGTAGCCTCATATCATATAGTCATTGGATATGGGGTGTCTCTGGGGAAGGGGCATAAGTGTCTGCCTTCCACAGAAAGCAGTTCCCAGGAAGGGACTCAGTCATAAGCCTTCTGCAGCCAACCCTGCTGGCAGCTGAGAGAACACATGCTTCAGTCGGTAAAGAGGGGTGTGGTGCTGCATCCCAGCATCCACTACAGGGAATAAGGGTGAGGGCAGGGGTCTGTAGATATTAGTTATACATTAAAATCTATTGACGTTCTTCTACTTGGGATTCATTTGTTTTTCTTGTGGTTAAGAGATCATCCTTGTACTAGAGGTTGAAGATTTTATATGTAGGAGCCCCTGAAAATGCTGAGCTGTGGCCAGCTGGGACTGGTTAATAGTTGTAGAATTAAAATGCCCTACGTTTCCAGTCATGTCATTACAGGCATAAGGGAGGGTGGAGCTAGACCCCATTGTACACTTAATTGAAAATTACTGATAGATGATGTGATGAGGAGCAAGTTTCAGACAAGCCTGGACATTTATTTTGGAGGAGCTGGTTTCCACTGAGGTATGTGTGGTTTCTATAACCTTCCTGGATTTTTTTTCCTGAGATTGCTTATGTTCATTTGCTAGAATTAGCAGAGAGGTTATGAAGATGGAATATAGTTCACTTTTGTATGAATGTTCCTCATCACTTGGCTGTTAATTAGTGTGGTTAGGTTTAATGAACTCATTTAATAACAATATTCCTGCAGAGAATTTTACTGAGTACTAAATTCTTAAATTTAATAATGCAAAACATATTTGTGTAGTGTTAATAATGGTTGCAAGACTTGCAGGGAGTAAAATACGGGAAGGTTAAGTGTAATGGATTAATTAAATAAGAAAGCCCAAACTACCTTTCAAAGTGACTCCATAATAATCTTCACTTTGTTTTAATGAATAAAGTAGACCATATCAAATGCCACTTGTGCATGTTAGTTTAAAAGCAGTATTCAAAGCTAGCACATTTAGATCAGGAGAAACATAAACACAGTGAAATATTCTGCTTGGCAAACAGAGTTTTGTTTCCTGTACTGATCCATTAAGTTGAATAACTTGATTTTCTTACAAGTCAACAGTATGTTTCTTCCATGTACAGAAATCAGTGGGACCTTTCCAGTCAACTCCCAAACAACAGCAGTTTGTATCAGCAGCAGTCCACATAAGCATTTGGGAAATGTTTTTAATTGCTTTAATTGCATATTAGGGAAATGACCAACTTCTTATTATAGCTTTTTCAAAGTAAGCAATTCATTTAAATGGGCTAAGGGCTTTTAAGCTGGTATAAATATCCTTTATATGATACATTCAAAATTATTTTGAGCAAACTTTTGAGGATGATAAATGTGTTTTGTAATTTATTATCCTAACAAATTGGCTAGACCTGAAGAAGATGTGTCCCTCAGAGTCCCCACCTGCAACATAGGGATAGAAAAAATATATCAATTAGGATGTGATAAGACAAGACATGATTAAATTCATATACCTTGAGTTCTCCAGAGTCCTCAAAGGCTATTTTGAGGATGAGTTTTGTGGATTTTGTTTGTGGAGAGGTAGTTACTCCAAACAGGAGTACTGAGGGAGAGTTTTGAACTCATTTTGCACTCCCATCGCATTATAGAGGAGTGAATTTTAAGTTTCTGAAATATTAGAAAGACTAGAAGTTTTAGTTTCCAATTAAATCCATCCCCATCACATTAGGAAGGCCCATTGGTTAGGCATGTGTTTAGTTATTTTATTTGAGACATCACGAATTCTGGGGTGGGTGGCTTAATGATGTCTTCAGTGAACCTTTTCCTTTTCTTTGTTCATCTTCACATTTTGCCATTCTTAGAATATAGGCATGTTCACATGCATATTGCCCCAGGGTCACAAGATGATTCTACCCACGCAGGTGTTGCTGCATTGCCAGGTACCATGTTTCGGGCATGAAGAACATAGAAAGAGAAAGTAGGAAATGATGACACCTAATTCAAAAAAGAAAAACTTTCCCAGAACCTTCAGGGTTTGTTTCGTTGGCTGCATACTATTACATTGTGTGGATACAGCATAACTAACTAGTCCTGGGGATAGATTTTGAGGGGCTGTTTATGGCACCCAGTCTTGGACTAACAGACATTTTGAAGGATGACAACGACCTATAGCTCTCAGATCCAGTGTTGACTTACTGTTTGTCAAGCCTCCCATGTTTCTAGTTTTGCTTCCCTTGTGGCCCTCATCTGCCAGCCTCAACCTGAGCGTGATCCTTATCTCAGGCCAGAGGGAGATAAGGAGTGAGTTCCAAGCACCCTGGGGCCCAGCATCTGCTTGCATTGGCATCCAGACAGGTTCTGGCCTGGTGTCTCAGTTCTGAAACCCATGTCCCCACTTTGCCTTATTTCCTGGGCCTGGCTGCCTGCCTTGGAAACCTACCAGCCCTCAGTCCCTTGAGGACCTGGCCTGCCTGGTTCTTGTCTGCTCCCTCCAGGAAGGGAAATTCTCTTTGAGCTTCTGCCTGGGTTCCGCCCTCGGCTGCCAGACTCACTTGATGATGTCTTATTGCCATGGCTTCAGAGTATTGCCAACTCCCATGACATAGATCCTTGGCCTCTCCCCACCCATCTTCCCTCCATCCACTTCCACCACCCCCAGCATGGTGAACGAGGTTATACATGGCTTAAGAAGTCAGATAGATACTAGATATTCAAAATCCCTAATGAAAAACAACACTCGTCTGTCCACCTACCCTAGGCCAATTCTTTGTAACACTGATGACGCTTTTAGCTGATTCTTCTCACGTTTGCTTCTATAATTTATAATAATTTGCTTATATTACTGTTTCTTCAAGTTTTCTTCAATTGTAGATATTGTGTATTGATTTTACACCAAGGAATATGTGGATTTAAGGCCTCCCTCCAAATATGCACCCACTTCCCCTTTACCTATTCTCCTAATCATAATGTTTGATTAGATCAATAGTCTCACTTCTTGTCACATAGGAGAGAAATAGAATTGTTTCTTGTTTATGCCACTTTTACTTGGTAATTGGTTATATGCACCCAAGCCCAATATACTGTGTTTCTCTTTCTTGTGAACATCCTCCTTTTGGTGGTGTCCCTCTCCCAGTAGCTTCCTGAGAAGCATATGTGACAGCTAATGTTTTGAGAAATGTCTTGATTCTGCCCTTTCATTTGATTGATTGTTTTACTGGGCATAGAATTTGAGATTAGAAATTGTTTTCTCTTGGAATTTTGAAGTGATTGTTTATCCTAGCACTCAGTATTGCTATGAAAAGTAGGTGCTGTGATTCCCAATCCTTTTATAAGACCTGTTGTTGTTTCTCTTTTTCTCTTCTGAAAGCTTTTGGGATTCTCTCTTTGCCCAATGTTCTGATATTTCATGTCTTTAAAAAAAATTGTTTCTGTGGTCCTTTGTGGACCCTATCTCATGGAAACTGATATTCTTAAGTTCTAGGAAATTTCTTAATTATATGTGTGATAGTTTCCTCCCCTCGGTCTTCTTTGTCATTCTTTCTGTAATTCATCCAATGTAATTTGGATGTCAGATATTGCAAAGTGAGCTTATTTTTTGACCCTTTCTTTCATATTTTCTAGTTCTTTTTTTTTCACTCCTAGCATTGCTGTTCTATTTTCTGGGAGATTTTCTCAATTTTACTTTTCAATTTGTATATTAAAATTTCAGTTTCTGCTTTTAATTTTTAAGAGTTTTTTGTTAATGTTATTCTCTGGGTGTGCTTTCTAATTTTTTAATTTAAAAAAAATTTTTTTGAGATGGAGTCTCACTCTATTACCCAGGCTGGAGTACAATGGCACAATCTCAGCTCACTGTCACCTTTGCCTCCCAGGTTCAAGGAATTCTCCTGCCTAGCCTCCAAGTAGCTGGCATTACAGACACCTGCCACCACACCCAGCTAATTTTTGTATTTTTAGTAGAGATGGTGTTTCACCATGATGGTGAGGCTGGTCTCAAACTCCTAACCTCAAGTGATCCACCCGCCTTGGCCTCCCAAAGTGCTGGGATTACAGGTGTGAGCCATCACACCTGGACTGAGTGTTCTTTTTTAAAACTTATTATTGTTCTGTGAAAATTATGTCATTGTTTAACTATATACTGATGTCCATGATAGGTTTTTGGAAGTTATCTAATCTTCCAGCATTATTTCTGTTTCCTATGAGTTCTTTTTTATATTTTTAATTTTTTTTGTCTCTTTTATATTAGATGCCCTCTTCAAATACCTATTAGTCTTCAGTTGTTCCTGATATTTAAGGGCGAGGCATAACAAAGCTGATTAGAATGTGTGTGTGTGTGTGTGTGTGTGTGTGTGTGTGTGTGTGTGTGTGTGTGTGTAGAGGATGACTTTTTGACCAGTGGGATTAACCGTAGGATGATCTAAGAGGGCTGTTTCACTGAGAGATTCTTCCCTCCCCTTCCTAATACACACAGATATTTTCTTTTGGCCCAGGCAGTATCCCCAGAGGGATGTCCTTCAGTCTGCCATCTGGTTGGTATAAAGCTAGTAGCCAGGGTTGTCAGAGCTGAGTGGAGGAAAAGGGAAAAACAGTTTTACCATTCTCCGTGAGGACTTCGCCTGAATTCCCCAATTTCAGGATGATAACCTTATCCTACGAGTGGTAACCCTGAGTCCAGAAGCAAGTGGGGATCAGCCACTATAGAAAATAAATTAGTTTTCTGCCCGGGTTGAGAAAACTTGACTGTGCCGGGTTGGGGGTGGGAAATAGAGATCTAATGGCTTCTTACACACACCTTCAACTCATTCTCCTGTTATGAACGTCACCTGCATTCACTGGCTCTCCTATTTCTGAGCCTGGCCAATACTTGCTTCAGTCTGGCTTTCTCTGGTGAGCTGATTCCACTCATCTATATGCCTTGTAACTTTTGAAATTTAGTTGTTCTAATCATCACTTCTGTTCTCCTCGTTATTATACCAGTTAATTCTCATTATTCACAGTAATTATGTTCTAGAAAGTTGCAGCAAACACTGAATTCGTAAATATTGAATTGTTGCTTCTAGGGGAAACACAGGGTTAGATTCTTGTGAGCCCAGGATCAACACATAGCTTTGTGTTATGTATAGGTTCTTTTTAAAGACACCCTGTTTAATATAGATTGTTGATTCATTAACATTGAGCTCATGGCCAACAGCACTGTCACTCATGCCTGAACAAAGCTTATCTAACATGTATATTCTTTGCAAGGCACTTAGGAAACCAGACAGCCCTTCAGCACTGTGCTTGGGGGCCACTTTAGACAGCAAAGTTATCAACAAAAAGCACGAAGGTATGAAAAACGTGACACTAAATAGACCATGAAAAGGATGATGTTTACAGTATGAGATCCAGAACAAAGGCAGAGTGTTGCTTTGTTCAGCCTCTGCTGGGAACTTGTGTGTTGGACGACTCAAATTTTTCACCACTCTGACCACATTCACAAATAATTGTGGAAAACACGATGAGTATTGATTTGGGGCTACAAATAAGTTTTACTGAGTAGGCAAGTTTGCAAACACAGAATCCATGAGTCATGGGGATCTCCTGTAGTTTTGTGCTTTTTTATTCTTTTATCCTTTTAGGATGGTTTCAGGAGGCATTGAAAGGGAACAAGGAAAGTAACTAAGTATATTAAATCTACCAAGTATAACTAGAAGTCTCTGTCATCCCAGTCATTTTTTAGAGGATCCACTAATTCCTATTTATCTCCGATGCCATGTCAGATTTCTTCTAGCTCCTCCAGCTCACTCTGCCTCTTACATCCTTTTGCATCTCCACTGGGCTCATCCAGGTCCAGATTCCACGGCTCTTCAAGTCACCCAGGCCTGCTGCAACAAGCTGGGCCATACCTGATAATGCCACAACATCCTGAAGGTTATGTGTAGGTCTTTCCTATATCCTATAATCAATGATGCACTGGAGCTGGCTCGTACTTGCTTGCAAAAGCAAATTGCTAAATTTTCAGGAATTTTGTGAGCCATTATTAAACATAACCATTGTTAAAAACTAAATCATAAAGTCAATTAAAAAGACAAAAATAACTTAAAATTAAATCATAGAAGCTTGTAAACAAATAAATTACATGAACAACAAATATAATAAATGCTCAAACTCATCACTTACTATTTATTTTACTATATTTACAGTTATCCATGCTCTTGGGGCTGTTTATATCTCTTGTATCTGTATGGTGGAATACTGTATCATGGTGTGGTACAGCACATCTCTAATCAGTCTCCTCACTAGATGTGATTTTCAGTGATGTGACAATGATAGCTTCAAATCAACCATGGCCGGAGTGTATTTACCATGGAAATCAGCAAATGCTCCAAATCAAGGCTTTTTCTCCCCAGAGAGCCTATTGTTAAACCTTCACCAACACAGCACTGACTGAATTAACTATAATTTTATTGCTGCTGTTAGGGATTCACTAATTTATATTCTGTCTTCTCTGGCCTTCAAATACCTCAGTAAAAGCTGAAAAAGTGGCAAAAACATTTATATGAAGCAATCTTACTATCATAGTCTTATTTATACTGTCACTAGCATTAGCAATGGAAGGACCCCAGGGAACTGGGAAGTGGTGAAGAAAATAGCAAATCACCCCTGGATCCTAGGAAATTGACTATTTCAAGGACTCCAGAGCCTCATGGAGCGTGGAATTGAGTGAAAATAGAAATTAACTGACAAAGGCAATGGGGAAGGAGTCAGCAGCTAGATCCAAGGATATACATTAGCTCCGTGGATGTTTATTTAGCAGAAATAGTGGGGAAAATGAAGTGAAAACTGGTAGAACAGAGTCACAGGAAGAGAGTCTGGGTCCTTCCTACTGTTGCAGACAGTCTGACCCAGATGAGCGAAAGGGTCTTGTAAATGTGAGCTTGGAAAAGTGAAGTTTTTATAGTTAACAGATGGGGATACAAAAAGTATTGATGCCTTATTAGAATCGTACTGCCTAGGAAAGTCTTAATATGTGTGAATAACAGAGGATGGACCATTAATATGTTATTTCTCTGACCAGTTAGAAATGTTATGAAATTAAAGAGTTTTATTTTCTCTGAGCAGTAAGTCTAGGGAAGTTTGCTGAAATAATTATTCCAGGAAAATCCAGTGGGGGTAAAGGTCATATTTAAAATTCTTTTGCAGAGGCCGGGTGCAGTGGCTCACACCTGTAATCCCAGCACTTTGGGAGTCCAGGCGGGCAGATCACATGAGGTCAGGAGTTCAGGACCAGCCTGAACAACCTGGAGAAACCCCGTTTCTACTAAAAAATACAAAAATTAGCTGGGCATGGTGGCGCGTGCCTGTAGTCTCAGCTACTTGAGGAGGCTGAGGCAGGAGACTCGCTTGAACCTGGGAGACAGAGGTTGCAGTGAGCTGATATCGTGCCACTGTACTCCAGCCTAGGCAACAGAGTGAGACTCCATCTCAAAAAAAAAATAAATAAATAAAATTCTTTTGCGGAATTTCCACTAATTGTAAACTTTTATAAAGTTCAAATTACTGATTTATAATGTAAAGTCAGTGAGTATTTTAGAAGCTTGAATATATTATATTTAACATTAGTGCTTAGAATCCTTTGATTCCAAATAGCAAAAAGAGCTAACTGCCTGATATATCCCCGGAAAGGCAGTTAAGCAGGAAAAAAGTCAGTGTAGGAGGAAAAACAGAAAATAGTTGTGCTGCCGTCCTCCCTGCCTACTATCATTGGTATGAAAAAACTGGGTTAATAGGCTTAATGGCAGGCCCGATTTGAGAGACCCTTGGGAAAATAGACTAGCATGTCCTTTATATTTATAAAATAGAATAATACTTCTTCCTATTTATAAGCACACTGGTGTGCAGTGGAAGGTCCACCTCTGGGCCTGCTGTCACGTGGATTCTTAGTTTTGGTTCCAAACTTCAGTTTTGGGAATCTGTAGTGTGTCTTTCAGAGAAGAAGAATTACTGTCAGGTTTGTATATTAAAATTTATTTCATAGAGATGATCCCTGCTTGAATGAAGTGTTATCCCTTGAAGTAAACTAAAAAACCTTATAAAGTTGCTCAAGGGATAAGGCAAAAATGTTTGTCCTGAGTTGTTTGATATAATCTTCATATAACAGAAATTTTTACAAGTGGCAAATGCTGTCAGATTTCTTTTTTCCTTTTAATTGTTATTCTTTGCGTCTAACTTGTTTTTGGTGCTGTTGTTGTTGCACTTGCTTTTTTTCTTCTATGGATAGCATAAAATAATTTTTCTAAATTACTTTGCCTAATCTTATATTTAAGATTTAATCTTAATATAAGATTTTTATATTTAATCTTATATTTAATCTTAAGTATAAGATTTAAGTAAACTTTGGCACAATGAATGAATTCTTTTTTTATTTCAATTGAGATATAATTCATATAACATATTTCACCTTTTTTTCTTTTCTTTTTTATTTTTATTTTTATTTTATTTTATTATTATACTTTTAAGTTTTAGGGTACATGTGCACAACGTGCAGGTTTGTTACATATGTATACATGTGCCATGTTGGTGTGCTGCACCCATTAACTCGTCATTTAGCATTAGGTATATCTCCTAATGCTATCCCTCCCCCCTCCCCCCACCCCACAACAGTCCCCGGTGTGTGATGTTCCCCTTGTTGTGTCCATGTGTTCTCATTGTTCAATTCCCACCTATGAGTGAGAACATGCGGTGTTTGGTTTTTTGTCCCTGAGATAGTTTGCTGAGAATGATGGTTTCCAGTTTCATCCATGTCCCTACAAAGGACATGAACTCATCATTTTTTATGGCTGCATAGTATTCCATGGTGTATATGTGCCACATTTTCTTAATCCAGTCTATCATTGTTGGACATTTGGGTTGGTTCCAAGTCTTTGCTATTGTATTTCACCATTTTTAAAGTACACAATTCAGTGGTTTTTAATATATTTACTGTGTTATGCAGTCACCACCATTATCAAATTTCAGACTGTTCCTATCACAACGGGGTATGGTGGCTTACACCCGTAATCCCAGCACTTTGGGAGCTTGAGGTGGGAGGATTGCTTGAGTCCAGGAGTTTGAGACCAGCCTGGGCACATAACGAGACCCATCTCTACCAAGAAAAAAAAAAGAAAAAAAGAAGAAGAATAAGTAAAAAATTAGCTAGGTGTTGTGGCATGCACCTATGGTCCCAGCTACTTGGGAGGCCAAGGTGGGAGGATCCCTTGAGCCCAGGAGTTGAAGGCTGAAGTGAGCTATGATAGCGCCGCTGCACTCCACACTCCAGCCTGAGTGGCAGAGCAAGACTGTGTCAAAAAAAAAAAAAAGAAAGAAAAAAAAGAATATTCCTATCACCTTCAAAAGAAACCTCATACCTATTAGCAGATACGTGTTCTTGGATATATGTATACCTAGGAGTGTCATTGCTGGGTCACATGGTAATTCTGTGTTTAACGTTCTTAGGAATTGCCAAACTTTTTCCCAATGAATTCATTTCTGTTAGTTGCATACCCTTAATTGTTCAGTTCTCCTGCAAGTACGCATCCCTCTTTGGTTGGTTGTGCCTTTTGTGATGTTCTGGGAGAGACACGAAGAGGAGCTCTGTGATGCGGTGCTGCTTGATGCAGCATGGAAACTCATTGCTTTTTGATTGGTTTTGTCTGCAACTTGTCAGGAAATAATTAAAGGCCCTTTTTACCCCTAATTGTGGTAATAGATTCATATACGTTTTCTGTCTGTTCTGCTTTCACTTTGCTAAATGGCTACTTTCTTGTACTCATCTTGATGATGATGATGATGATGATGATAATAATGATGAAGATTTTGCCACTTGTTAGGTGCTTTCTAGGTTCCAGGCACTGCACTAAAAGCTTTACATACAGTATTTCTTTAATCTTCACAATACACTTCTGAGGTGGATATTTTTAATCCCTTTTTCACTTGCCCAAACCAAGGCTTAACTGGGTAAAGAAATTTCACATGGCTGGAGGTTGGCAGAAAAGAAGGAAGGTGTGCTAAGCTGGGGTCTCCCACTGCTTGGAAAGATGAACATATGTCTATTTAAACATATGTATATTTAATCTTATATTTAATCTTAAATATAAGATTTAGGTAAACTTTGGCACAATGAATGAATTCATTTTTTATTTCAATTGAGATATAATTCATATAACATATTTCACCTTTTTTTCTTTTCTTTCTTTTTTATTTTTATTTTTGTTTTATTTTATTATTATACTTTTAAGTTTTAGGGTACATGTGCACAACGTGTACCCCTATTTAAACGGGGTTCATTAGATTTGAGTTTGTGCTGCTGAATTTGAAAATTGAGATCATACCTGAAGCCTCTATCAAATAGAAGGGAAAAAAGAAGTAGGCCTTAGACAAATCCAACATGTAGCTTTAGATGCTGTATCTCCAAAAAAGACATGAGGGAGGAAATGACTGCAAACAGTATGCAGTCACCTTCTAAATTCTGTAGTATTTAAGTCTCATATCCTTTATAAGTGACACTAGGAAAATTATTTCTTATTTTCACTTTTGTATGACTTTTTTTTTTTTTTGGAAATAGTGTCTCACTCTGTCACCCAGGCTGGAGTGCAGTAGCACTATCTCAGCTCACTGTAGCCTTGATCTCCCGGACTCAAGTGAGTGATCCTCCTACCTCAGCCTCCTGAGTAGCTAGGACTACAGGCGTGTACCACTATACCTGGCTTATTTTTGTATTTTTTGTAGAGACAGGGTTTCACCATGTTGCCCAGGCTGGTCTCAAACTCCTGACATCAAGCAATCCCCCTGCCTCGGCCTCCCAAAGTGCTAGAATTACAGGCGTGCCTGGCCTTGTATGATATTTTAATGTTGTCCCTTACACCTGTGCATAAGAAATCTAGAAAAATGCACTTTAATGTCATTGGCTTTTAGAACTCCAAGATGAAAAGTTCTTTCCAAGTTTGTCATGGTTGTGGCTTTTCAAATGGGAAACTATTTGGTGCCTCAGTGGACCTCCTTTGCTGCACTGGTGCACAGGGAAATCACTGACCTCTTAGGCAACAATGGTTAAAGCCATAACAGCATTTCCCGAAATGAAAGCATGGCCACTGGTAGCTTAGTAACAAGCAGCTCTGCTTTATGAAGTATGGGACTTTTCCTAAAATGCCTGTAGATTTTAAAACAATTGTAGGCATTTTGGAAAGGTATATATTAGGCAGGAGCATAAAAAAGCAATTCACTGCTGGGTGCGGTGGCTCACGCCTGTAATCCCAGCACTTTGGGAGGCCTAGGTGGGCGGATCATGAGGTCAGGAGATTGAGACTATCCTGGCCAACATGGTGAAACCCAGTCTCTCCTAAAATACGAAAGATTAGCCAGGCGTGGTGGCATGCGTCTGTAGTCCCAGCTACTTGGGAGGCTGAGGCAGGGGAATCACTTGAACCTGGGAGAAATAGGTTGCAGTGAGCCGAGATCGTGCCACTGCACTCCAGCCTGGCAACAGAGCAAGACTCCGTCTCAAAAAAAAAAAAAAAAAAAGGCAATTCACATGGTAAGAAACAGCAATGACCAATATGTAAATCCAATACGTAAATAAAATTATTGACCAATTTTGTCAATAATTTGCAAATTGTTGACAAAAATAATTGTCATTATATTTGACGATTTATTTTAATTGTCAAAAATGTAAAATAAAATGAGATATCAATTTTATCTGTTTATTATTGAAGAAGTAATATATGTATGTGGTACAAAATTCCAGAATGAAAAATTATTTAAAATGGAAAGTATATTTCTCTCCTCTCATGCTATTTTGTTTTCTAGCCACTTCATCTAACTGTCCAAGGGCATCTACCATTACCTGTTTCTTATGAACCCTTTTAATGGTTGTCCATGAACATGCGTATGTGTATACATATACATGCATTTATGTATAGATATATATGTATGTAGAATATACTGTAAACACTCTGTACCTTGCATTTTTACATAACAATTATTATTAGAAACTTTTCCATATCAATACATATATAGCTGCCATGTTATTTAGCCACCTGCTCCCCCTGCCACTTTTTTTTTTAAGAGATGGGATCTCTTGTTGCCCAGGCTGGAGTGCAGGGGCTATTCACAGGTGTGATCATAGCACACTACAACCTCAAACTCCTGTGCTCAAGCAATCCTCCTGTTTCAGTCTCCTGAGTAGATGAGACTACAGGTGTGTGCCAGCACACCCAGCTCTCCAACATTGTTTAAATGAACATTTTTAAGCATACAGAAAAGTCGGGACCTTATTCTTTTTAAGAGTTGCATAGGTCCATTCCAAGATGGCCGAATAGGAACAGCTCTGGTCTGCACCTCCCAGCGTGATCAATGCAGAAGACGGGTGATTTCTGCATTTCCAACTGAGCCTCTGCTGGTGATATCCAGGCAAACAGGGTCTGGAGTAGACCTCCAGCAAACACCAACAGACCTGCAGCTTAGGGACCTGACTGTTAGAAGGAAACTAACAAACAACAGGGAATAGCATCAACATCAACAAAAAGGACAGCCTCACCAAAACCCCATCTGTAGGTCACCAACATCAAAGACCAAAGGTAGATAAAACCACAAAGATGGGGAGAAACCAGAGCAGAAAAGGTGAAAATTCTAAAAACCAGAGCGCCTTTTCTCCTCCAAAGGATCACAGCTCCTCGCCAGCAATGGAACAAAGCTGGACGGAGAATGACTTTGACAAGCTGACAGAAGTAGGCTTCAGAAGGTCGGTAATAACAAACTTCTCCAAGCTAAAGGAGGATGTTCGAACCCATCACAAGGAAGCTAAAAGCCTTGAAAAAAGATTAGACCAATGGCTAAATAGAATAAACAGTGTAGAGGAGACCTTAAATGACCTGATGGAGCTGAAAACCATGGCACGAGAACTACGTGACGCATGCACAAGATTTAATAGCCAATTCGATCAAGTGGAAGAAAGGGTATCAGTGATTGAAGATCAAATTAATGAAATAAAGCAAGAAGAGAAGGTTAGAGAAAAAAGCATAAAAAGAAACGAACAAAGCCTCCAAGAAATACGGGACTATGTGAAAAGACCAAATCTACATTTGATTGGTGTACCTGAAAGTGACGAGGAGAATGGAACCAAGTTGGAAAACATTCTTCAGGATATTATCCAGGAGAGCTTCCCCAACCTAGCAAGGCAGGCCAACATTCAAATTCAGGAAATACAGAGAACACCACAAAGATACTCCTCGAGAAAAGCAACCCCAAGACACATAATTGTCAGATTCACCAAAGTTGAAATGAAGGAAAAAATGTTAAGGGCAGCCAGAGAGAAGGGTCGGGTTACCCACAAAGGGAAGCCCATCAGACTAACAGCAGATCTCTCGGCAGAAACTCTACAAGCCAGAAGAGAGTGGGGGCCAATATTCAACATTCTTAAAGAAAAGAATTTTCAACCCAGAATTTTATATCCAGCCAAACTAAGCTTCATAAGTGAAGGAGAAATAAAATCCTTTACAGACAAGCAAATGCTGATAGATTTTGTCACCACCAGGCCTGCCTTACAAGAGCTCCTGAAGGAAGCACTAAAGAAAGAAAGGAACAACTGGTACCAGCCACTGCAAAAACATGACAAACTGTAAAGACCAACTATGCTAGGAAGAAACTGCATCAACTAACGGGCAAAATAAGCAACTGACATCATAATGTGAGGATCACATTCACACATAACAATATTAACCTTAAATGTAAGTGGGCTAAAATGCCCCAATTAAAAGACACAGACTGGCAAATTGGATAAAGAGTCAAGACCCATCAGTGTCCTATATTCAGGAGACCCATCTCATGTGCGGAGACACACATAGGCTCAAAATAAAGGGATGGAGGAAGATCTACCAAGCAAATGGAAGCAAAAAAAAAGCAGGGGTTGCAATTCTAGTCTCTGATAAAACGGACTTTAAACCAACAAAGATTAAAAGAGACAAAGGCCATTACATAATGGTAAAGGGATCAATTCAACAAGAAGAGCTAACTGTCCTAAATATATATGCACTCAATACAGGAACACCCAGATTCATAAAGCAAGTCCTTAGAGACCTACAAAGAGACTTAGACTCTCACACAATAATAATGGGAGACTTTGACACCCCACTGTCAATGTTAGACAGATCAATGAGACAGAAGGTTAACAAGGATATTCAGGACTTGAACTCAGCTCTGCACCAAGTGGACCTAATAGACATCTACAGAACTCTCCACCCCGAATCAACAGAATATACATCCTTCTCAGCACCAAATCGCACTTATTCCAAAATTGACCACATAGTTGGAAGTAAAGCATATGTAAATGTAAAAGAACAGAAATCACAACAAACTGTCTCTCAGACCACAGTGCAATCAAATTAGAACTCAGGATTAAGAAACACACTCAAAACCGCACAACTACATGGAAACTGAACAACCTGCTCCTGAATGACTACTAGGTAAATAACAAAATGAAGGCAGAAATAAAGATGTTCTTTGAAACCAATGAGAACAAAGACACAACATACAAGAATCTCTGGGACACATTTAAAGCAGTGTGTAGAGGGAAATTTATAGCACTAAATGCCTACAAGAGAAAGCAGGAAAGATCTAAAATTGACACCCTACCATCACAATTAAAAGAACTAGAGAAGTAAGAACAAACAAATTCAAAAGCTAGCAGAAGCCAAGAAATAACTAAGATCAGAGCAGAACTGAAGGAGATAGAGACACAAAAAAACCCTTCAAAAATCAGTGAATCCAAGAGCTGGTTTTTTGAAAAGATCAACAAAATTGATAGGCTGCTAGCAAGACTAATAAAGAAGAAAAGAGAGAAGATTCAAATAGATGCAATAAAAAATGATAAAGGGGATATCACTACCGATCCCACAGAAATACAAACTACCATCAGAGAATACTATAAACACCTCTATGCAAATAAACTAGAAAAGCTAGAACAAATAGATAAATTCCTGGACACATACACCTTCCCAAGACTAAACCAGGAAGAAGTTGAATCTCTGAAGAGACCAATAACAGGCTCTGAAATTGAGGCAATAATCAATAGCCTACCAACCAAAAAAAGTCCAGGACCAGATGGATTCACAGCCAAATTCTACCAGAGGTACAAAGAGGAGCTGGTACCATTCCTTCTGAAACTATTCCAATCAATAGAAAAAGAGGGAATCCTGCCTAACTCATTTTATGAGGACAGCATCATTCTGATATCAAAGGCTGGCAGAGACACAACCAAAAAAGAGAATTTTAGACCAATATCCTTGATGAACATCGATGCAAAAATCCTCAATAAAATACTGGCAAACCGAATCCAGCAGCACATCAAAAAGCTTATCCACCATGATCAAGTGGGCTTCATCCCTGGGATGCAAGGCTGGTTCAACGTACGCAAATCAATCAACGTAATCCATCACATGAACAGAACCAACGACAAAAACCACATGCTTATCTCAATAGATGCAGAAAAGGCCTTTGACAAAATTCAACAACTCTTCATGCTAAAAACTCTCAATAAGCTAGGTATTGATGGGACGTATCTCAAAATAATAAGAGCTATTTATGACAAACCCACAGCCAATATCATACTGAATGGACAAACCTGGAAGCATTCCCTTTGAAAACTGGCACAACACTGTGTTGTCCTCTCTCACCACTCCTATTCAACATAGTGTTTGAAATTCTGGCCAGGGCAGTCAGGCAAGAGAAAGAAATAAATGGTATTCAATTAGGAAAAGAGGAAGTCAAATTGTCCCTGTTTACAGATGACATGATTGCATATTTAGAAAACCCCATCATCTCAGCCCAAAATCTCCTTTAGCTGATAAGCAACTTCAGCAACGTCTCAGTATACAAAATCAGTGTGCAAAAATCACAAGCATTCCTATACACCAATAACAGACAAACAGAGAGCCAAATTATGAGTGAACTCCCATTCACAATTGCTACAAAGGGAATAAAATACCTAGGAATCCAACTTACAAGGGATGTGAAGGACCTCTTCAAGGAGAACTACAAACCATGCTCAACGAAATAAAGGAGGACACAAACAAATGGAAAAACATTCCATGCTCATGGATAGGAAGAATCAATATTGTGAAAATGACCATACTGCCCAAGGTAATTTATAGATTCAATGCCATCCCCATCAAGCTACCAATGACTTTCTTCACAGAACTGGAAAAAACTACTTTAAAGTTCATATGGAACCAAAAAAGAGCCTGCATTGTCAGGACAATCCTAAGCAAAAAGAACAAAGCTAGAGGCATCACGCTACCTGACTTCAAACTATACTATAAGGCTACAGTAACCAAAATAGCATGGTACTGCTACCAAAACAGAGATATAGATCAATGGAACAGACCAGAGGCCTCAGAAATAACACCACACATCTACAACTATCTGATCTTTGATAAACCTGACAAAAACAAGAAATGGGGAAAGGATTTTGTATTTAATGAATGGTGCTGGGAAAACTGGCTAGCCATATGTAGAAAGCTGAAACTGGATCCCTTCCTTACACCTTTTACAAAAATTAATTCAAGATGGATTAAAGACTTAAATGTTAGACCAAAAACTATAAAAACCCTAGAAGAAAACCCAGGGAATACCATTCAGGACATAGGCATAGGCAAGGACTTCATGACTAAAACACCGAAAGCAATGGCAACAAAAGCCAAAATAGACAAATGGGATCTAATTAAACTAAAGAGCTTCTGCACAGCAAAAGAAACTACCATCAGAGTGAACAGGCAACCTACAGAATGGGAGAAAATTTTTTTTTATTTTGCTTTTTTCTTTTTAAAGGTTAGCTGTTTTTATGAATCTTTTAATTAAAGTGTAAAAATCTCTGATTATAGATTGTGGGTGACATTGTAGGTGGTTGGAGTTAAGAATTACTCCTGAAAAAAAAAATCGCTCCTGAAACTTAGAGAGAATGCATGCTTTTTACCTTATCTGACAAATGTCTAATATCCAGAATCTACAAAGAACTTACACAAATTTACAAGAAAAAAGCAGATAACCCCATCAACAAGTGGGCAAAGGATATGAACAGACACTTCTCAAAAGAAGACATGTATGCAGCCAACAGACACATGAAAAAATGCTCATCATCACTGGTCATCAGAGAAATGCAAATCAAAACCACAGTGAGATACCATCTCACACCAGTTAGAATGGCAATCATTAAAAAGGCAGGAAACAACAGATGCTGGAGAGGATATGGAGAAATTGAAACATTTTTACTCTGTTGGTGGGAGTGTAAAATAGTTCAACCATTGTGGAAGACAGTGTGGCAATTCCTCAAGGATCTAGAGCTAGAAATACCATTTGACCCAGCAATCCCATTACTGGTTATATACCGAAAGGATGATAAATCATGCTGCTATGAAGACACATGCACATGTATGTTTATTGTGGCACTATTCACAATAGCAAAGACTTGGAACCAACCTATATGTCCATCAATGATAGACTGGATTAAGAAAATGTGGCACATATACACCATGGAATACTATGCAGCCATAAAAAAGGATGAGTTCATGTCCTATGCAGGGACATGGATGAAGCTGGAAACCATCATTCTGAGCAAACTATCACACGGACAGAAAACCAAACACCATGTGTTCTCACTCATAGGTGGGAATTGAACAACGAGAACACATGGACACAGGGCAGGGAACATCGCACACCAGGGCCTGTTGTAGGGTGGAGCGTTGGGGGAGGGATAGCACTGGGAGAAACACCTAATGTAAATGACGTCTCAATGGGTGCAGCAATCCGACATGGCACATGTATACCTATGTAACCTGCACGTTGTGCACATGTACCTCATAACTTAAAGTATAATTTAAAAATAAGAGTTGCATAATAATTCATTATGCAGATGTAGCACAATTCATTTTACTATCCCGCAGTGTCAGATATTTAAACCTCAGCCTTCCAAAGCCCTGGAATCACAGACATGACCCACCACGCCCAGCCAAGAATAATTTTTTTGACTCGTGAACTCTAAGAATTTAACCTACCGAATTGATCAGACAAGTGTTCAACAATGTTTATCACAGCACTTTTATAAGAAATACATGATGGAAGTTACCAATTAAATAAATTTTAAAATCATATTATGTTATATCTATATAGTGGATACCTTGTGGATATCCATTGTATCCATTGTATAGATACAACATAATATGATGTTAAATGGATATAAAAATCCATAATGGATATCCACAAGGTATCCCTTGTATAGGTATAGCATATCCATACGCAGAACCATATTTCTTAACACGGAAAGGTTTTTATGATTTTTTGCTACATGGAGTACACTAGTTATAAAACAGTATGTTCAGCAAGATCCCGTTGGGGGAAGTTATACGGAGACAGAGACATAGGTATGTCATTTGAGAAATAAATTCCGTTACATAGACAGATCCACACACATAAGTGTAGAACTATATTTCTGTATCTATCAATATATAGATATTTCCCTGGAACAGTGTCTTTAAGAATATACAAGTTTTTAATGGAAAATATGATTATAAATAATTTTTCTTTGCTTTTCCTATTTTCCTTATTAAAATAAAATTTTATAGTGAGCATATGTTTTATTTTTGACCACAAAATGTGAGACCGTAGTCTCGAGTCTAGGAAGGGACAGAGACTAAATATCCTTGTCCTCACTATCTGATGCATAAATTGCCCTTAGTATTGGAGTGGGGTGGGAATGAGAGAGTACATGATTCTTATTTTTCTTTAAAATTACTAAATCTTAATTGGTAAGAATTATCCTAATGGTTTATGTGTAACATTCAAATATTTAAGGCAGGCACACTGGCTCATGCCTGTAATCCCACCACTTTGGGAGGCCAAGGCAGGAGGTTTGCTTGAGCTCAGGAGTTCAAGAGCAGCCTGGGCTACATAGTGAGACCCCATCTTTACAAGAAATTTAAAAATTAGCCAGGTGTGTTGGTGCACACGTGTGGTTCCAGCTAATTGGGAGGCTAAGGCAGGAGGATTTCTTGATCCAAGGAGATCAAGGCTGCAGTGAGCCGTGATCACACCACTGCACTCCAGGCTGGACAACAGAGCAAGACCCTGTCTAAAAAAAAAAAGTATTTAACAGTGTTATTAATAGAATCTGTGGATGTTGCGTTTTTGTTGTTTATGAGAATGGGGCTTTTGTGATAAGACTTCAATTTATGTTAAGAAGGTCTGGAAATGAAAATCAGAGTACATTTCCCGAAATGTCTTTTATAGTTAGCCACATTCCAGACAAGTGCTAATATGCATTTTACATTTTTAAGTGCAGAGGAGAAAGACAAATATAGGGTAATGCAGTGGGAATCTCGATCTCTGTGTTGCTTCAGGGCCCCTGGTCCTTCTATTCCAGCCTAAAGGCACCAAAGGATCCTCTGACTGATAAATTGGCATTTATTACTCTTTAGCAGGCACTAAAATTGATCCACGTCCTAAGCTGCTTAAAATCTCTAAACAGTGAGTTTCAAACTTTTGTTTAAGCTGTGAAAACTTCATTCAAATAAAGCCTTACTTAGTCTGTAGCCTTATATATGAAACAGACAAACATGGTAGGGACAGGCTAGGCCATCTGCCCTGAAGCCTGGTACATGTTCATCCATCTCCTGCTCCCTTGCTCTACTCAGTCCTAAGGAGCAGTTTGAAAGCACTACCCCTAGGAGAACCCCCAAAACAACCAATATTCATGATAAAACCACCTTGATGATTTGTCTACATTTGTGGTTATCAACCTTTAGCTCTAATCGAAACCCTGGAGAACTTGGGAAACACTTCAGGAGTCTCATTCAGTAGGTCTGGGTTTGGACCTGAGAGCTCATATTTCTAACCAGTTCCCAGGTCATGCTGATGCTGCTGGTCTCACGACTACATTTTAAGAACCTCAGCGCTAGGTATATTCTGTGGAGCATTTGTTTCACACTCAACAGGCCAGTGAGGATAATTCATTGTCAGGTAAAGATTGGGCTGAAAAGAATTTAACAAGTTTCCTTTAAAGTTTGTAGTGTTTAATATAATACAGTACATGTTGTATCTCCAAGAAAAAGATCTCGTATTTGATCCCAGAACATCTTTCCCTTCCCTCTTTTTTCTTTTGAAAATAGAACAAACATGGAAATTAGTGTCATGTGTATGCCAGAGATAGAATTCAGGAAAACTGAGACACAGGGCAAAACTATATATGTTAAGTTTATTTTTGTTGCTCCAGAAGTTTGCCTTCCTCTATCTTAGACCTAAGGGGTACAACTTGTACTTTGAGAAACCAACTAATTAAAGTGTTTGAAGTGAGATGAGGAACCTTATCTGTCCAGGTTGTATGAAAGATATCTACCTTTCAGATGATTTGAGGTTGTTTGCTGGGGTTATATCAGGAGATTGTGTTAATGTATCTCCCTTTGCTTTTCCTCTGTTCCCTTCTTCTAACTAGGCCTCTTAATGAGGTGGAAAGAAGTTAGGAGACCTAAATTCTAGTCCTAGTTTTGGCACTAACTAGCCAGTAACTCAGTGTCTGGGCTAAGTTTTCATTTCAAGATTCCTACTCTTAAAAATGAGGGAGTTTACGTAAGTGGGAGTTGAACAATGCAAACACGTGGACACAGAGAGGGGAACAACACACACAGGGGCTCCTGGGATGGGAGAGGTGCGAGGGAAGGGAGAGCATCAGGACAAATAGCTAATGTATGCGGGGCTTAAAATATAGGTGACAGGTTGATAGGTGCAGCAAACCCCCATGGCACACGTATACCTATGTAACAAACCTGCACATTCTGCACATGTATTCCAGGACTCAAAGCAAAATAAAAATTTTTAAAAATGAGGGAGTTTAACCAAATGAATGCAGAGATAACTTGCAAGTCTAAAATTATTTAACCAGGTGATGCTTGGTGGAGTGAGTACAGGAGCAGTACTGTGGAGCCTGCTGTAGGGGAGACACTGGCTCACCACTTGCTCAGATATTATCCTGAATAGGAAATGGTCCCAGTTTTTGCAGTTTTTGCAGATGCAGTTGTAGAGACTGAGAGAGGTTCAGTCATACATCTAGAAAATAGCAAAGGTAGGATTTCACCCTATCTGAGCATAAAGAATGCTTTCCACTCTGCCTAATGCCATAATACACTTACCACCCAGTTTCTCCTTAAAGTGTTTTCATTTTTTAACATTTCCTGTCGGTCCTTTGAGATCAGCTAGATTTTGAACTCAGTCTCAGCTCAACTGCTTTATAGCTGGCAAGTTACTTAACCTCTTTGCATGTTTATTAAGAGGATTATGTCAATTGCTGAGCACAAAGTATGTGTCCAATAAATAATAATTATTTTAACTTACTCTAGAGTTATAAGCACTGTAGATAACAATTTTTTTTCTGCCTTTTTATCTTAAGCAGTTTATTATAAGCACTTCTTATGTTGCCCAGGATTTCCAAATTTATATTTAGGGGCTGCATCTGTTCTCACTAAGTATATAAATAGTTATTTACTTATCTATTCTGCTACAATTGATATTGAGCCAGATGGGCCAGGCTCAAGGGGTGTAGAACCTTTAAGGCAGGCCTAAGGATGGCACTTGCTCCCACCTTTGAAATCTCTTCTTGGAGATCCACGCAAACCTCACTGAGGTTCTCTGCATGCAGGACTTCTGGTTGAACCTGCTGGTAGGATATCAGTGACTCTAAATTCTCTTTGTAAGGTGCGTGTAACTTTAAAGTCTCAAATGTAAACATTATCTTTTACTTCTTAGTTTGTTCCTCATTTGCTTTTCTATAAGTGAAAAGTGTTTTTCAAATATTATTCTGAATGAATAGCCAGCTATATTTAGATCGATTTGAAAAAAAAGATGGTTTAATTATACTTTCACTAGTGAGTATAGATGTAGACTACAAATAGGATTATAGAGAACTCTTTTTATTGCTGGTTCAGTGGAGAGGGCAGAGGACCAGGACAGTTTCACCTGGAGGAGAATCTGCGTTACGTTTATACGGGCAGGAGTTAATTATATGCCAACAGAAATGTGGCTGATTTGGGTCATTTTAGATAACTCTCCAATGGGACTAGAATTATTATTCGATGGCATAAGTGAATTTGTGACTGCCTTAATTTTTTATTAAAATCAGAGATCTCATCCAAGACAATCTTAAGCTAGCAATGTCTTTCCTTCAGCTGGAAGGAAATAAAATGGTGTAAAGCTGGATTCTAGAATGTAAATTACAGAGAAGAAGATTTGTTTGTAATTAACTTAGTGCTGTTTGTGTTTAACTTCATCATAATTTCTCAGGATGAACAAATTGCACATTCAATAGTGCAGGCAAGAAGTAAGGCTTTTAACAAGTTTGAATGTTCTTTCTCGGTTGTTATTTCTAAGATGAACCTGTGAACTTTTAATTTATATATTGGTTGGAAGTAATTAGCCCTTGAATTGTGCCGCTTTTGAGACATAATTATTTAGAAGGGGGATGGAGTAGAGAGAGCATTTTGATTTTCTGATCATCAGGAGGAAAATAATGCTTTGCATTGAAAATCTTAGAGTGATGCTCAAAAGGAAAATGTAGTCATGTAAACATATGCTAAATACTTGAAATAATATTAATAAGTATTTTTACGGTACAAAACTACAACTTTTTTTTCTTTTTTCTTTTTTTTTTGAGATAGGGTCTCGCTCATCACCTAGGCTGGAGTGGAGTGGTGCCATCATGGCTCACTGCAGGCTCGCATTCCTGAGCTCAAAGGATCTTCCCACCTTAGCTTTCTAAGTAGCTAGGACTACAGGCACATGCCACCACGCCTGGCTAATTTTTAAAAAGAAAATTGTAGAGATCGGGGTTGGGGGGCGGATGTCTCCCTATGTTGCCCAGGCTAGTCTTGAACTCCTGGCATCAAGAAATCCTCCTGCCTCTGCCTCCCAAAGTGCTGGGATTACAGGCATAAGCCACCACACCTGGCCCACAGCATATTTCATCTGTTTTTTCCTACCAAACCACCTTGCCTGGCAGATTTTAATACCTTTTTTATCTTTACAAAATTTGGAGAGTGAAAAGAATTCAAATTCTCTCCAACTACCAGGTAATTAAATCCTGCTTAAATATCTTATATACTGATGCTCTTATTACATAAGTCACCTGCAGAAGATTAACTGATACACTTTGGACAACTGAAGGGAACTACTGTCAAGGCCAAGTGTAAATTGCAAGCTACTAAAATATCTTGACAGGATAATAACTGGAATAACCTGTAAGCTGATCTACTGTAAGGAGGCATTTGGTTTTCTTCTTGGCAGGGCACTGGATGCCAAAGCTAAGTTCCTTGGCTTATTTTTCTCTAACATTGCTTTTTAGATATCAGGATGCTGACTGCCACTATAGAGCTGGTATGTAGCTTTTTAAAAAATGCCTTAAACATACATATGAATAAAAATTCAAATGTGTTCAAAAAGGTTAGTGGCAGAGTAGGCTTCTGTCCCATCTCTGTCCTCCAGACATGGTCCTCTTTTTACAGTCAGTCACTGGTAACAGCTCCGTAGGTCTCCTTCCAGATGTAGTCTGTGCACATCAAGTCCTGCAGATACATATTTTACTACTACTTTTGTATGTATCATTGTATGACACGCACTGATCTGCACCTGCCTTTTTTTTTAACTTGATTGATTTTGGATGTTGTGCCACCATTATACAGAGCTGCTTTGTTATTTTGGAAGACTGTTTAGTATTCATGGCATTGTATAGATGGAGCATAATTTATTTACCAGGCCTCCATCAGTGGATATTTAGATGATTTCCAGTCTTCTGCTAATATAAATAGTGCTGCATTGAATAACTCTGTTCAGTCATCAACATATCCCTAGGATACATTTCTAGAAATGGAATCGCTGAACCAAAAGAAAAGCAAGTACAATTTTGATTTTGACAAAGACTGCCAAACTGCAGTGAATGTTGCAGCAGGCTGTGAGAGTGACCTTTGCTTTTATATCCTAGATCTGGCCTTTGTCACTGGTGGGCGTTTTTTCTGAACTTGGCCACAGTGTTACATTGGTGACTTTCTGTCTGTGACCAGGACTCATTTTCCCACAATCCTGGCCACTGTATTCTTTTACAGCCATTTGAGGGCATTGCTTTTAAGAAAACAGACTTATTTCTCTATGTGTTTCCTCATAGATGAGGGAAATAAGGGAAGTGTTGATGTTTCAGAGCTGTGAATTTTGGCAGTGCAAAGAAACATTAGAGAGGTTTCCTTGACTTCAAAATTATAGGAGGGGATCTTCTCACCCTCAAATAAAGAAACAAACTGGGCCGGGTGTGGTGGCTCACAATTGTAATCCCAGCACTTTGGGAGTCTGAGGCGGGCAGATCACCTGAGGTCAGGAGTTCAAGACTAGCCTGGCCAATGTGGTGAAATGCCATCTCTACTAAAAATACAAAAATTAGCTGGGCATGATGACCCGTGCCTGTAATCCCAGCTACTCAGGAGGCTGAGGCAGGAGAATCGCTTGAACCCGGGAGGCGGAGGTTGCAGTATGCTGAGATCACACCAGTGCACTCCAGCCTGGGTGACAACAGTGAAACTCTGTCTCAAAAAAAGAAAAAAAGAAACAAACTGAAGTTTTGACATTTTTAAAACCAAAGTGTTGGTGGTGTCATGTAGCTATCACTTTACCATTGAGCCGCTCCACTAACTGGACCTCACATTCTCACCCCTGGGTCTGGCTCCCTGATGGCAATCCCGCTGGGGGCTTACAGCTCGCTCCCTCTGCTGCTTCCTTTCCTCCTTCATTTCCCACCTTCCTCTTCTCTCCTTCTTGTCCAAACAGCTTGTTATTACTCCGGCTGGAACTTTACCACCTCTCTCTCAGCCACTATTGTAACACTACAGATCCAGGCCAAACCAGAAGAAGCTCCTTCCTTGTGATGAATGCTTTATAATCTGTGATATGATTTGTACTACAAATTTCTGAAACATGAAGAGCCCCTTTTGTTTAATTACGTAGAACACCTAGTTCACAGTACTCATTTAAATATGTGATCGTGGTTAGTTGAAGGATTTTTTATTTCTGGGATTTAACTTTAACTTAGGTATATTTTAAATATAAAACGTTGATGGCATTACTATGAGTTGTTTCCCCAGTACAGTGTTTACGAATACTGAAATAGACTTAAATGTTCTTACAGTGTGCACTTACTTTCCTTAGAATGGTACGTCAAAGTAAACAATGATGGCAAGCTACCATGGCTAATACTGGCATTGTTGCTGTTCTGTGCCATTCCTTCCCACACTGGTCTCTAATCTATAAGGTAAGGGATAGTTTTAGCCATATTCATGACATCTAGAACAGTGCTACTCAGAGTGGGCCACAGACTAGTCTTTTCTTGCCAATCTGCAGCAAGGTAAGTACAAGATGCTGCCAAATTGCTATGAAAGTCTTTGAACACTGAAAGCATAAAAGTGTTCAAATCTTTTATAGCAATTTGGCAGCATTGAATCTAATATTAAAAATTGACCTGTCTCTACAATAAATTTTTAAACAAATTATCTGGGTGTGAAGGCTGAGGCAGAAGGATCACTTGAACCCTGGAGTTCAAGGCTGCAGTGAACTATGATCGCACCACTGCCCTCCAGCCTGGACGATATCTTCATGTAATACTTGAGGATGTGAGACACAATGACAACATTTCTTGCCTGAGGCTGCTGCCTATGCTGCATTAAATCTCCTCCTTCTCCTTTCTGTAATCAGACTACAAGCCCTCATTTGCTTCTTGTGCTATAATATTTTGATTATAATCTGAGAGAGTGAGTAGAATAAGACAGAATATTATACATGAAAACAATTTGCATTTTTTAACCCTTAAAAAAGTGTAAAGTAGCATTTCACCCATATTATTTTTGCGTTAATGCCATTTTCTAAAACTAAAGTAGTTTGGAAGATATTTAGGAGAACTTTATTGTGGTCACTTTGAAATTAAAAAAAATCCTCCATGTGCTGAGTGTTTTAAAAATTTTTTGGTAGGCCAGGTGCAGTGGCTCACACCTGTATTCCCACCTCTTTGGGAGGCTGAGAGGATCACTTGAGGCCAGGAGTTCAAGACCAGCCTGGCCATCATAGCAAGACCCCATCTTTACACAGAATTAAAAAAATTAGCTGAGTGTGTTTTTTTTTTTTTTTTTTGAGACGGAGTCTGGCTCTGTTGCCCAGGCTGGAGTGCAGTGGCGCAATCTCAGCTCACTGCAAGCTCCGCCTCCCGGGTTCACGCCATTCTCCTGCCTCAGCCTCCGGAGTAGCTGGGACTACAGGCGCCTGCCACTACGTCGGGCTAATTTTTTGTATTTTTAGTAGAGACGGGATTCCACCGTGTTAGCCAGGGTGGTCTTGATCTCCGGACCTCGTGATCCACCCGCCTCGGCCTCCCAAAGTGCTGGGATTACAGGCGTGAGCCACCGCGCCCGGCCCTGAGTGTGTTTTTGTGCCCCCATAGTCCTACCTACTTGGGAGGCTGAGGCAGGAGGATCGCTTGAGCCCAGGAGTTTGAGGTTACAGTGAACTATGATCACACCACTGCATTCCAACCTGGGTGACAGAGGAAGACCCTGTCTCAAAAAAATAGTAATAATAATTTTAAAAATATGTAAAATTTTAAAAATACAAAAATAAAGTTTTTAACTTCTAGAGGAGAATATATATATATATATATAAATAAGAAAACCTGGGGAAATTTGCACATGTCACAGTCTCAGCCTCAGGGAAAGGTTTAGGTTTCTGTCCAGGCCAAGGTAAGACCCAAGGAGCCAAAATAAACATTGGGAACATCTATTCTCAGTATGAATGCAACAGTCCCTAACTGTGTGAGCAGAGTCTGGAGGTTCGGAGGTCAGACATACAGGTTCAAATGATGTGGGAAGCAAGAAATACTGAGAAGGCTGCTAAATGAGAAAGACAATGGGACCAAGGGACAGAGGATTGAGAAGGCTGGTAGCAGGCTCTGTGGATGGGCCACTTCAATTTAAAGAGCCAGGGGTCAAGTACACCTTTGGATCCTAGCCTAAAACATTGCTTAGACTTGGTTATTCTATTGAGTAGCACTTAGTGAAAAATTTTGCTTTATCTTCTACCTTTACTCCTTTTTTACAATGGAAAAAATAAACATAATTGTAAGTTTATCATTCACAGTACACTGTGAATCTTTTATATATTAAATACATGTTGTAATATACATCTTTTTACCCTGGTGAAAGAAATTGGGTGCAATTGTCTTTTTATAATAATGGTGTTAAGTGTGTAATTTTCCCATAAAAAGTGTGACCTGAAATGATCTGAAGGAATAACTATTCTGGAAGTATTATTAAAATACACTTAGAAATAAATTTTTAAAAAGTGGTTCATTTCCCAAATAATTTTATTGCCCCAAAACCTATGTATTAGGTCTCTTCCAAGTATTCCCTCTTTCTATATCTTTCAGACATGACTGCCTTACATAATGTTTGGATCTGGGGTCCATTGCTTAGCTTTAGTGGGATTTTTGGAAGGACACTGATATATTAAGAGCTACTTACTCATTTGTCATACTGACCATTATTGCTAGAATATTCAATTAGTGAGGATTTACTGAGTGCTCACTGTAAGATTCTACATCTGTCACTGAGATTAACAAAAAGGTGCTCTTTGTTCATTCATTCATCCACCAAGCTGTTTAAGTACCTGCTGTGTACCAAGTATGGTGCCAGGAATTTGGGACAGATTTCCTTTTACAAGGCACTGATAGACCCTGTAAAATGAAAATAAGATCTGCTATTGTGAGAATTAAATGAAAAAATATATCTAAAATACTTTGTATAGCCTCTGAATGAGTATTTTTCCCCAAGAATGGCAGAGACTGCTTTTGAGAAGTTTTTACAAATCATTGTGAAGATAGGCTGAGTCTTGCTTAATACCAAATGTTAATTTACTGATTTAAAGAAATAATCCAAGGGGGAAATACATTAAAGTATTTTCTTTCACTACAGTGTCAATAGGAAACATCAAATTAAGAGAGAGCCAAAACAGGCCATGCGCGGTGACTCACGCTTGTAATCCCAGCACTTTGGGAGGCCGAGGAAGGCAGATGACCTGAGGTCAGAAGTTTGAGACCAGCCTGGCCATTATGGTGAAACCCTGTCTCTACTAAAAGTACAAAAATTAGCTGGGCATAGTGGCGGGCGCCTGCAATTCCAGCTACTCGGGAGGCTGAGGCGGGAGAATCACTTGAACCCGGGAGGGGAAGGTTTCAGTGAGCCAAGATCGCACCACTGCACTCCAGCCTGGGCGACACAGTAAGACTCCATCTCAAAAAAAAAAAAAAAAAAAAAAAAAAAGTAAAAAAGGAGAGGGCCAAAACAATAAAGAGTAAGAATATTAGGAAACAGTCACATGTAAAAGAACTATAGAATAAAAAGCTGTTAAAAAAACATGTAAACATAATACTTCACTTGTTTGCAGATGCTGTCTTCTTGAATGTTGGCTTTTAGTCATTCTTGACGTTTCACCTGGAAAGGGGAAACTATCATGCCAGTGAATGATCTTAGCTATTCATTATTTCTGTGACCTCTTAGAAAGTTCAGGCCAAACATCAGAAGGAATTAGTATTGCAGTAACTCAAATCTAAGAAGGCAAAGCTGGTGCTTTCTCTAGGAAACATCCTTACCCTTCTGCTTGCCCCAGAAGTCCTATAAATCTTTCAACCAAAATGTTTTCATAAGGGGATGGTGATTTGGACATGAATTTGAATCTGATTTCCTTAATCAAAAAGTGAGTAGTTTTTATATGTTCCATAAGTAGAAATGAATCCAAAATTAGAAAATCAGCTGCAAAATACTAACAAATTTATAATAGTGTTTTTATGTTCTGAGGGGAAAAAAGCTTCTATTTTCCTTATTTACTTAGAATAATAACTTAGTAAATAACCTTAATAATAACTGACTTTTATTTATTTATTTATTTTTTTGAGACAGAGTCTTGCTCTGTCGGCCAGGCTGGAGTGCAGTGGCACAATCTCTGCTCACTGCAAGCTCCACCTCCCGGGTTCACTCCATTCTTCTGCCTCAGCCTCCCAAGTAGCTGGGACTACAGGTGCCTGCCACCACGCCCGGCTAATTTTTTGTATTTTTAGTAGAGACAGGGTTTCACCTTGTTAGCCAGGATGGTCTCAATCTCCTGATCTCGTGATCCGCCTGCCTCGGCCTCCCAAAGTGCTGGGATTACAGGCGTGAGCCACCGCACCTGGCCAATAACTGACATTTTAAATAATCTCCTTCCTTAACTGATACTATTGCCTGAAGCTATTTGAAGATATTGTAGACTATTTTATTTTTTCCAGTGTTAGAACTTTCTGTGATGAACAAAACATATTCTATACTTGTGCTGTCCAGTGTGGCTCCTGAGCATCTGAAATGTGGCTGTTGATCTAGTACAACTGAGGAACTGAATTTTTAATTATATTTCATTTTAATTAATTTAAATGTAAACTTAAACAGCCACCTGTGACTAGTGGCTGCCATATTGAACAGTACAGTTCAAGACTACAAATACTAATTCCCAGGGTTAAAATAGACTTCAAAATAAATTGAAATAGGTTTCAAAATAAAGAATATTGAGAAAGTTGCTTATTGGAAATCCTAGTTTTACAAAAAAGCTTACATGGGTATATTGCGTGATGCTGAGTTTTGGGATACAATTGAACCCATGACCCAGATAGTGAACATAGTACCCAATAATTTTTCAACCTTTGATCTCCTTCCTCCCTCTCCCATGTAGTAGCTCCCAAGTGTCTATCGTTGCCATCTTTATGTGCATGTGTACCCATTGTTTAGCTCCTACTTATAAGTGAGAACATGTGGTATTTGGTTTTCTGTTCTTGTGTTAATTCACTTGGGTTAATGGCCTCTGGCTACATTCATGTTGCTGCAAAGGACATGATTTCATTCTGTTTTATGGCTGCATGGTATTCCATGGTATATATGTGCATTTTCTTTATCCAATCCATCACTGATGAGTACCTAGGTTGATTCCATGTCTTTGCTATTGTGAATAGTGCTGTGATTAGCATACAAGTGCACGTGTCTTTTTGGTAGAATGATTTATATTCCTTTGGGTATATACCCAGTAATAGGATTGCTGGGTCGAATAGTTCCATGTTTAGTTCTTTGAGAAATCTCCAAACTGCTTTCCACAGTGGCTGAACTAATTTACATTCCCACCAACAGTGCACAAGCATTCCCCTTTCTCCACAGCCTCACTGACAAATGTTATTTTTTGACGTTTTAACAATAACCATTCTGACTAGTGTGAGATGGTACCTCACTGTGGTTTTGATTTGCATTTCTCTGATGATTAGTGATGTTGAGCATTTTTTCATGTTTGTTGGCCACTTGCGTGTCTTCTTTTGAGAAGTGTCTGTTCATGTCCTTTGCCCATTATTTAATGAAGTTATTTGTTTTTTGCTCACTGATTTAAGCTCCTTATAGATTGTGGATATTACACCATTGTTGGATGCATAGTTTGTGAATATTTTCTCCCATTCTGTAGGCTGTCTGTTTACTCAGTTGATAGTTTCTTTTGCTGTGCAGCAGCTCTTTTGTTTAATTAGGTCCCACTTGTCAATTTTTATTTTTGTTGCAATTGCTTTTGAGGACTTAGTCATGTATTCTTTTCCAAGGCCAATGTTCAGAAGAGTATTTCCTAGGTTTTCTACTAGGATTTTTATAGCTGTGGGTCTTCTACTTAAGGCTTCAATCCATCTTGAGTTAATTTTTGTATATGGTGATAAGTAAGGGGACAGTTTCATTCTTCTACTTATAGCTAGCCACTTATCTCAGCATCATTTATTGACCAGGGAGTCTTTTCCCCATTGAAAAAGCTTATATTTCAATATTCCATTAGGCTTGACATTTCAAAAATAATCTTTATAATATAAATTAGGTGACTTAAAATGTTTATTCTTTCTTTCAATCTTGATTTTTGTTTTGTCTTTCCTATTTTTCTGTATTTTTTTCAAGTTGGTAACCACAACCAAAAGCGTTTTTTCAGATATGAGAATTAGACCAATAGTTTCATCATTTCTAGCAGAATGTTTTATTAGAAATGCAGAGTGACAGAGTAAGAGAGAGAACGAATGCATGGGCTCAACGTCATGCCAGTGTAGGATGTTAATTACTTTGGCAGACTTGGTGAGTGCTTTAAGACAGTGGGAGGAGCCAAGATGAATTCAGTTAATTCCTTCAGATGCATGTCATATGGCATTTTGTTTGTTTGTTTAGGTAATGTTGGAATTGATTTTCCCTTTCCTTCATAACTCTTCATGTTATTATCACATGTGTTTCCAGACTACAGCTGACCTTTTTTAAATTAAAAGCTGAATTTTAAAAAGGGGCTGAGGTGCATTTATCCATAGCAGTGTCTCTCTGGTTTCCCTTTTTAACATTAAAACTCCATTTTCAATTGTAGAATATAATTTTTATGCCCCTAAAGAAAGTTATCTGTTGATTCACTGAATACTGTATCTGCCAGGTTGCCTTCTTCTTTTGTAAAATTTCAGTTAAGTGGAATATTTGGAATCATGGGCTTCTGGTTGATCAAAAGCAAAAGAAGAAATTGCTATTCATTTATTATTTATTTACCAAGTACCTATTATATGCCAGGTATCATTCTTGGTATTGGGAATACAACAGTGAAGAAAATAGACAAAATTCTCCATCCTTGGGGAGCTTAAATTCCAGAGGAATCCTTTTGTTTTCCTACTTCTATAGAGGATTTTTTTCAAAATAATCTATTTTATTTTATCTTGCAAGTACCTAAATGACCACAATATGGTTTGTCACCCAGGCTGGAGTGCAGAGGCGCGATCTCAACTCACTGCAGCCTCTGCATCTTAGGTTCAAGCAATCCACTGCCTCAGCCTCCTGAGTAGCTGGGGTTGCAGGTGTGTGCCACCACATCTGGCTATTTTTTTTTTTTGTATTGTTAGTAGAGATGGGGTTTCACCGTGTTGGCCAGGCTGGTCTTGAATTTTGGCCTCAAATGATCTGCCCGCCTTGGGCTCCCAAACTGCTGTGATTATAGGCATGAGCCACTGTGCATGGCTCGGTTTTTTTGTTTGTTGGTTTTTGAGACAGTCTCATTCTTTCGCCCAGGTTGGAGTGCAATGGCACAATGAGGGCTCACTGCAGCTTCCACCTCCTGGGCTCAAATGATCCTCTCACCTCAGCCTCCCAAGTAGCCGGGACTACAGGCATATGCCACCATACCCAGCTAATGTTTGTATTTTTTGTGGAGATGGGGTCTTGCCATGTTGCCCAGGCTGGTCTCAAACTCCTGAGCTCAAGCAATCCTCCTGCCTCGGCCTCCCAAAATGCTGGAATAACAGGCATGAGCCACTGCACCCAGCCTTGTTTGTTTTTGATCACTAAGACTCCTGAGTGTCCTGAAAACCCTCATTCCTTAGGACTGTTGATATAGGACAGAAGTTCTCTGAACTACTTAGGAAGCCTTTTAACAAATACTGATGCTGCCTTCCCCTCTCCCATTTCCCAGTCCCCCACCCCCACCATTCTGATGTAGTTGCATGGGCCATGGAGCATAAGCATCAAAATATTTTAATTAATCACCCCAGGCAATTATGAAGAGTTGAGCATCATAATTAATATCTATTTATATAGAAAGTTTAGATTACTGACTTGAATGGTATGGAGCTCAGCATATATAAACCAAAAAGTATCTGAGACAGGTCTCAATCAATTTAGAAGTTTATTTTGCCAAGGTTAAGCGTGCATGGATTTTGAAGCCTTCAGTATTTAAAGGGAAACAGCAGCCTGGGGGGAAAGAGGGAGGGTATGGTCACCTTACTGAATTCATATATTGCAAGAGAAAAGGAGCAGGTAGGGGAATAGTCAATTACATATACGCCTGGTGCTCAGTAAATTGGCACTTTAAATAAGATAAGGTGAACATAGAGTAGCTACCTGTGGAGATATTTAACTTTTTATCTGTAGCTATCTTCTTTGGAACAAAAGGAAAGGCAGCTTCTTGCATGACTCAGCTTTCAGCTTAATTTTTTTTTCTTTTGGCATAGTGAATTTAGGGTCCCAAGTTTTTATTTTCCTTTCATACATATATACTAGAAGATATTTAAAAACCTAATGATATCAACTTGTTTTGTTTTAATTTGTGATTGCAAAATGAAGTGTGCAAAAAGTACAGGAGAAATGGCATTAAAGTTTTCATGTTTTAGGTTCTCTTTTCACCTCTTTTACCTCAAGTCTAACATTATATTTACCCACGTATTCATTTATTTGTTATGCATTTATTTAGCACTTACTGTATACCAGGTGTTACAGACTCAAAGATAATGAACAAGGAATGAACTTTGTCCTCTAGGAATTTACAGCCTAGTACAGATTTGCAAACTTTTTCTGTAAAGGGTCATATAGTATATATTTTTGGTTTTGTGGGCCATATGGTCTCTGTCACAATGATTCAACTCTGCTATTATAGCAAAAAAGTAGTCATAGACATTACATAGATAAATGGGCATGCTCTGTTCCAATAAACTAGATTTACAGAAACAGGAAATGATCTAGATTTGGCTGCAGGTCTTACTTGCCAACCTCTGGTTTACTAGAAGTGAGATAAAATAAATCAGTCATTACTATAGAGTGGGGTAAGTGATCGAAGCTTGAGCAATTACTTTGATAAGATACTGAAGAGCTATCAAATTAGACTGGGAGTTATGTGAGATACAGAAGATTTCTGAAGGAGACGCTGTTCAAGTGACTTATGAAACATGCGCTGGAGTTTGAAGAAAGGGAAAGAAAAGGATGTTCTGAGCAGAGGGACAAACATGTGCAAAGCAGGAGCATGTAAAATAACAGTGACCGTTTATAGAAGCTAAAAGAAATTTGGTGGCTGGAATGAAGGCTACCTACTTCAGCAAGAAGATGAGACTAGAGAGGTAGGCCCAGCTATGCTCTGATGGGCCTTGGCTATGAAGTGAGAAACTTGGGTATGAAGCTAAAAGTCTTGTGGGGAGCAAATAAAGGATTTTAAGCAGGAAAGAGTAACAGAATTTGTTGGCTGCCTGTTGGAAAGAGTGAGACCAATTAGGAGACCAATGCAGTAAACCAGGTGGAAAATGTTGAGAGGTAGGGATGATCAGGACGGAATGGATGTGAGAGCTATTTAGACAATAAAAGCTCCAGTCCTTGGTAATTGAGTATGGGGATAACCAAGAAAGAAACATCCTAGATAACTTCTAGATTTCCAGCATGGGTGACTGGATGGTATAATTTATGTAGGTTGAAGGAGAAAATTTGGGAAAGGGTACGAGATGATGAATTAAGCACAGGACTTTGAGTTCAAGATAAATATATGACAGTCAATTGTATCTACCCAGTAGAAAATGGATTGCTACTTAATTGAAGATAGAAATTTGGTAGTCAGCCATACATAGTGGTAGATGAAAGCCACAGATTTAGATTAGATTATCTGTAGAGAGTTTTAGAGTGAAAAAACAGGGGGCCAAGGATATGACTCTAAGATAGCATGTATTTAAGGACAAGAATTCTGATATGGACCTTTCATACAGAGATGGGAGAAACCAGAAGACAGAGTTTAACAGACTGAAGGAAGAGTTTCAAGAAGGTAGCAGTCGGCATTAAGCACTGAAGAGAAAGAAAGAAATGTGTCTCTGGGATTATATGTTATGAATGCCTTTGCAGAAAAGAAAATGAGGACATAGGGAATACTCTCTATGTAGGGAATTAGACTACTGTCTCTAGAAACATAGCCAAAGCGTGAGCAGCTCAGACACTGCTAGTGGGACTATAAATCTGATGTTTCTCGAAGGATGTTGAGAAAACTATATTGAGAGATTGAACCTTTTAACAATGAGTAATTCCACTCCTAAAAAGTCATACCAGGAAAATAACCAGATGCTCTCTAGTCTGTAAGGATGAACAAAAGTTCCAAAATGACATTTTGGATCATTCATCTAATTTGATTAACTCCAAGGGTCATCTCCTGTAAACACTTATTGATATGAATGACATTATTTTAAACATTTTCCCCTCCAACTATAGCCTCAGACCAAACTTATTTTGAATCGGCTTTATATATATGTTAGATTTTTAAATTAAGAGACATTTTAAATATTGAAAGTTACAGAGTATGTAATTAACACATATGTACCATACCCAGATTGCAGAGAAGTTATTATATTTGTCCACAGCTCTTAAAAACAACATTACAAATGCATGTCAAGCCCCCTTTGTGCCTTTCCCTAATCCTGTTCTTCTCCCTCTCTCACCTCTTTACAGTTGAGATTTATGCTTCTTGACCTTGTTTTTATTACTTGCCTATGTGTAAATCTATACACAGTTTATAGCATTGTTTGTATATTTTTAAACCTTTGATTAATACTGTCATATTGTTTATGTCATTCTTCAACTTGATGTCTTTACTCACTACTGTTTTTGAGATTTTTTATGATGATACATTGTAGATGCATTTCTTTCAAACCTACATTCTATTGTATTTCATTATGTGATGCCACATCAATTTGTATATATACGTATTTTCTGTTGATAGGCATCTGGACTAGTTATTTAACATCTCTGTTCCTCAATTTCCTCACTTATATATGGAGATAATAATGGTACCAACCTCATGGAGTGGTTCTGAGCATTAAATTAATTAATATATATAAAGGAGTAGCTCAAGCCCTGGCATACAATAAACATCCAGTGTGTATTAGCTATTATTATAAATATGACTATTAATATTATTGTTAACCTCTTCTCAATTCTTTGCTGTTACAGATATTGTTCATGTCTCCTCCATTTATGCATAAATTTCTTGAGCACATGTAACTAAAAGTTGAATTTCTGGTTGAAGGGTATGCTTGAGTCTATTTTTTTTTTTTTAGATGTTGCCAAAGTCCTCTCAAGAGGTGGTACCAGCTTTTCTTCCACCAATACCATGTGAAAGTTTCTGTTTCCTTGTCAGCACTTGGTATTGTAAGACTAATGTTTTTGGCAATCCATTAGATACTAAAATGGCATCCAGTTTCTAAAATTACGTTTTCCTTATACTTAGTGAGGTTAGGAATCTTTTTATATCTTCATTGGCCATTGGGGTTTTCTTTTCTGTTGACTGTTCACGTCATTTGCCCATTTTTCTTACTTTTTCTTTATTTTTAAAGACGGGGTCTCACTTTGTTGCCCAGGCTGGAGTGCAGTTGCTATTCATAGGCAATCGTAGCTCACTATGGCCTTGAACTCCTGGCCTCAAGGCATCCTCCCTTCTCGTCCTCCCAAGTAGCTGGGATTACAGGCACATGCCACCACGCCTAGCCTTACCCATTTTTCTACTGGGTTGTTATATTTTCCTTATTGCATTGTGGAATTCTTTATCTAAATACAATCTTTGTCATATCTCAAATTACATTAATAATCTATTTGGTTTTTTAAAATTTGAAAACATTACTTTAATAAAAACTATTCATGCATATGGGAAACAACAAAATAAAATTGTACAGAAGAGTTTGTGACAAAACACAACCCTCCTACCCTACCTCCCTCTCCACACCCATGCCCAGTCCCCAGAGGCAAAGTCTTGGTACCATTTGTGCTTCTAGTTCTCCTGATCATTTCTTCCGTAACACGGAAAAATATGCTAATACTTCTGTATCCTGATGACCAGCTTTTTTTTTTTTCCCCAGAGACAAGGTCTCGCTGTGTTACCCAGGCTGGAGTGCAGTAGTACAATCATAGCTCGCTGCAGCCTCCAAACTCCTGGACTCAAGTGACCTTCCTGCCTTAGCCTTCCAAGTAGCTGAGACTACAGTGTGCACCACCATGCCTGGCTAATTTTTTCAATTTTTTGTGTGAAGATCAATGTCTCACTTTGTTGCCCGGGCTAGTTTCGAACTCCTGGCTTCAAGTGATCCTCCTGCCTTGGCCTTTAAAAGTGCTGGGATTACAGGCATGAACCACTATGCCCAACCCTGATTACCAACTTTAGACAATATCTCCTTATTCCATGCTAGGAAAAGGAAGTACAGCCACTGTTTTCAGCCCCACTTCTCATTCTCACAATTCATCACACTGGCTGGCTATAAACCCAGAACCTTCAGCGTTTTAGTACCACCCAGCAGCTCCCCTGCTGCATATTCTAGGCAAGGATTTCTAGCGCCTGTATCATCCATCATCATGCTCCCATCTCTTTTGTGTCTCTCTGAAATTTGTTGAAATTTCCTATATTTAATAACTTCTTCTCCTTTTTTCTTAAATATGGTTTTGTTTGCTTATTTGCTTATTGTTTTGTACTTCACTCTACTTATTTCGTAAGAAGCAATGATGAAAGAAAGGCAAATGCATTTATTCCGTTCAACAGCTGTACACAGAAATTACCAACTATAGCCCGGAAACCTGTTACTTTTTATGACCTAATTATAATTTTCATACTTTCAATATTTGTAGAACTGAAATTAGAGACTTCTAAATTACATTTTTTGTGTGACTCAAATTGAAGATTTGGGGCAAAATAAGTTTTTAGATGTTTTTTGTAGTCTTTCATGAGCAACTATTTCTGGACTACCTACTAGGTCCAGGGGTCTCTGTTAGTTGAGAATTTCGAACAAAAGCATGCAACCTACTACTTAAATTGCCTCTGTATAGCCCTCATTCCAACTGGGTTTGGGATTTATTATCATTGTGGGGAAGAATAGTGTTTTTCTCTGCCCCTGAGCCTGAGAGACCAAAGCCCATCTTTCCCATTATACATCCCCAAGGTTAGGCTGCGAATTTACTTGAATGACAAATAGTTTTACTGAATTTTCACTTCATACTCAATTTCTTTATAAGTTAAAGGAAGAATAGCCAAGAGAAAAAGAAGACTTTTATATATAGAAAATAATAGCTGTTCATTGTGAAACCATGCAGTTTTGAGTGAGAAGCATCAATCTTGAAATGACTGAAGTCATTTTAGTTCTGCTGTCTGGTGATTGGTGTTCTCTAAGAGCTAAATATTGCCTGACTTGGCCAGCTCCTCTGATACAAACTGAGGTCTTTTTCTTTCTCATGTTATGATGATATCATCTGAAGATAAGATATATGTGCATGAATATGAGTATGAAACACCTTTTAAAGCATTTGTAACAATAACGACTTAGAGGAAAAAATGTTCAGTACAATTTTGTGTAATTCACCAGATATTCACTGTGGTTATTGCTAGGTAAAGGGATTGCATGTAAGCTGTATTTTCTTTCTGCTTGTCTACATTTTCTACAATGAATATGTGTTTTCTGAAATAATATACAAAAGTTTTATTTTTTTTCAAGGCAGAACACTTACATGATGTTGTTATTGCTACTGATATAGTTCTCTGCTGGACTATCTTAGTTTTGGACAGTCTCAATTTAGTATCTCTTCCTCTGAAAAACTTTCCTTGCCTAGGGCAGAGAAATGTCCTGCTGTTCTGTCACTAAGGCTACAGGGTTATTAGTGTTTTATGGAGGCCATTGGTCCTTCATACTTACTGAGCATCCCATGTGCTGCATTATGTGGGAAAATACAAAGACAGGTATATGGTGGAAAATATCCAAAGTGGGGACCCTCTTTAAAAGAAAGATCATTTTCAACTTCTGAGAGTTTAAGTATCATTCCATCAAAACAAATGTGATGGGGTCTGCTGTGCATGTGGTGGTGTGCTGGGTGCTGCACACATCTCAAAGGGAATTGACGTAGCATCAACACTGGCTGCCAGGAGCTCATGGTCATATTGGGAAGATAAGGATTGAATATGTGAAAACAATTTTTAAAAAGAGAAAGAGAGAAAGAAATCAAAGTTAAGTACAGTCCAAAAGCTGTCACAAAACTGTAAATAATCACCAAATGACTGGTGCAGGTACTAAATGTTATCAGAAGGAAAAGACCACCATGGGGCTGAGCAGGCTGCCAGGACTGCATGGAAGTGGAAGGCATTGAGTTGAAATTGGAAGCTAGAAGGTGTCTTTAGGCCTGTGTGTTCAGAATCCTAGAATTTTATTTCCGCCACATTTTGTTGGTCAAAGCCAGTCTCAAGGCCAGCCCAGATTCAAGGGCAGGGAAATAGCCTCCACCTATTGATGGGAGGAATGGCAAAGGCATGCTGTAAAGAGGCATAGTCACAGGGGACTGTACGTCATTGAAGGCCATTTGTAACAACCTGGCAAGGTGGCGTATGGAAATACCCTGCGATTCAAGTTCTCCAGACTTAGCTCTTGATATAAAGGAGAGCTTTTATAATTTTCTTCCTCTCCTGTAACTTTGTTTTCTCATCTTGTTGGTAACAAAATGTAACTTTATATTCTCATTCATGTGTAACATAGAAGGATAACACATGTATAGATGATTGTAATTTTCTGGTTTGATATAAAAGCGTTGTTAATTCATGACCTTTGATAATCAAGCTGCTCATGTTAGTGCTGTCCCTAATTGTTTTCTCATGCCAAAATGTACCTGTTATTAATGTCCGAGATGCTAGATGATAGCATGGAAAGGGCAAGAGCTCTAGAATCAGACCGATTTGGTTTAGATTTCCAGGCTGTGCCTCATACTGTCTCTGACTCTTTCAACTGTCATATCATAATCTGTAAAATGGGGACATGTTAGTCTATTCTTGCGTGGCTGTAAAGAAACACCTGAGGCTGGGTAATTTATAAGGAAAAAAGGTTTATTTTGGCTCACTGTTCTGCAAGCTGTATAGGAAGTATGATGTTGGCATCTGCTTCTGGTGAAGGCCTCAGGACACTTCCAATCATGGCGGAAGGCAAAGGGGAACCAGCATGTCACATAGCAAGAGAGGGAGCAAGGTGGGGGAGGAGGTGTCAGGCCTCTTTAAACAACCAGCTCTTGTGTGAACTAACAGGGAGAGAACTCACTCATCACCAAGGGGATGGTGCTCAACCATTCATGAGGGATTAACCCCCATGACCCAAACACTTCCTACCAGGCCCCACCTCCAACATTGTAGATTACATTTCAACATGGAATTTGGAGAGGGTGAACATCCAAACCATATCAGGGGATAATTGTAATTCCCCTGCAGGCTTGTTAGTTATTATTGTTAATTTTGTATTTCTATACTGAAAGAATTTAGCTTGAATTTAGTTTTTAAAAACTAGTACTTCTATTTAAAACTTACAATTTGACTTAATTTGGTAGAGTGCAATGAATGTATTTTGGCTTTGATCTTTTATATCAGCCTCTCAACAGCCTACACGTTTAAAATTAAAATTCAGTGTTACACATTCTACTCTGAGTTGGTATTTCTAGACCACAGTTACTTCTTTGCAGCTGTTTCTTGTAGAATGGGGCTTCTCAAGCCTGGATAGAGCTGAGTTTCTCACCAGGGTGCCCAATATATGTAAGTGGGCTGCCAGCAGGGAGGAAGGGTGGGCCTCTGTGGACAGATTGTACCACTTAGTGAGGTAGTCAGTTCCGTTCAGTATTCTTTTCCCCTGAGCAGATCACAATTCATTTTTAAAGCCCTAATCATGAAACTGGGGTATTATGAAAGATCTATGATCAACAATTATAAAACAACCATAATAATGGCTACTGTTTATTGAGTACTTAATATGTGCCAGGAACTATGTTAAGTGCTTTCTATGTATTATTTCATTTCTTTTCAGAGCAGCCCTATGAGGTAGGTACTACTACTATCCCCATTTTAAACCTACAATGACATATCAATTTATGAAAGTAGTATAATACACTGTGAAAAGTGAAAATACACAGACAGGAAAAATGAATACACCATATTTTTACCAATCAGAGAATATTAATGTTAACATTACATGAACTTCTAGAATTTGGAAAACCTCTTTATTTTTTGCTAAGCCTAAATTTAAGACTATTCTCTAAATATCTAAAAAAGAAATCCTTATTTTAGAAAGTATAATCTGAACCCTGAACTCAGAGTAAAAGCAGGATCCTTTCTTTCTGTTGGTATTCCTGCTTTAGCAATCCTAATCATCCCTAACTCTTGGATGAATCTGGCTGAATATCAGGTAGGTCTTATATGAAAATATTATATGAAAATATTACTTTAAAAACCAAACAAACATTTTTCCAGTTTATCGATTAGCTACTGATGGAAGAAAAATCACAAAATCTGAGCTTAAGAATGAACTTTAATTTGCATGAACAATAAGAACTTACTTTTGATCACACATTTTGGGGTCAGCTGGAATGACTTTTCTTAAGCTATGAGTCTTCAGATAGATTGGGGTGGCTTGTTTTGAGACCCAGGCTAGATACAGGGATAATGGCTACCATGGTATGTTTTTCTCCTAATGATGACTGAAGCAAAAGGGGACAAGCTCAACAGTATAGGCACTTGTCCAGTAATATCCGAGGGGCCAAAGCAAGTTAGATGTGAAGCCTGAAGTTAAGGGATGGGAAAGGACACACCTACCATGAATGTCCTTGGCCCTGAGACCAAGGCAAGGGTATACTTTTATAACACTACTGTGGGATAATGAAAAATTAGGACTAATATTAATAATTTAACCTGCCATACCCACTTCCATGTATATATTTATTCCTATCCTCATGCATCTACTTTACAAATATATGTGTATGTGTATATGTGTATGTGTGTATACACAGATGCAGAGGCATATATATATATATATATATGATATACATATGGACACAGACACACATGTACACAGAAGATAAAACATGTAGCTATGTGTAAAAATTCTTTATAAAACATGAAAATGGGATAGCATATGGAAGCAGGGTGATGAGCTAAAAAGGCTGGTGGCATAGGCCTGGCATAAATTGAAAGGTCTTGGAGTCTTTTACATTTATTTAGAAACACCATAAAGAGCAAGTATAAAAGCATTTCGGGGAGAAGACTAACCTAAATTTGATGATAACTCAGACCCTGGAAACTTGGGGAAGGGGACAAGGGCAGAGGTGGGGGAGGGGAGTGCAGGGCACAGAATTAGGGATAAGGAGGAGTGAATGAGAAGATATTAAAAATGCCCACAATTTTGTGAGCCTAGGGAATTTGAGAGAGACCATAGTGACATTGACCAGGAGATAGAATTTGTGAAGGGTGACTTGAAGAGTGGTCTTAGCATGATTAGGTTTCAGGTATCAGCAAACATCAAACTGGTTATATTCTCCAGATAACTGAACTTTGGTAGTATGTTGAGACAGGCACACTAATTAGCTTTGTTTGTGACAATGAACAAATTTCTAATGTCTCTTCCAGCACTTAAATTCTACAGTCCTTTGACCTTTGTTGAAACCTGCAGTTGGAGGAATATGAGCAAAATATTTGCTAAAGGAGGTTAGGTAGAGAGAAAAGAACAAGACTTGTATGTCAGGGATCAAACCGATGTCCTCCACATAAATGTTCTTGGTCAGCATAGGGTTATTGTTCTTGTTATTCTTTTTGAAATTCTTTTTTATTTTTCTTTTTTTAAATTTGAGACTCTATAGGCTGGATACACTTCTCTAGTCCAGCCACAGACCCCACCAAGCCCTCTTATCTTAGATCTATCCACTGCACACATTTACATTAAATCTAGTCCTGGAAGACATTGAGATTTTGATCCCTGCTCTTAGTCTTAGGGCTCACTGATTGCTTGTGGGAAGGTGGAAAATACTCAAAAGCAGGAAAAACCAAAGGTAGCTAAGCATTGAACCACGAAAGTCAAGATTAAATGATGTTTTAAACAAGTACTAAAGTTAGCTGATTGGTCCAGAAAGCTGAAAATCAAGCTTGTTAAAATCTCTGTTGGTTCTTTTATAACTTGACTAGGTTTTGGACTCTGCCAAGAGTAGAAATAATGTCTGTTCTATGTTCTGAAACTTTATCTTACAGTGAGATTACAGTGCTATGCTCTTCAGGTGTAAAGAAAGAACTTTATAATCCTCAATTTCAAAACAAAGAAAGGGAGAGAAGGGTGTGGAAACAGGAAGAAAAAGAGAACAAAAGATTAAAAGTTGCCTCACCATTCCAAATAATAGAGTTTTTGTTTAGAATAACCCAAATGGAACACGTTTTTTTCATACACTTATCACTTTTCTAGAAACAATGAGAAAGTTGAAAATAGGTCTAGTATGTGAATATATTTAAGAAATACCTTTTTTTTTTCATTAACCAGTTTCTCTAGCTTAAATGTCACTCATAACACATTTTCTTCTGTTCAACCCCTTCTGCAGAAATGACTTGCTAATGGTCTGTCGCCAGCTGAATATGGAAGAGTCTGTGGCTGAGATCATGAACCAGTTGGGAGCAGATGAAAATGGGAAGATTTCCTTTCAGGATTTCACAAGATGCCGCATGCAGCTTGTTCGAGAAATTAGGAAGGAGGAAGTAGATCTTTCTGCAAAGTCAGACAACTCCTGTACAAAGAAGCTGAGGGATAGAATTGCTTCCTGGCCCACGAGCAGTGACAACAGTTTGGGTAGGTATAACCAGGTGGCAGTTTTATGGCACTCCACTGGCCTTGCCTGTGATCTCTCATTAAATGAGAGTAGCCTCCCCATCATGAGGCCACAGCCTCAGCTCATACTGAGGCTGCCCTCCTGGCCACACTTTCCCTGGGGGAGTGCTCACTGTTTCCCCCAGTTCTGTCTGATGGCTTCACACTTCCCAGCTTGCTGCTTTCTTTATTTTGCTTCTTCCATTTTCTAAGTATAATAATGCATTCAAGTAGCTATTATGGAAGAAGGGCAAATGCATAAGAAAGGTAGTAACTGCATCAGCAGGCCTCAGAAGCTCTTTGGGGAGGAAGTTTCAAGGTTACATGCAGAGGCTTTTAAAAGCAATTTTTTTGGGGGGCGGGGGACGGAGTCTTGCTCTGTTGCCCAGGCTGGCGTGCAGTGGCGGGATCTCGGCTCACTGCAACCTCTGCCTCCCGGGTTCCCGCCTTTCTCCTGCCTCAGTCTCCTGAGTAGCTGGGACTACAGGCACCTGCTACCACGCCCAGCTAATTTTTTGTATTTTTAGTAGAGACGGGGTTTCACCGTATTAGCCAGGATGGTCTTGATCTCCTGACCTCGTGATCCACCTGCCTTGGCCTCCCAAAGTGCTGGGATTACAGGTGTGAGCCGCTGCGCCTGGCCTAAAAGCAATTTTTTAAATTTAAGATTAAAATCGTTTTCTATAAAGATGGTTTTTCTGTTCATAAGTTTATATTTCTTACTGGTGCAAGATAAGCAGTTGGAAAGAAAGTTCTTAATACTGTTGATAATTATTGAAATTGGGTGATGGGAACATGGGGTTTCTTGTATATATTTTTGAATACTCAGTTATACATATTTTTTAGTATGTTTGAGATTTTACATAATAAAAAGTTAAAAAGGAAAGAAAGGAGACATCTTAAAGGGTAGCCTTGACAAAGAGACGGAAGAAAGTATCTGAATTTTCAGGGTTTGTTTTTCCTTGAAAATGTGTCTTTGATCTCATTGTTTCTCTGCTAGGTAGATCTATTGGCAAGAAGTAAAGGGTCATGTTGGTTGTCCCTGTCCAAATGAGCATAGATAATTGTGTAGTGCCACATACACACACATCTTTAAACAATGCTTCTTATTATTGAGTAATGGAAACAATAAAAATGTCCACATACACTCCATGCGTTACTACCTTCATATATTCTACTTTAGCAGCAAATCAGATGTCTGGTAATGCATGTGCTCTTAACATAATATGTAGAAATACTTAATATTGAAATACAAACTTTCTGAGTATTCAAGTAATATATGTTCATTATAAAAAAACACGGGGAAAAAAAGGCAAGCAGAAGAAAATAAAAATCATACTAATCCTACCACCTGGAAATAATAACTACTGCCTACGTTTGATATACTTACTTCTGGAATCTTTTCCTCTCCCTCTGTCTCTCTCGTCATGTGTGTGATTTGTGTTTTACTAATTTTTCCACATATCTTCTGCATATTTTGTATCTTGCAGTTTTTCTTTTGCATTTTCTTCATGCTTTTAATGGTATTTGAAAGCATGATTCGTAAGTTTGCATGACACAAAATAGACACTCAGTAAATATTTATTAAATGATGAAATGAAGGAATTTTTTCTGCTAAGCTGTATTTTCAGATTTTTCTGCCAAGAACATGGATTTCTTCTATAAACACATAAGTGTACACACATACATAGTTGAAGTGTTAAGTACATTGTGGAACACCCCAACCAATAATTGCATACTATATAGCATTAAAATAATGTGTAAATGTGTATCAAAATATGTACACAGAAGGAAATTTTTTGTGAAAAAAAATTGTTTATGTGTAGTAGATATTTATAAAAATCCTAAAAGGAACTGGTTTGAAAGAATTGCTGCACACATCTAATTGGTTTGACCAGCTTGGAAGACTGTCCTGACCAGAGAAAGGATTGAAAAACAATACCCTTTCATCCTTTTATATAACCTTATACCCTTGGGAAAAGAGGTGGTAACTGACAGGAGGTGATTCATAAAACATGTCCTGAACTGAGGAAGTGCCAGCGGCTGTGAAACCTCCTACCACTTTCTCCTGGTAGTTAAGAGTTCAGAGTCAGACTATTTGAGTGAGAATCCTGTTTCTGATGCTTACTGTCTACATGACACTAGACAAATTATTTAACCTCTCTGTGTCTCATTTTCCTCAAATGTAGAATGGGGGCAGTTGTTATTTGGGGGAATAAAGGAGCTAATATATATGTAAAGTCCATAAAGCAATGCCCCACACATAATCACTAAATACGTGTTAAACTAATATTCTTATTATTATTACCACCCGGTTTTAAGTCCTGGGGATTGGGAAAACAACTCCCTATTCAGCCTAACGTAAATCAAATACATCCAAAAATTGACACTAATTAGGCTGGGCACCATGGCTCACACCTGTAATCCCAGCACTTTAGGAGGCCGAGGCGGGAGGATCACTTGAGGTCACAAGTTTGAAACTAGCCTGGGCAACGTACAAAAAATTTAAAAGTTAGCCAGGTGCAGTGGTGCATGCCTGTTGTCCTAGCTACTCAGGAGGCTGATATGGAGGAGTTACTTGAGCCCAAGAGTTAGAGGTTGCAGTGAGCTATGATTACACCACTGCACTCCAGCCGGGGTGATAGAGTAAGACCCTGTATCCAAAAAAAAAAAAAAAAAGGACAATAATTAGATAAAGATATACATGTTCAATTAGTCCTTCTCTTTTCTATACTATTAACCTCTCCTTCTGACTCTATTTAGGTAAACTCCAGGATCTCCCTTCTGGGGGTGGAGGGAAACCCTCTCTTGACTTTGTGTCCCCATTAGTACTGCCTTATTTCTCTGACCCTTTCTTCAGTGAACTCTTACCATCTTCAGTCCTCACCACTCTGCTGGCCCTGCTCTTGCTGCCTCCATGTTGGCAATCCAAAGATTCCTTTTCTGCCCACATCTAAATCTTTGGATTTTGACCCAGCTGACCACTCCTTCATGCTAGCTATACTTTATTCTCTTGGACTTCTTGACACCATGTTCTCCTGTTTACCATTTTAGCTTCCCTTTCTCAGCCTATACTACTTCCAAATTTGGAGGTGCCTTGGGGTTACATTCTCTCCTTAGATGATTTCTTGTGGTCCCATGGGTTTATTTATTTATTTATTTGAGTCAGGATCTCACTCTGTCACCCAGGCTGGAGTGCAGTGGTGCAATCATGGCTCACTACAGCCTCAACCTCCTGGACTCAAGTGATCCTCCTGTCTCAGCTTCCCAAGTAGCTGGAACTACAGGCATGCACCACCAGGCCCAGCTAATATTTTGTATTTTTTTGTGGAGATGGGTTTCACTATGTTGTCCAGGATAGTCTCAACTCTTGGACTCAAGCCATCTTCCTGCCTCAGCCTCCCAGAGTGCTGAGATTACAGGCAAGCACCACCATGCCGAGCTTGGTCGTATGGTTTTAAATACTAGTTTTGTACCAGTAACTCCCAAATATAATTATATATATCCCTGCCCTTTCCTGTGATCTCCAGAATCAGGTTAAATTGACATGTATTCCTAGATATCTTACAGACTTCCAACCTTAATGCAGTGAAAAAGAACTTTTGATTCTGTCCCCTACTTTTTCTCCCAGGCTTACTAGTCTCCCAGATAACCTTTACCTAGGAAATATCTGCATTTAGTAAATATCTGCATCTTGGAAATATTTCTGTTCATCTGTTTGCTCAAGCTGGCAAGTCCCACTGTCTCGCGTGCAAAAGTATAGCCAGAATCTGCCCACTTCCTTTGCTCTCCTGCCATCACCGTGTCCAAATCACCATCATATCTTGCCTTGCCTACTAAAATAACCTTTAACTGGCCTCCCTGGCCCCTTCCTTGGCTCCTGACATTTTATTTTCTACCCTGTAGTCAGAATTGTCTTTTAAAGTTATAAAATCATGCTTAGTTCAATCCCATGTCTAAAACATTCTGTGGCTTCTGTATCATCTTAAAATAAAGTCCAAATTCCTTACCACAATGTGGTGCACACCACCCACTCTGAGTTGATCTCATCTTGCTCCCCTGACTTACCATGTTTGCCACAGTCACACTGGCCTTCCTGCTTTTCCTCTAATTTAGCAAACTCAGCCTGTCTCTGAGCCTTTACTAGGCACTTAACCGGGCTTAAATATTTCCTCTTCAGAGAGGCCTTTCCAAGCTCAAGCAGCCTCTCCTCCTTTCCTCATTCACATGCCCTTAACTGCTTCATACCACTCACCCTTATCTGACATGAGTTATGTACCTCCTTGAATATTTACTTATCTATCTTTCCCCATACAAATAAATTTCCACCGGATTACTAATGACGTTGATTGTCATGTTTACTGCTATACTCCAGCACTTAGAATAGTGCCTGGCACAGGGAAGATGCTTGGTGCATGTTTGTTGAATGAATGAATGAATGAATGAATGAGCAATGCACTGTCATGCTACTTTAGGGACACAGGGAAGTGCAGTGCACAGTTCCAGACACTAAATAACTTATAATGTGATTGTGGATGCATAAGCACATGACAAATTAAGTGACAATAAGCTTTAAAGTAGAGTTAACAAAAGTTTGGAAGCCATCGAATGGTACAGAAGTTATGGTCTGCTCTGTAAGAGGAGCTAAGAAATACTGTGAACAGGAGTTTCAGGAAATGGTTACCTGTGACTGTAGGATGGAGAGAAGTAGAAAGAATGTTGTGCTGTTGTGAGAAAAGCCTAAGAAAAACTTCGGTTTAATAGTTAAGTGCCAGAAGAAGTTTATTGTCAGCCTCGACATTTCACAGCACATCTACAGCAGGGAGCTGGGTTGGCAGAAAAAGACTAGTCAAAACATTACATGCTCAGCTCGGAAGAGGAATTTCCATAGATTCATTCCTCCTAAGTGTTTTCTGCAGAACACTGATTTAAAGAGATGGTTATAAATATTATGTGAGGAAGGAATTTCTTTGTTAAGTACATGTGAAAACTTTGGGTTAAACTAGATTATAGTTTTCTTTATGGCAAGACATCTCGGAGCCTTTAATATGCTATTGTTTCTTGAAAGTCTCCAGAAGAAGAATAAAATATAAGCATTTTCCACACTTAATTGACTATAAACTTTTACTCACAAAGCTTCTCTTAGGCCATGCATTCTCTGCTCAAAAGTTCTTTGGGTGAAAATTAAGGCACCTGAACAAACACGTCATAACAGATTTTTATATCGGTTTAAGCCATCCCAGAAACAATATTTTTAAATTTTTATGTGTTTTAGACATCAGCTATACAATTTAATACTTGTAGCAATAATACAAATGTTTTAAAATTACTAGTATTTATTAGCATGAGACAATTTGCTAGGCACTTTACTTGTATTATAATGCTAGAAAGATAGATCCCAATTTCACCACTGAGTTGCCATGGAACTTAGGCTAAGTTCCTGATTGTTCTGAGCTTTAAGTTTTTTATGTCTCAAGATAAAGCGGTAACACAAACATTATAGGGAAGTTGGAAAGATTTAGTGAGATATTACATGTAAAGTTCCTACATAGAGCTTAAAATATCACAGGTTTTCAGTATATAATCGTGTTGTTATCATTATCATCTCTAATCCTTGCAACTACTTTCCTCATCTAGAATAGAATGCTCCTTCTATACAGGAGGAAACTGAGGCTGTAAGCCACAGAGCAAGTAAGGAATAGAGAACACTCAGTCTGTTGAAAGAGATGATTGAGTCTCTTGCAACTTTAACTTAGAAAACTGACGTGATGAGCAAAGTGCAAACTGAAAATAACACTGCCACCCAGAGGCCACTCCCAGAAATGACAGACATATGGTCCTCAGGGACTTGAGGCAGGGTCTGAGGGCAATTCGTGTTAGTGAAAGCCCATCTTGTTGGCAGCAAAGTGATGCATACATTATACCAGAACAGTTGTGAGGTATTCTGTATGCTACCTAATTTTCCCATGAAAAACAAATAATCTAGGTTCATTATAATTACTTGTAGATTTCATTTTGAAAAGTGTGCTTTTCTTTGTGATTGGGAAAGACTGGAGTTAAAAAAGAAATTCTAGCATTAGATATTTACATATGTTAGCAATTCCAACGGAGCCTTTGTTTAAACATGCCCTTTTGAATAAATAGTTTTTCTTTTTTACTTCAGCCAAGCTGTAAACCTTACACATGGATTCCATGTACTTGTGTCAAACATGTGAATTATGTGAAAGGGGCAGTGCTTCAGGCTGATGGCCACTGAAGGGGCAGGGATTGCCTGAGGAGAGCTGATGCATCCCTTTGAGCTGACCTAATGAGGCTGTCACCTGTCTGTGCTTCTCAGAGCTTTGGGGGCACTTGTTTTTCTTCCTTTGGTCAGGTCTCAGAGAGCCCCAAAACTTATTTCAATCAAATTCCGTAGTTGTAAAACATTGTTTAAGATAGTAGACATAACAACCTGCTAATTAGTACAATTACCTTTAATTTATACTAAGATTAGAACACCAGGCACAATTTCCAATAACCTATATCTCCAAAGACTCTTTATTGCCCTTTCCTTGAGGTAGATTCTCACCTGATGTGTCAGCCTTCATTGCTGCTCTGATGGTGCCCCATGGTCTAAGGAAAAAATAAAGTACTGAAGTTTCTCAGAAAAACTAACAGTAAAAAAAAGTTTTCTCTAATAGGAACTCAAAAAGTTAGATGAAAGAATATGTGGTTGAGACAGGAAGGACCTCAAACCCACAAGCCCAAGGGAGGAAGTATGAGGAGATATCCTGATTCCTTGGCAGATTTAAAGAAACAATAAGCAGCCTCCTGAATTTGGGTTTGATATCTTGTTTAAAAAAGTTAAAACTACAGTTTTAATTAATATATACAAAATCTATTCAGCCCTGACATATCCCAGTTTTCCAGAATGAATGCTACTATTAGATTTCATTGTTAAAAATACTGCCCAGTGAGCATAAAACCAGACTCAAGTCACACACGATAGCCTTCAGCCCCATTTGAAGGTAAAAGGGTTTTTTTTTCATTTTTGTTGTAGTTTTGTTTTATTTTACATACTCTAAGCCCTCTGTCAAAGGGTAAACAATTTAATTTATTCCAATATTTAATTGGGAGTTATAAAGGCCTTTAAAGTCTTTAAGTAATGGGTACCATTTTACATTCTATTGTTGCATACTGAGAATGCTGTGAAGCAACTATCTATAGATTAAGTTTGGGCAAATTTAGCCAAGTCTTTGATTAGCAGTTAATTTTTGTCTCTTTTTATTAATCATTGTCCTTCCTGTCCTTGAGGAGTCCCTAATTCCTATTGATTCTTCTCTTCATACTTCTCAGATTGGCAGTACCATGGTCTAGGTATGGATCCTCCCTCATCTCTTGATTACTGGAGTTTCCTCCTAGTTGTTCTTTCTGCCTGCAAGCTGTTGATTTCAGTCAGTGCTGCTATGGCTTCCTAATATTTTTGCTAGGTACTCATGATACAGCTCTCTTTTATCTACTTAATTGACTATGCTGTCACCTCTGGATGCTTTTGGATGTCAAGACTCCTAACCATCTAGTGGGCTCATTCTACTATATCACATCATGTTTCCCACTGCTTCCCACATGGGCCCTTAGCTTCAGTAATGCTGGCCTTCTTATGACCCCTATACAACCCCTCAAACCTACTTCTTGAGTTTTGTTCCTTCTGTACTATATATTAGGGCTTTTTGGTGACAAGCAGCAAACACCCAACTCTAATACTTTGAAGAAGAAGTGGGAGGTGGTGAGAGAGAATGCAAATGTGACCATATTGGAGAAGCCTAGGCAGTTAGGTCCAGCATGGATGGATTCAAAGGATCAAATGTCATCAGCCTTCCTTCTGCTGTGTCTCAGCCCTTTCCTTTAGAATTGGCTTTATTCTCAGGCTCCTGGTCATGGCTTCCAGCAGCCCAAGTCTTACAGCCATTCTGTCGGGTAGCCACAGAGAAAAGAGGGATTCTTCTCTAATGGTGGCTTCACAGAAGTCCTGGGAATTGGTCTCACTAGCTCTTCTTGGGTCATATATCTATTCCTGAACAAGTCACTCAGACTATAAGAATGCAGTGATCTGATTGGCCAGGCCTGGATTACATGCTCAGCTTGAGAAATTAGGGTAGAGTTGGCTCTATCCCCATCTTGTGGACTAAGAGCTGAGGAAAGAGCAGGTAGGGAATCAAGGTGCTGTCACTACCAGAAAGGCGAATGAGTGCCGGGCAGGGAAAAATAACAGATGCCCATTCCATGGTTTTAATGGAAGTTTTCTTTTTATGTGTATTTTCACCATCCTCAAAAGGCTTTAATAATGCTACATAATACTGATATGTGTGTGTGTGTGTGTGTGTGTGTGTGTGTGTATAAAATATGGCAACTAGGAGATTCATGTGTGTCTTATACACAACCCAATTGTAAGTTTCTAACTGAATTGGTAAACATTTTATTTTATGTCTCTTAATGTGTTTTCATTATATCTTGTGCATTTAACTGTCATTGCAATTATCAGCCACATTGTGTTATAATCATCCACTGTATATCCATCTTCTCTACTCAATTATGCATGTTGGGCAAATAGTACAGAGACTGACACAGGGCATGCATTGGGTGAGTATTTGGCCAATAAACAAATATACCAGTGAACAAAGCTCTCTGATACCCATAGCACCTAATCCCATGGACAACAACTATTTTCAATTTATTGTCAGTCTTCAAAGCATGAACCTGTTTGTTCAAGGTACAGTTATTCCTTTGAAATAAGAAATGTGTGCTTGGATCTGAGCAACTTTTAAAGAGAAAATCAGTCCAAGTAATGAGTTAAAGATCAATATTACCAAGGTTAATTTTTTTATTTTAAATCTACTCTTATCCTGAGGATATAGTCTCAAGCTGGATGAAATGAAAACACCAGAACACTGAGTTCACATCAGCTAATATCTAGTACGTGCCTTCGCTATGACACTTGCTGCTAAATTGACAGAAGAAAGAGAATGTGTGATGTGGCTGATTGAAAAACATGGCCACAATATTTTGCAGCTTTTCCCATCAAGAGGTGGAGTATTTTTTCCCCACCCCTTAAATCTAGGGTGGCCTTGTGGTTTGCTTTGAAAATAAAATGTCACAGGAATGAAATTGTGCAAGTTCTGGAGCCAAGGCCTCAAATCCCTTGCAGCTTCTTCATTCATGTCTTGGAACACCCCTGCCACCATGAAAGAACATCTGGACTAGACTAACAAAAGTTGAAAGACCACACAGGGAGGCCCAGCCAACAGCCAGCACCAAGCCCCAGACATGGACTAAGTGTGGATATCTTAGTCCCTCCAGCCCCTGTCAAGCTACCAGATGACTATAGTCACATCAGTGACCCCAGATGGGACAAGCCAAAGTACTGCTCAGCTAAGCCCAGCCCAGCTGAGAATTGTTGACCCCCAGAATCACGAGAAACAGTAAATTGTTGCTGTTTTAAGTCACTAAGTTTTGTGGTGGTTTTTTATGTAGCAGTAAACATGAAACACATAGAGAATTATCCTTAAGAAATTTGTGAAATTATTGTGAATCAAGACAAAACATATAAATAGAACTAGTACAGGATCATATATGATCAAGTGAAAAATGTGTGAAGCAAACAAGTTGTGCTATAGGAGATGAGAAAGGAGAATCATTGTCAGAAACCAGAGAAGACTCTTGGAAGAAATTAAGTCCAAGCTGATCTTGGAAAACTGGAAAAAAAAAATGGAACAATGTTGAAATAAGGAAACACACCCAGGTCATGATAAGTTGGAGAAGAGCTCAATAGAAAGTATTCAACCTGTAATTAAATTCAATGTCCCTGTGCATCATACCGAGTTATATGAACATCCAGGGAGTACATAGCTGTGGTTGGGTGTGGGAAGTACTAAAAGCTCCAAGACAAACATGGTGCATCTTTTTTTTTTTTTTTTTTTTTGAGACAGGGTCTCACTCTGTCACCCAGGCTGGAGTGCTGTAGCACAGTCACGGCTCACTGCAGCCTTGACCTCCTGGACTCAAGCCATCCTCCCACCTCAGCCTCCTGAGTAGCTGAGACCACAGGCGTGCACCACCATGCCCCAGCTAATTTTTGTATTTTTTGTAGAGATGGGATTTCACCATGTTGCCCAGGCTAGTCTTGAACTTCTGGGCTCAAATGATCCACCTGCCTCAGCCTCCCAAAGTGCTGGGATTTACAGCTGAGCCATTGTGCCCAGCAAACATGGTGCATCTTCTCAAGCATCAATTTAGTTGACTATTTGGAGGAAAAGTTATATAACTTGGTAAATTGCTTAAAATTTGTATTAATACAAATATGGCGTAGAATTAACCATTCAAATGAATTTTTAAGATGAAACATGTGACTTCAAAGAAATCTCTGGCTCGGGCGTAAGTCGGTCTGTCCCCTAGACTCTTTTGACTATCCTCTGCCTTCAGCATACTCTGGTGGAAGAGACTGAGAAATGCTTCATTGAAGGTTTCCTTTAAAAATATAAACCTCAGAACTTACTTCTCTTTTAGTTTGTCTCTTTGGGTTGTTTAGGGCTCCTGACGTTTGAGCTGACAATTGTTTTAGTACCAGACAATGATTTACAGAGTCCATCAGGATCAAGGAACAAAGAAGGTTTAAGGCTGTCAAACACTGTTAAGATCATAGCAAAGACATTTTCTGGAGCGACTATTGCAATGGCTTTGCTATTAAAAAAAAAAACAAAAAAAAAAAAAGTAGAAGCCCCAGGCTGGGCACCGTGGCTCACGCCTGTAACCGCAGCCTTTGGGAGGCCGAGGTGGTCAGATTACTTGAGCTCAGGGGTTCAAGACCAGCCTGGGCAACATGGTGAAACCCCATCTCTAAAATTAGCCAGGCGTGGTGGCATGCGCCTGTGGGCCTGTGGTCCCAGCTACCCAGGAGGCTGAAGTGGAAGGATTGCTTGAACCTGGGAGGTGGAGGTTGAGCTGAGATCACACCACTGCATTCCAGCTTGGGTGACAGAGTGAGACCCTGTCTCAAAAAAAAAAAACAAAAACAAAAAACCTCAGCTTCTCAACTTAGCATGTATAGGGAAGCAATCCTGCAGTGAAAATGTGTTAACACAGGAAAATCTTGATTATGCACGGGTAGCTTTTATGTGGCAAATCTTGTTTTAAAATTATGAACATAATTAAGGATATTACATGACAGTATCCTTTATATATTTCACAGCTTTAAAACTAACCATTTTTTTCCAACCCATGGAAAATATGAAACAAAGAAATAGAGGAAGAATCTGTTTAAATTTATCTTGAGAGGTCACGTCATCTGCCATGAGGAGCGAACAAGAGTTCTTCTGAACAAGGGAATGAAAGAGGAAACTGTAAACCTTCCCCCACCCCATTCTCAGACAACTGAACCCATATATTAAAATGTAAGTACAAAACAGCTGATGAAACCAAAGATAATAAATGACTTTGACATCTAAGACAGAGTAATCAATAGTCAGATGTATGTTATTTATCTATCAGAATGAAAATATTTCTGTATTAGGTATATTTGAACTTCAGTTCTTTGTATTTAATTTTTTTTTAGTGCAAACTTTATTATTTTTTAGAATATTTTAGAAACATATTTTATATGTGTGTCTTTTCAGAGTATGTCACATGCAGAATTGTGTTGTGGACACCTTCATTCATTGAAACAACTCTCTTCTCAATCAGACACCCAAGTTGCACTCTTAGAAACATCTTTTATTTATTTTATTTTATTTTTTTTTGAGAGGGAGTCTCGCTCTGTCCCCCAGGCTGGAGTGCAGTGGCGCGATCTCGGCTCACTGCAAGCTCCGCCTCTCGGGTTCACGCCATTCTCCTGCCTCAGCCTCCCGAGTAGCTGAGACTACAGGTGCTCGCCACCATGCCCGGCTAATTTTTTTGTATTTTTAGTAAAGACGGGGTTTCATGGTGTTAGCCAGGATGGTCTCGATCTCCTGACCACGTGAACCGCCCGCCTCGGCCTCCCAAAGTGCTGGGATTACAGGCTTGAGCCACCACGCCCGGACAGAAACATCTTTTATACATGTGTCTTTAAACAGTGTTTTAGGCTGGGCTCAGTGGCTCATGCTTATAATCCCATCACTTTGGGAGGCCAGGGTAGGTGACTGCTTGAGCCCGGGGAGTTAAAGGCCACAGTGAGCTGTGATTGCACCACTGCGCTCCAGCCTGGGTGACAAAGCGAGACCCAGTCTCTGAAAAAGATTAACAGTGTTTTACATGCAGAACAATATAGTGATCACATTCATACATTCATTCTTAGTGTAAACTTGAAATTCTGTACTTATGATGTTATATTCTATTTGTGGTACATTGGACATTATCTCTTAATTCTGTATTCACTGCAGACAGAAGGAAAAACTAAAGAGCAATACAAAGAAAAAATACAATATATATATTTTTTAAACTTCTAAGAAAACATGTACAAGGTCACTGGATTCACAAATATTTCTGAGGTATTAAATATTTTAGATTTCTTTTGTAGATCAGTACCTTGTGTAATTCAGTATGTTGTTTTGTGGTGGTCTAAATTCTTTTAAAATGATGTCTCAAGTAGTACAAACTGGTTCAGTCTTACTTGCTGATTTTGTCTTTTGTCTGTGTGTTTCACACTATTTGGTGCTGCTCTTTTTGAACCTATTATTTTAGCTTGCTTCTTAATGGCATTAATCACTTCATTTTAGTCAGCATAAACCAAGAAAGTTCGTGGGAATCCAGGTGTGTTTATCTCAGGTGGTAATTCTGGCATGAAGGGAGTCAGTGATTACCTGTGTTGATCATATCTTTTGGACCACACATAACACAATGAAATTGTTCATCTATTTTCTCTCTCCGGCATGATTTAACTGAAGCAATTCATTAAGTGTCATTGTTTTTATGGGATGTTGAAGCCATTCCAATTTCTGTGGCAGTGATACAACTTGGCGTGATTTTAGTTATTTTTCATGGAAGAAAAATGATTACTTGGCTGAGATAAAGGCTCAGTCTGCTTACAGAAAGTGTTTAATTTGGCCAGACTATTCCATTGTCCATTGTTCATTCTACAGAATCTGTCACTCAACATTATAATCACAGAAAGCTCAGGAAGGCTTATTTTGCTTCCTGTTTTATCTCTTGTAAGACTAATGCAAATTCATTGGAGAACATAAATGAGAGGGCATTAGTAAATGATTAATGTTTTAACTAATGTTTTGTGTATAAGTTTAAATCCGTTAAATTTATATGGTTGTTTTGGAAGAATTGTGTATGGTTTCCAGTTGATCCATTTAAGTTTGCTATCTACAAGAAAAACATTTTTCTCCTAGTTGAAGCAGAATTTAATCTGGTACTTCATATATTTGTTTGGCTCTCATTTTATGCATGCATATTTGTCAGTTCTAGATAAATTTTAACACAAAAATATTACCGTGTCAGATTTATTTCTTTGTATAATTATAGTGTTTTCTTTGATTTATCTGACTTGAGTACTTTGATAAAATTTTGCCCTTGAATTACAAGATTATAGCCAAGAAGGTCTGTTAAATATAATTTAATTTCATTCTCTGTATAGGATAGATAAGGAAATGGAGACCTAGAGGACTAAATGATATTGCTGAGGTCACAAAACTAATTGTGTCATGGCTGGGACTAGAATGGAACTCTCCTGGCTTCTGATTCAACTGTCTTTTTTTACTTTCTGTTTTTTGAGACGGAGTCTTAGTCTGTCACCCAGGCTGGAGTGCAGTGGCACAACCTTGGCTCACTGCAACCTCCGCCTACCAGGTTCAAGTGATTCTCCTGTCTCAGCCACCCAAGTAGCTGGGATTCCAGGCATGCGCCACCACACCCGGCTAATTTTTTTTGTCTTTTTAGTAGAGATGGGGTTTCATCATGTTGGCCAGGCTGGTCTCGAACTCCTGACCTCAAGTGATCCACCTGCCTCTGCCTCCCAAAGTGCTGGGATATGCAAGCGTGAGCCACCATGCCCAGCCTCAACTGTCTTTCAGCTAATTCACACTGCTGTATTATTTCTCCCGTTTTCTTGTGCTATATTAATAAAATCTTAGAATTTAGGTCTCTAAGATGGTTTTTCTTGTTAGAAATTTCTGTATAGATGTTTAGAATCTGCAGACTGTGTGTTGAAGGGGAGGGGGTGTCTGTGTATGCATATATGTTCAATGCTGGAAAATGGTTTTGCTTTTTTGAAATACAATCTCAAAAATTTCAGTGCTGATGACTAAATTTTAAGTGATTTTTAAGTAGAACAGAACTAACAAAATATATCTATGGATCAGTCCATATTCTACCAGTCTGCAGCTTCTGTTAGAAGAAAGACCTTAACTCAGTAGAGGAGGAGATGGCTTCTTTCTGAGCCTTCATCTCTTGCTTTTAGAAAAAGAGGAATCAGACTATCTAGTCTATGTTTCTGAATGCTGGGAACAGAAATGAGGATAGGATTGGGCTAGTACCCACGGTCACTTCTGATACTCCTTATTATCTAGTTTTGTGACGTTTCTGTTAATTTCTCTTTAGACATTAATAAAATCTTCTATAATGGTGTCACTTTGCCCTGTTTGGGATGTCAAAGAAGAACAGGCTTCCATTTTTGGGCCTCAGTGTCCAAAGGGAAAAACCTTCGCCTCTTCATGGCCTAGGAATGGTTACAGGGATAATTAGAGGAAAATCCTTAAGGGGAAGGTGAATCATAGAAGGCAACAGTTGGGATTATGAGGGTTCTGCTACGTCATCCATTGTGGAGATTCTCCCTCCATTGCCAACTGTGTAGAATAAGAGGTTTGCTTTTATTTAGGGAGTTGTCTGTTTCTTACACCTTTCTGCTGATTTGCATTGATGTTGACTAAGTTATATCCTCAGAGTTTATTCCTTTGGTTTATCCCCAAGAAATACTTTTGTTCTTGTTTTAACAACCAAATACCAGAGAATATGTTTAGTCTTATCAGTCATTCATACTGTGTATGAATAAAATGATAGATTTTTTACTTGAATCAGTTTTAATGAGGGAAACAGACAAGAGAGAGATTTTGAAGGAAAGAAGTAGGGTGAGGGAGGATTAGAGTTATGGAAGAAACCTAAGGAAGGGAGAGGGAGGTAGGGCTTATGAAAAGCACATTTTGTCTGTTTCACTTTTGTCTATGCCTGGTCTGATAAAGTTCATTTAGTATGACATAGATCAGCGTTTCCTAAATTGGGCCCAACAGACTACCATAGTTTTAAGAATGGTGAGCTGAGATCTCAGAGCTTAAATAGGTTATGTAGCCCAAAGGTGGAAACAACCAAAGAGCAACAAACATCTGAAGAATTCCTCTAAAATAAAAGATAGAGACCAAATCAATAGAAAAAGTAACTTAAAGGGAACAGAGACTCTGCAGAGAGAACACTCAAAAAATCTACCATTAATATACTCTGAAAAAGAGAAGAAAATGTTGTATCCATGAAAAAGAATGGGGTAAAAGAGGCATTTTTTAAACTCTGGAAAAATATATTTGTGATATTATAAAATATATATTTGGTCTTTGTCCTTATTTTCTGGCATACAACACTTCATATCCTTAAAATCTCCAAATGTGAGGTATTTTTATGTGCTAATGAGTTGACTGATGGTTGGCAGCCCCTAGGTAGCTTCAGGATGAGGCTGGTCACTGAAAAGACCAAGGCAGGATTATGGAGTTGGGACTTTAAGCCCCAGCCCCCAACCTCTGGGGAGGGAAGAGGGGCTCAAGGTTAAGTTGATCACCAATGGTCAGTGATAATCAATCATGCCTATGTAATGAAGTGTCCATTAAAAAAAAAAGGACTGGATTCAGAGAGTTTCTGGATAGCTGAACACAGGGCATGGAAGCTCTACGTCCCCTCCCACATGCCTTACCCATGCATCTCTTCATCTGTTTCCCTTACAATATCCTTTGTAATAAACTGGTAAACATGTTTCCCTGAGTTCTGTGAGCCACTCTAGCAAATTAATCAAATCCAAGGAAAAGATTGTGGGAACCCACTTTTATACCCAGTTGATTAGAAGTACAGGTAAAACAACCTGGAGCTTGTGGTTGGCATCTAAGGCAGGGTGGCAGGGTGGGCATCTTGAGGGACTGAACCCTCAGCCTGTGGGAGCTGATGCTCTCTCTAGGTAGATAGTATAAGAATTGAATTGAATTAGAGGACACTCAGTTAGCATCCACTGCAGAACTGATTCCTTGCTTGTTGGTGGGGAAACATCCCCACATATTTGGTCACAGAAATCTTCCATGTTGCTTGTTGTTGAGTGAAAGAATAGGAAAAAAAAAAACACTTTTTCTCCTATACGGAGAATATCATAATGATAAATTCAGTGGGAAAAAATAAGAAATAAAGATTAGAATATCTTCCAGAGAAAGGAGGGAAAAGACAAGGAAATAGAACATAGGAAAGAAAAGGTAAGAAAGTTAGAGTGCTGATGCAGGATGTTCACCGTTCAGATAATAGGCATTCTAGAAAGAGTAAACAAAGAAAACAAAGGGAAAAACATCATCAACAAAATAGTCTATGAAATTTTCCTTCAAAGAGAAGTATGTGTTTATTGATAAAAGTGCCTGGGAAGTATCCTAGCATAAAAGATAAACTCTGACCAATTATGAAATTTTATAACACTAGGGACAAAGAAAAGATTCTTCAAATTTTCAGAGAGGAAATCAAAACAGGACAAATTCAAAATATTCAGTATCAGAATAGCTTCAGACATCTCACAAATGCTGGATGTTAAGTGACCAACGCAAAATTGTGAAGAAAAATTATTTCCAACCTAGAATCCCTTACCAATCAAATTATTAATGAAATGTTAGAATAGAATATAAATATTTTCTGTATTTGGAAATGAGACTGAGTAGAGATGGGGCTTGGCTTCAGCTTACCCCTACTAGAGCATTCTTTCATGTATTCCCACTGATCATAAAACCCACACTACTACCTCACTGCTATAGTCCTTTTACTTAAATAATTCTAGGAACTGGCCTTAGGAGATAAGCAAGGTTGCAGTGTCCCCCCTCAGTAAGGAATGTTGGACAATTGATTTATAGTCTTGTTGCCACTGGCCAGACCACCAGGTGGCCCATTACTCAAGATAACTCTAATGACCAGATAATGCTGACCTATATGCCCTACCCCTCAGCCAGCATACCCTACCCTGATGTCATTTCCTTTGCTTAGTCTAATAAAAAAGCCCTACTGGCTCTTTTCAGAGTCAGTCAGGGGATTCTCTCTCTCGCTCTCTCTCTCTCTCTTTCTCTCTCTCTTCCCCCCCCCCACCCTCTGCCTTCCTTATGCCCAAGCATAAGTTTTAATGAAGGCTTGTCTGGGAAAATTCTTTTGGCCTCATGTCAATTTCTATTGCAATGAGAAATCAAGAACCTCTAGTCAGTAACAGAAACATGAAAGAGAATGAAAACAGATGAGAAGTGAAACATAATGGACATTGGAGCAAGTCCAGAAGAGTAGGTAAAAAAAGCTCCAGGAGAAAGCCTTCACACTAAATTTGATGGAATATATGTACATCTTAAATTATTGAGAAAAGACTTAGATAATTGGCTAAGAATTTGAGGCTGAACTCATGATGCTTAGAAAACTAAACAAATGAAAATACAAAAAAATTAGTCCCAAGGAAATAAAAAAATTGTTCAAGAAAAAAAACTCGGCTTATCTGTAAATATGTATTTTCATTATAATAATTTGCATATTCATTATTTACATAATGAATATTGATTTCCATATCAATTAACATGATTAAATATCAGAATATATTGTTCAGCTGAAAATAACTTTAAAAGCTGAAATAAAGCTAGGTACAGCAGCTCACACCTGTAATCCCAACACTTTGGGAGGTTGAGGAGTGAGGATCTTGAGCCCATGATTTCGAGACCAGTCTGGGCAACATAGGGAGACCCTGTATCTACAAAAAATTTTAAAAATTAGCCAGACATGGTGGTGCACAGCTGTGGTCCCAGCTACTTGGGAAGCTGGGGTGGTAGGATCACTTGAGCCCAGGAGGTCAAGACTGCAATGAGTATGATCGCACCACTGCACTCCAGCCTGGGTGATAGAGTAAGATCCTGTCTCAAAAAATAAGTAAATAAATAAATAATTTTAAAAAGCTGAAATAACTATATTTTTAACCTTCTCCTTTAAACATGCTGAATATCCAGCAAAAGAGTAAAGATGTATGAGTCTAAAATCTAAGTAAATGAGGAAACCTTGCACACCAAGCCACTCTTACTTATTGTCTGAACCTCATAAAAATTACATGACCTTATGGACTCTGGGAACAGAAGACAAATTTCAGCGTCTTCTCAGGTAGGAAATCAAATAAGACAAATCGTTTTTTAAAAAATCTAGAAGCCTAGAGGGCTATATATTCTGGCTTAGGTTGAACAGAAGTATTCTACCCATATATTACCCTCGAAATATTAAAAGGAAAATTGCCTTGGAGGTGATTAAAGCAGTTCTAAAAGAATATCCACAAATAATTCTCCAGAGAATATGGGCAATTCAGTTTCTACAATTACTTAGTATATAAAGAGACTACACACATGAGCAAGAATTAACATAAAAAAAAACCTACTAAGATTTCATTTATTGAAATTATCAAATTCAGAATATAATTACACTTACTGTGTCCAGAAAGAAAATCTAAGCTAGAAAAAAAGAAAACCAAAAAGACAAAGCAGATTCAAAAAAGGAACCAAATGAACATCTAGGAATGAGAAATGTTATAATTGAAATTAAAATCTGATTAAAATTAACTAATTAGAAATGAAGAGAGAATTCGTGAACTGAAAGAGGGGTTTGAGGACATTAGTTTCGAAAGCACAAAAGAAGAAAGAGATGTAAAATATGAAAGAGAGGTGATATGGTTTGGATCTATGTCACCATCAAATCTCATGTTGAATTGTAATCCCAAGTGTTGGAGGTGGGGCCTGGTGGGAAGTGATTAGATCACAGGGTCAAGTTCTCATGAGTGATTTAGCACCATCCCCAACTTGGTACTGTATAGTGAGTGAGTTCTCACAAGATATGGTTGTTTAAAAGCATGTAACACCTCCCTGCTCTCTCTCTTCCTTCTGGATATGAAGTGCTGGCTCCTCCTTTGCCTTCTGCCATGATTCTAAGTTTCCTGAGGCCTCCCCAGAAGCTGAGCAGATGCCAGCATCATGTTTCCTCTACAGCTTGTGGAACCATGAGCCAGTTAAACCTCTTTTCTTTATAAATTACCCAGTCTCAGGTATTTCTTTATAGCAATGCAAGAATGAACTAATACAGAAAATTGGTACCAAGTAGTGGGGTGTTGCTATAAAGATACCTGAAAATGTGGAAGTAGCTTTGGAACTGGGTAATGGGCAGAGGTTGGAAGAGTGTGGAGGGCTTAGAAGAAGATAGGAAGTTAAGAGAAAGTTTGGAACTTCCTAGAGACTTGTTGAATGGTTATGACAGTGCTGACAGTGATGTTGATAATCAAGTCCAGGGTAATAAGGTCTCAGACAGAAATAAAGAACTTTTGGAACTAGAGTAAAGGTCACTTGTGCTACGGTTTAGCAGAGACCCTGGCTGCATTGTGCTTCTGCTCTAGGGATCTGTGGAACTTTGAACTTGAGAGTGATGATTTAGGATATCTGGTAGAAGAAATTTCTAAGCAACAAGGCATTCAAGATGTGGCCTGGTTGCTTCTAACAGCCTATGCTCATATGTGTGAGCAGAAAAGTGACATAAAACTGGAATTTAAAAAGGAAGGAGGGTGTAAAAGTTTGGAAAATTTGCAGCCTGGCCATGTGGTAGAAAAGAAAAGCCTGTTTTCAGGGGAAGAATTCAGTTAGGCCACATAAATTTGTGTAAGTAGAAGAGCCAAGTGCAAATAGCCAAGACAATAGGGAAAAGACCTCAAAGGCATTTCAGAAACCTGCACAGCAGCCCCTCTCATCACAGGTCTGGAGACATAGGAGGGTTTCATGGCCATGCCCAGAGACCTGCCACCCTGTGTGGGCTTGGGACACTGCTCCCTGCATCCAAACTACTCCAGCTCCAGACTTGGCTCAAAGGGCCTCAGATAGAGCTCAGCCCACTGCTCCAGAAGGTGCAAGCCATATGCCTTGGTGGCTTCTACATGGTGTTAAGCCTGCAGGTGTGCAGAATGCAAGAGCTGAAGCATGTGAGCCTCCACCTAGATTTCAAAGGATGTATGGAAAAGCCTGGATGTCCAGGCAGAAGACTGCTGCTGAGGCAGAGCCCTCATGGAGAACCTGTACTAGGACAATATGAAGGGGAAATGTGGGATTGGAGCCCCCACACAAGTCCCCACTGGGGCACTGTCTAGTGGAGCTGGGAGAAGAGGGCCATCATCCTCCAGACCCTGGAATGGTAGAGCCACTGGCAGTTTGCACCCTGTAGTTGGAAAAGCCATCGGCACTTAGTGCCAGCCCATGAAAGTAGCCACAGGGGCTGAACCCTGCAAAGCTGTAGGGGCAGAGCTGCCCAAGGCCTTGGGAGCCCACCACTTGCATTTGTGTACCCTGGATGTGAGAAATTAAGTCAAAGGAGATTATTTTGGAGCTTTAAGATTTAATAACTGCCCTGCTGGGTTTTGGACTTGCATGGGGCCTAGAGTTCCTTTTTTTTTTTTTTCTGGTTTTTTTTTTTTTTTTTTTTTTCTGTTTTTGAGAAAGAGTCTCACTCTGTCACCCAGGCTGGAGTGCAGTGACGCAATCTCAGCTCACTGCAATCTCTGCCTCCCAGGTTCAAGCAGTTCTCCTGCTTCAGCCTCCTGAGTAGCTGGGATTACAGGCACCCACCACCATGCCCAGCTAATTTTTGCATTTTAGTACAGACGAGGTTTCACCATATTGGCCAGGCTGGTCTTGAATTCCTGACCTTGTGATCTGCCTGCCTTGGTCTCCCAAAGTGCTGAGATTACAGGCTTGAGCCACTGTGTCTGGCTATAGTTTCTTTCTTTTGGCCTATTTCTTCGTTTTGGAAGGGGACTATTTACCTAGTGCTTGTACTACCATTGTATCTTGGATGTAACTAACTTGTTTTGATTCTACGGGATTATAGGCATAAGGCCTAGTCTTGTCACAGATGAGATTTTGGACTTTGGACTTTTGAGTTAATGCTGAAATAAGACTTTCGGGGACTATTGGGAAGGCATGATTGTATTTTGCAATGTGAGAAGGACATGAGATTTGGAGGGTCCAGAGGTGGAACGATAGGGTTTGGATCTGTATCCCCACCAAATCTCATGTCAAATTGTAATCCCAAGTGTTGGAGTTGGGGCCTGGTGGGAGATGACTGGATCATGGGGCAGAGTTCTTATGAATGGTCTAGCACCATCCCCCTTTGGTACTATTTAGTGAGTGAGTTCTCATGAGATTTGGTTCAAAGTGTGTAGAACCTCCCCCTTCTCTCTCTTCCTTTTGCTGAGGCTGTGTGAAGTGCTGGCTCCCCCTTTGCCTTCTGCCATAATTGTAAGTTTACTGAGGCCTCCCCAGAAGCCAAGTGGATACTGGCATCATGCTTCCTGTACAGCCGGTGGAACTGTGAGCCAATTAAATTTCTTCTTTATAAATTACCTGCTCCCAGGGTTTTTTTTGTTTGTTTTTTTGTTTTTGTTTTTTGAGACGGAGTCTCGCTCTGTCGCCAGGCTAGAATGCTGTGGCGTGATCTCGGCTCACTGCAACTTCCAACTCCCTGGTTCAAGCAATTCTCCTGCCTCAGCCTCCTGAATAGCTGGGATTACAGGCACGTGCCACCACACCAGCTAATTTTTGTATTTTTAGTAGAGATAGGGTTTTGCCGTGTTGGCCAGGCTGGCCTTGATCTCCTGACCTTGTGATCCGCCCGCCTCTGTCTCCCAAAGTGCTGGGATTACAGGCATGAGCCACTGCACCTGGCCAGGTTTTTTTTTAATAGCAGTGCAAGAATGGACTAACACAAGAGGCTATAGTCAGGAAGTTTTTAACATAACATAAAATTATATTTCCAGAAGCAGAGGAAAGAATGAAGCAGAAGCTCCCTCCCTCCACCCTGGAGTCATCCCATTAGTGTAAAAAAAGACAATTATGTTTCAGGAAATTTCAAAGATTTTTGAAGCTCTGTGCCAGTAACCAGGACCAAAATCTAAATATATATATTTTACTATACCACAAAAGCATTATTAGAAATAGGCTAATTTTTAAATGGTGAAGTATTAAATTTGTTAGAAAGATGTAACAATTTAAAATTTGTCTCAACCTAATTATATAGCCTCAAAATACAAAAGCAAAAAATTGACACCTATAAAAAAATACACCAATCCACAATCATTATGAGAGATATTAGCATGTTTCTTGTTAACTACTAGAACAAGGTGGCCCAAAAAAAAGAAAAAAAGAAAGAAAGAAAGTAAGGATCTGCAAGAGTTGAACAACTCAATTAATTAGCTTGAGATAATTCACATATAAATTCCATTCCACCCAACTGCAAGATATGCTTTCTTTTCAAATGTATATGGAACATTCATAAAGTTTTATCATGTATAGGCCATAAAACAAGTCTCGACAAATTTATAAGTAAAGTAACACAGACAGCCAGGTGCAGTGGCTCATGCCTGTAATCCCAGCACTTTGGGAATCTGAGGCAGGCAGATCACTTGAGGTCAGGAGTTCGAGACCAGCCTGGCCAACATGGTGAAACCACAGCACTCCAGCTGGGTAACAGAACAAGACTCCATTTCAAAAATAAATAAATAAAATATAAACCCCATATGATAGGAAATTCAGGAACATTGTATTAGTCAGGGCTTTCCAGAGAAACGGAAATAATAGGATATATAGACATAGATATATGAGGGTGGATTTAATATGAGAATTGGCTCATGTGTTCATGGAGTCTGAGAAGCCCCACAATATGCCATCTATAAGCTGGGGAACCAGGAAGACTGCTGGTGTGGCTCAGTCTGACTCCAAAGGTCTGAGAGCCAGAGGAGCCTATGGTGTAACTCTCAGTCCAAGTCCAAAGGCCTGAGATCCAGAGGGGTTGCTGGTGGAAGTCCAAGAGTCCCAAGGCCAAAGAACCCAGAATTTTGATGTGCAAGGGCAGGGGAGAAGATGGATATACAAGCTCCAGAAGAGAGTGAATATAGCTTTTCTCTTTGTTCCATCTGGTCCCTCAACTGATTGGATGGTGCCTGCACACATTGGGTGAAGGCAGATCTTCCTTACTCAGTCCAGTGATTCAAATGCCAATCTCTTCTGGAAATACCCTCACAGGCATACCTGGAAATAATGTTTTACCAGCTATCTGGGTATCCCTTAACCAGTCAAATTGACACCTAAAATTAACCATCACAAATATACTCTTAAAGAGCCCATGGCTCAAAGATGAAATTATGAAAATTCAAAAATAATTTGAATTGAAAGATTATGTAAATATCAATTGAAATGCAACTCAAGCAGTACTTAGAGAAATTTGATAGCTTTTATGCATATATTAGAAAACAAAATAAAAAGGCTGAGTTGAGCATCCATTCTAAGAATTTTGAAAGAGAACAGCAAAACAAAACAGAAAAGAATATAATAAAGATGAGAACAAAAATTAATAAAATAGAAAAGCACTATAGAGGTACAATAAAGACTGAAGATGGGTTTTTTTTTTAAAGATTTATGAAATTGATAACTTCCTGGCAAGAATGTTAAGTAAAAAAAAGATAAGGCACTAATAACCGTCAAAGAAAAAAAAAGACGATTAGAAAGCCAGGATTGATTGCTGAGTAGAAGAGTTTTACTGCTAAACAGGCAATCCAATAAAGCATGGAGTCTAGGAAGGCTCTGCTGGTTGAGGTTTGGAGGAGAAAAGAAAGGACCACAAATTGTCTTGTCCCAAATGAGAAATGCAAAGCCCCTAGACATTGTTAATTATCTGGCAGTATCTAGGCTTGTTGAGTCCATACATACTGGGCTAGCTAAGGGCATGTCCTGTGTAAGTATGATACATACATAGCAGGAGTAGGACATCCAGGGGCCTCTGCTTTGCACAGGTAGCAACTGAGTCAAGATTGGGTCATCCAGCCAACTCTACAATGACATTGGCAGGCAAGGTGGCCAAGTCAGGGTTTATTATAACTAATATCAGGAGTAAAAAGGAGACTGCTATAGATGCTGCAGACACGTTTGAAAAGAAAAGATTATGAACAGATTTCTGTCAATATTTGCAAAATTTTAGATAAAATAGATGAATTTCCAGAAAAACATAATTTACTAAAACTGATTCATTAAGGAGTATAAAGTCTGAATGGTTCCATAACTATGAGTGAAATTAAAGCAGTAATTTAAAAAATCTTTCCACAAAGAAAATTCCAGGCCCAGACAGCTTCACTGGTGACGTCTACCTAACATTCAAAAACAGACAGACTCACACATAACCTAAGATGGAAACATAACAAGGACAATGTTAGGAATAAAAATTATGGGCTAATTTTACTTTGGAAAAGAGATGCAAAAATCCTAAACAAAATACTAGCAAACCAAAATCAGTAATATATAAACAAGATTTAGAGTATATAGAGTTTGTCTCTGGAATGCAAACTTGGTTTAACATTAGAAAATCAATGTAATCCACCACATTAAGAAAACTTAAGTGAAAAATGTCAACTTTTCATGAATAAAGGATAATATTTTGTTTTTTGTGAAGAAGCTGGAATCGAAATCATTTTTTTTTTTATTCCCCTTGGTGTATTTTTTCCCCTGGCATTTTCCATTTTGATTAGGCTGATTTTCAGCCAAGAGGTATGACAATGTCATTGGCATGCCATACGAGAGGTTGTATGTGATGCTTTTCATGGCAGGGAGCAGGCTCAGATTAGCATCATCCCCATTCACAGTCTCCCATTTATGACACTTAAAAATTAGTGACTAGCAAGGGCTTACTGAATACATGGCTTCCATTAATATGCCTTGTAAGAGAAAGATAAATTGATCCAAAATGCAATCTCTGCCTTCTAACCAAGAGAGACAAATCTTAAAGAAAAAAATCTTAAACTCATATGGACCATGGATGTTACCCCTACTCCCCAGCCCGCTTCAGGGGCTAAAGGACCAAACATTCTATTTATCTTCTATGAAGTGAAAGTCAATTTATTTGCTTTAATACCTCTTCATTTTAATGCTCCTTCCCCAAACTCTCCTTTGAATTCTTCAGCCCTGAATCAACCTTCTTGCTTATCTCCTTCAATATACATAGTTTAGACAAACCAAGATAATGAGCTGCCAAATATTATTTTTAATTGTTTTTTTTAAAAGGTTAAAGAGGCTTGCCTCAGCTGTGCTTTCTTAACCAGATTATTAACTGCCCAAGGGCAGACACTTTGCCTTTTATATTAAACTTGATGAAGAACAGAACAACAGAAGCTAGAGCTGGAGGAGAATTTTAAAGTCTGTTTATTGCAGCTGCTCCTTGGGTTAGTTGTCTCTAAAATATCTCCCATTAAGTGTTCTCAGGCCTGTGCTTAAAGACATCAAGGATTGCTGAACTCACTTGGGCACAGTGGGACATTAGAAATATCCACTAATGGTGATGGTGTTGATAAGCATGCTTCGGTAAGAAAAATTTCCTCATTTCTTTCTTTCTTAGCACCTGTCAACAGTCTTGGGGTGGGGGAAGGGGAGAGGGAGTTGCATTTCAAAATATATCTTCCACTATATTCCCAATGTTACATTGAAATTCCGTGCATTGGCCCTAGATAGGATATGTGTAACATATATATGTTCTAAATAAGACACTAATAAGCTCACTTCCTGAAGACAGACAAAGGGCAAAGGAACTACCTGAGAGATAATATTATTTACCGCCCCTTAGTAGACATGTCCTTTGAATTGCTCTTTATTTTTCCTTAGGAGAAGGATAGATAGACTCTATTTATCTGTACATTCCCACCCAGTTCTCCTTGTGACCACAGGCACAGATTTTAAGACAATTGGCCTGTGTTAGTAATGTAATTTGTAGTGGACGATGCTAGGGGCCCTCATGGGGATCAGGTTCCTGAATTTCATACCAAGCATTGACATTAATAAATGACTAAAGACTCATGGTGATTCTGTTGTGGACTAAGCGATTTACTGCTGCTTCTGTTGATGTCAGTATTATCTAGAAATAGTAAATATGCTGTGACAGGGACAGCTGACACCTGGCAGCCAATTTGTTAAAATTATCCCATGCTTCTTGTGGCAATGTGGTAGCTTTAAATTCATAAAGGTAGCTGCTTCTGGTATATTGAAAGGATTATTTTCCTTCTTGACATGGAGGGTAATAAATTAGGCAATGTACTCTAAAGAACCCACATAACTGAAAGATACAGGGCCACTAAACATAGACAATATCATAAGATACTGTTAATACAGGTCTCAGGATCCCCTAAACACTCTGCATTTTCATCTGCCTTTGTTGTGATGAAAGAGCCCAGTGCTCAAATGAAGGATGGAAAAGAAGCTAAAGGTAGAAAACAGAGGGGTGGCCAGAGCACAGATCTAATTAATAAATCATGCCTACTCTGCTTTTAAGTCATTACTGCTGCCAGGAAGTGCAGATTTCCTCATGGTGCTGGCCACAAGTTTTGGGAGGGCCAATGTCCTCTCAAGATTAGAGCTGGCCAAGTAGAATAGGGAAGTTAAGTCTGTCAAACCCAGTAACCAAAGACTGACTTACTAATGGAATATTCCATACTCAGAGAAATGTAACTTTGGCTCTGACATGATTGGCTATTTTCATTTTCTTTACAATAATGCTGGAATAAAACTGTTAGCAGTGGGTGAGTCTATATGGGTCTGCAGCAATGTCAGTTCTTGCCTCCTAAGAAGAAAGAATTTGACCAAAGGGCATAAGGCAGAGTGAGAAATGGAGGCAAGTTTTAGAGCAGGAATGAAAGTTTTTTAGAAAGTTTTTAAAAAATTTTAGGGCAGGAACAAAAGGAAGTAAAGTGCACTTGGAAGAAGGCCAGTGGGCAACTTGAGAGATTCAAGTGTGCAGTTTGACCTCTGACTTTGGGTCTTAAACAATGGCATGCTTCTGTGGTTGCATTACTTCTCCCCTGAGTCTTCCCTTTGGTTGGGCTATCCACATGCTCAGTGGCCTGCTAGCACTTGGGAGGGGCTGCAAGCATAGTGTATTTACTGACGTTGTACACATGCTCACTTCAGGCGTTCTTCCGTTACCAGTAGTGTTCCTAGAAGGTCATATATGAGTTAAGCTCCACCATTTTGCCTTAGTGCACATGGTTGAGCCCACTTGCCCCAACTCCTGAGATCTTATCGGGAAGCTGCTGATCTGCAGTTTCAGGTTTTTTCTGTCTATTGGGAGACTGCCTTTCCCTGGTACTTGCTGTGACCAATTATTATTTTAAAGAGACAGTTTTAACAACTGCCTGACCATCACCTGATGGTCACCGGACATTCCTGGTAGGTGGGGGGCCCTCTTCTGCCCTGCTCATGCCTGACTACCTACTGTAACAAAACTATTGTTTAAAATTTTAGGCACTGGTTGGGTGTCAATTGTTTTGTATTTTTAAATTGGTAATCATAATTGTTACCTTTCAGAAGCTGAGAGTGTACATTTTCCCTATATATTTGCTTTCTATTATCTAAAATGGATTCCAAATAAGTAATTATGAAGTGTGATCAGATAATGGCTAACATTTGTTGATCAGTTTACCATATGCCAGGGATTGTCTTAAATGCTGTACATATTTTAACTTTAATTCTCACAACAACCTCATGAAAGTACACTTTATTATCCCTATTTTAAACATTAAGAAACTGAGGCTAAATAACTTGCTTGATGTCACATAGCTGGTTATGGTGTCTTTAAACCTGATACTAAGCAGCATGACTACAAAACCCCAGTTCTTAACCACTATTCTATGCAAATGAGCAATGTCTATGAAATTAAGCTGAAAGAGAGAAAATGTCCTCTTCTAAAAATGGGAAAAATGTTGTGGCAATTCATAGGCTATTGGTAGGACCAAAGATAATATATGTGAAATGCTTAGTACAGTATCTGGTCCTTAGTGTGGTGGACTTTGAATAGCTGTTAGCTGTCAGAATTGTTACCAACCTTAAGGTAAATTTTAGGTGTTCCAGATGCTTTGGCTTGTCTCATTCTCACAGGAGTCTTGGCCTGCTGGGAAGGTTGCATAGTGCCTTTGGTAAATAAGCTCTGTAATTGTAGGCCTTGAAGCCAAACCTGGGTGGCACTTTGAAGATGGGATTAAAGTACTAACTTGTAGCTGCCAAGTACCCAGCAGGGCAAATGTCTCAGTGTCCGGCAGGTTTTTCTGTTCTAGCATTCTCTCTGAGAGCAGGATTTTCCCAGTGGTATGTTTTACAAATATGTCAAATTGCCACTTGTTTCCTGTGCTATTTAGATAAGTGAAAGAAACATTTAGAATTTGTGGTCTGCTACCTTCAAACACTAAATATTCCAGTTAAAAATTATATATATATATATTTTAAAACTTGATATATATATTTATATAAAATATATAATATTATCTATTAGAATATATATTTTGCTGGCATATTATATATAAATGCATATATAAATGCTATATATATCTCCTAGTACTTTGGGAGGTCGAGGCACGAGGATCACCTGAAGCCAGGAGTTCAAGACCAACTGGGACAACATAGTGAGACCCAGTCTCTATAAAAAACTTAGCCAGGCTACTCGAGAGGCTGAGGCAGGAGGATCACTCCTGGACTCGAGCTCAGGAGTTGGATGCTACAGTGAGCTATGATTGTACCACTGCATTCTAGCCTGGGTGACAGAACAAGACCCTGTCTCTAAAAAAAAAAAAAAAATACACCTTGCCTGTCACTTCAAAGGACCCAATAGTTGTTGTAGTGGCAGATATGATGGCCTCCTTTGCTTCTGTTTGTGCAGAGACCACCTCTGGGCACAGGGAGTGCTTTGGATGTCTACTTACAGGGATGCCAGATGCCATGCAGCTTCCTTACTGGCCTGGAGAGAAACTGCTTAGTGGCTGTTATGAACTGAATGCTTGTGTCCCGGTGCCCAAATTTGTATGTGGAAACCCTAACCCCCAGTGTGATGGCATTTGGAGATGGGGCCTTTGGAAGGTAATTAAAGTTAGATGAGATCGTGGGGTGGAGCCTTATGATGGGATTAGGGCCCTTATAAGTAGAGACACTGCAGAGCTTGACCTTGCCCTCTCTTCTTACCATGTGAGGACACAGCAAGAGGTAGCTGCTTACAAGCCAGGAATACAGCCCTCGCCAGAACCCCACCAGAACCCTACCATGCTGGCACCCCATTTTGGACTTCTAGCCTCCAGAACTGCAAGAAAATATGTTTCTGTTGCATCAGCCACATAAGTTTTGGTATTTTGTTATGACAGCCCAAGCAGACTAATATAGTGGTTATCTCTTCATTGAGGAGCCTTTAAGCAAAACCAGCATAAGAAGAGAGTGCTGGTATGAGTGAGCCCTGCCTACCTATTAGTACTCTGTTTGACTCTTTGTTTTAGCTCTTTAGGAGATGACCTATGAAATGCACAATAGGGGTGAGATGAAATTACAGTTTTAAAAGGTAATAGAAATAATGTTGAAAGAAGGCAAATTCCCAAACCCAAGAGTATCCTCTAGCTTTGGTAAAAGGTCCTTGTTGGTGCCCTTTGAGGTTGGCATGTCTTGCACTTCCTTTGACCAACCCACCTGATCTTTCTCTGGATGCTTTAACTAAGGTGAGGTTGGTCAGCATTTATTTTTATAGTTCTTTTTTGATTGTCAAAATACAGGCAAAATGCGAATTAGGATTTTTTTCTTATGCCACTATTTTTTAACATAGTATTTCCTTCTTCAGTCATTAATATAAAAGCTGGAATATATGCATCTGCATACACATATCTATATCATATATATGTGTATACATACATATATACATGTACAGAGATTTCTCAATAAGAATATTGAGACAGAAAAAAAGACTATCTTTTTTTCTAAATATTTTTCTACGTAAGAACAAAGTGCTATTGCCACATTCTTGCATTAACAGGCCAAGAATAAGGTCTTAATAAGGCCATTAATTCTGGATGTTGAATAATAATAATAATAATAATAATACAGGGTATATGGTTGATCATAGTACAATAAAAAGTCTAAAAGAAAAAGGGGCCGGGCACGGTGGCTCATGCCTGTAATCCCAGCATTTGGGAGGCCGAGGCGGGCAGATCACCTGAGGTCAGGAGTTCAAGACCAGCCTGGTCAACATGGTGAAACCCCGTCTCTCCTAAAAATACAAAAATTAGCTGGGTGTGGTGGTGCATGCCTGTAATCCCAGGTACTCCGGAGGCTGAAACAGGACAATCGCTTGATCCCAGGAGGTGGAGATTGCAGTGAGCCGAGATCGTGCCACTGCACTCCAGCCTGTCCGACAGAGCAAGACTCTGTCTCAGAAAAAAAAAAAGAAAAAGGAAAAGAATCCCTCAGATGTTATCATATTTGAGATAATATAAAAATCCAATCAATATTAAACTCTGTTCTTGTAATTCACCAGATGTTTCCAGTTTTGCCCCTTCTGGACACTTAGTAAGATTACGTGACTGGGATCCCTTCAGGGTAGGGTTGGGCTATATGACTATATCTGGCCAGTGGGTTATGAGCCATGTGAGTCACTTGTGCAACAGAGCATTCAATTGCCAGTGTCAGACCCTCTAGAATACTCTCTGTCTGCTAGACAGTGACAGATAGTGCTGAGTGATTACAATGAGCAGAGGCCTTGCTGACCCTTGGATGGCAGTGTGCAGAGAAATAAGTCTTTTATGTTTAAGCCACTGAGATTTGGTGGGGAGGGAAGGGGTCTTTTCATTACTGCAGCATAATCTAGCTTGTCCTAATCAATAGAATTATATTGGCAAATTGCTGATATTGACTCTCAGTGGACAATGGAACAGTGGTAAGCTTTTGAAGAAATTAGTTCCTAGAAGTGACCTTTGTCAGTTGTCTTCATACCATTCCTGAAAAGAAAAATGATTAAAGAATTCTCCATTGTCCACTCTAGCTATTGTAGAAAACAGTCCTGTGCATGTGGCTATGTCAGTTGATAGGTATCTATCTTCATACGGTCAGCTAAAAATAAAAATATCACAACATGTCTAAAGTGCCTCATGCACTTTGCTAACTGACCAGTATAGACTGGTATAGGGAGCCTAACCATGTGTAGACTGATCAATGTTTAGAATCCTACGGGTGACCCTCTAGACCAGATTGAATATTTAAGGAGGCTTTCACAGGTTATCAATTCTATATTGGTTTAAATGTTTACGTATATCTGTGGGACCACTTATGTTTGCTTATTAGTAGGCAATTTATGTGTGTAAGCCTGCTAACAAAAAGGGAACTGACATTTAAGTAGTATTGAGAGACCATAAAGAGAGAGGTTTAAATGTATAATCTTTATTTTTTTCATAAACAAATAAAATGACATAAAATGACAGTGATAAACACTGTCATCCTTCTCATTACCTTCTCATGACTGTTGCTAAGGACATGGCTGGGACTCAAATGCAGAAAGCCCAAAGCCAAAGCTAGTGCTCATGAACCCCCAGACCCTCCTGTGTCTGGCCTGAGAGTGGAGAGAGTGCTAGGAGTGCTCCTAACAATGGCCTTGTCATTTGTTCGAGAACTCAGTAAGTCTGAGACCTGAGCCCAGCAAAGAATGTGAGGAGCAGCATTTCCAGCACAAAAACAGCACGTGAAAGGCCTCTGCCTTGAAAGCACCCATCATGTCAGAAGATACAGAAGGTCAGCCTGGCTGGAACCTCGTGAGCCAGGAGACATTGACACAGTGGTGTCCATGTCAAGGAGAAGAAAGCAGAGCCATAACCCTGTGGGGAACAGGCATATGAAAAGCCATGTTACAAGAGGGCTCATGAGACCATTGACCTAACGTGCAGATGTCAGACAAAACCCAAATCATATTAAAATTACATTCTTAATTTTTCTTTCACTTACAGTACTCAATATTAAGCAGGAGTTGAGGGTTGTAACCTGATGATGTATTTACAAAGTTTCTTCTGACGAAGAATCACTTGAACATTAAGGAAAGAACATTCATGTTAACACAAATACCGATTCAAATGTTGAGAAGAAAAAGGAGCCCCTTCCTCATCTCTTACTATAGATCTGATAAAAGTGAAATTTGAGAGAGTGCATTCATGAACCCTTTCTCCCACTGCCCCCCGTGCTGATGCAGGGGGAAAAAAAAGGAAATAATTTGAATGCTTCAGAAAAGTCATAGAACTTTCTACCCTTCCACCAGATGGTGAGCTCTTTACAGCAAAGATTTTTGTCTTAGCTTTGAATTAATATTTCTAGTATTTCTTGTAGAATCTATTACTTAGTGAGTTCTCAAAATCTGTTGGAGGGCAGGCAAGCAGAAAGGATGGGAAGACAGGAGAAAGAGAGGGAAGAGGAAAAAATATGGGAAGATAGTAAGCCTTTTATTTATTTATTTATTTTTGCCTGGAGCACAGGAACCAATTTGAGGTTCACAAGGAGGTGAACACAGGCTGTCAAGAGGCTGCATATGAGCCATCAGGTACCATCATGCTTCAAAGGGCAAAAGGAAGATGGTTACCAGACCTGCATTTTCAAAGTTTTTCAGTGACATCATCACAATTAAATGACTAGTTTTTGTCTCATGAATGTTGGTTTTTATTGAGAAAAAATTTAACATGAAGACAGATTAAAAGAGAGTAATGGGAACAGTCTACTATAGTTTTTTTAAAAGTCCACTTCCCTTTATATGGTCCATTTATGTGGAAGCTATTATGACTGATTTTGGCTCCATAGCAGAAGATCTGAGATTTTCAGCATCACTTCAGCAAAAATTGTTATGGTAATAATATGAAGGTCTTTAAATCTTGCTGATTAATATAGAGCTTGGCTAACCTAATTAAGTGATTCTGCCAGAAACTGGGTTTAGGTCTGTTAACATGGCATAATAAATTTCAAATGAAGCTTCCTTTGACTGTCTTACCCCAGAACAGTTGTATTTTTAAAAAATATTGTGGGTACATTTAGGTATATATATTTATGGGGTACATGAGATACTTTGATACAGGCATGCAGTACATAATAATCACATCATGGTAAAAGGGGTATCCATCCCCTCAAGCATTTATCCTTTGTGTCGCAAACAATCCAGTTATACTCTCTTCATCATTTTTAAATGCACAATTAAATTATTGAGTACAGTCCCCCTGTTCTGCTAGCAAACAGTAGGTCTTATTCATTCTTTCTAACTATTTTTTTGTACACATTAACCATCCCCACTTCCCCTCTACTTCCCCCACTACCCTTTCCAGCTTCTGGTAACCATCCTTATCCTCTATCTCCATGAGTTCCAATTGTTTTAATTTTTAGCTCCTACAAATAAGTGAGAACATGTGAAATTTGTCTTTCTGTGCCTGGCTTATTTCATTTAACATAATGACTTCCAGTTCCATCCATGTTGTTGCAAATAACAGGATCTCATTCTTTTTTATGGCTGAATAAAAAATGTACATTGTATTTATGTACCATGTTCTCTTCATCCATTCATCTATTGATAAACACATAAGTTGCTTGTAAACCTTGGTTATTGTGAATAGTGCTGCAATGAACATGGGAGTGTAGATATCCTTTCAATATACTGATTTCCTTTCTTTTGGGTATATATCCAGCAGTGGGACTGCAGGATCCTATGATTGTTCTATTTTTAGGTTTTTGAAAAACCTCCAAATGGTTCTCCATAGTGGTTGTACAAATTTACATTCCCACCAACAGTGTATGAGGGTTCCCTTTTCTCTATATCCCCACTAGTGTTTATTATTGCCTGTCTTTTGGATAAAATCCACTTTAACTGGGATGAGATGATATCTCATTGTAGTTTTGATTTGCATTGCTCTGATAATCAATGATGTTGAGCACCTTTTCATAGGCCTGTTAGCTATTTATGTCTTCTTTTAAGAAATCTCTATTCATATTTTTTGCCCATTTTTAAAATCAGATTATTGGATTTTTTTCCCTTTAGATTTGTTTGAGGTCCTTATAGATTCTGGTTACTATTCTCTTGTCAAATGGGTAGTTTGCAAATATTTTCTCCATTCTGTGGGTTGTCTCTTCACTTTGTTGATTGTTTCTTTGCTGTGCAGAAGCTCTTTAACTTGATGTAACCTCATTTGTCCAGTTTTGCTTTTGTTGCCTGTGCTTGTGGGGTATTACTCAAGAAATTTTTGCCCAGACCAATGTTCTGGAGAGTTTCCTCAAAGTTTTCTTGTTATAGTTTCATAGTTTGAAATCTTAGATTTAACTCTTTAATCTATTTTGATTTTTGTATATGGTGAGAGATAGGGGTCTAGTTTTATTCTTCTGAATAAGATACCAGTTTTCCCAACACAATTTATTGAAGAGACTCTCTTCCTTAATGTATGTTCTTGACACCTTTGTCAAAAATGAATTCACTGTAAGTGTGTGGACTTGTTTCTGCGTTCTCTATTCTGTTCCACTGGCCTATATGTCTATTTTTATGTCAGTAGCATGCCATTTGGCTACTTAGCTCTGTAGTGTAATTGGAAGTCAGGTATTGTGATTCCTCCAGTTTTGTTCTCTTTGCTCCTCAGGATAGCTTTGGCTGTTCTGGGTCTTTTGTGGTTTCACGTATGTTTTAGGATTGTTTTTTCTATTTCTGTGAGGAATGTCATTAGTATTTTGAAAGGGATTGCATTGAATCTGTAGATTGCTTTGGGTAGTATGGACAGTTTAACAATATTGGTTCTTCCAGTCCATGAACATGGATTATCTTTCCATTTTGGGGGGGTTCTCTTCAATTTCTTTCATCAGTGTTTTATAGTTTTCATTATAGATATCTTTTACTTCTTCAGTTAAATTTCTTTCTAGATATTTAATTTTATTTGTAACTATTATACTTGGGATTACTTTTTAAATTTTTATTCAGATTGTTCACTATTGGCATATAGAAATGCTACTGATTTTTGTATGTTGATTTTGTATCCTGCAACTTTACTGAATTTGTCTATCAGTTCTAATAACTTTTTGGTGGAGTCTTTAGTTTTTTCCAAATATAAGATAATATCCTATGTAAACTAGGATAATTTGACTTCTTTTCCAGTTTGGATGCCCTTTATATCTTTCTCTTATCTGATTGCTGTAGCTAGGACTTCCAGTACTATGCTGAATAACAGTGGTGAAACTGGGCATCCTTGTCATGTTCCAGATTTTTGAGAAAAGACTTTCAATTTTTCCCCATTTAGTATGATACTAGCTGTGGGTCTGCCACATTTAGCTTTTATTATGTTTAGGTATATCCCTTCTATACTCAGTTTTTTGAGGATTTTTATCATGAAGGGATATTGAATTTTACCAAATACCTTTTGGCATCAATTGAAGTGATCATATGGTTTTTGTGCTTCATTCAGTTGATATGAGTATCACATTGATTGATTTGTATATGTTGAACCATCCTTGCTTCCACAGGATAAATCCCACTTTGTCATGATGAATGAAGTTTATCATGTGTTGTTGAATTCAATTTGCTAGTATTTTGTTGAGGATTTTTGCATCAGTGTTCATCAGGGATATTGGCCTGTAGGTTTTTTTGATGTGTCTTTTTCTGGTTTTGGTATCGGGATAATACTGGCCTCATAGAATGAGTATGGAAGTGTTCTATCCTCCTCTATTTTTTTGAACACTTTGGGTAGGATTGGCATTAGTTCTTTAAATGTTTGGTAGAATTCAGCAGTGAAGCCATTGGGTCCCAGCATTTCTTTACTGGAAGACTTTCATTATGGCTTCACGCTCATGATTTTTTATTGGTCTGTTCAGGTTCTGGATTGCTTCATGGTTCAATCTTGGTAAGTTGTATGTGTCTAGGAATTTATCCATTTCCTCTAGGTTTTCCAAGTTATTGGCATAGTTGCTCATAGTAGCCACCTAATGACCCTTTGAATTTCTGCAGTATCAGTTGTAATGTTTCCTTTTTCACCTCTGATATCATTTCTTTGAGTCTTCTCTTTTTTTATTCTTAGTCTGGCTAAAGGTTTGTCAATTTTATTTATCTTTTCAAAAACCCAACTTTCTGCTTTATTGATCCTTTGTATTGTTTCGTTTATTTCAATTTTATTTATTTCTGCTCTGATCTTTATAATTATTTTTTCCTACTAATTTTGGGTTTGATTTGCTCTTACTTTTCTAGTTCTTTAGATGCACCATTAGGTTGTTTATTTGTTTTTCTACTTTTTGATGTAAGCATTGGTAGGTATAAACTTCCCTCAGTACTGCTTTCACTGTATCCCATAGATTTTGGAATGTTGCATGTCCATTATCATTTGTTTTGAGAAATTTATCCATTTCTTTCTTATTTTCTTCATTGACCCACTGGTTATTTAGGAGCATATTGTTTAATTTCCATGTGTTTGTACGATTTTCAAAATTCCTCTTGTTATTGATTTCCAGTTGTATTCCTTTGTGGTCAAAGAAGATGCTTGATATTATTTCAGTTTTTTGAATGTTTTAATACTTTTGCTTTGTGACCTAAAATATATTCTATCCTTGAGAATGATCTGTGTGCTGAGGAGAAGAATGTGTATCCTACAGACCTTGAAGAAATGTTCTGTAAATATCTGTTAGGTCCATTTGTTCTATTATGCAGATTAAGTCCAATGTTTCTTTGCTGATTTTCTATCTGGAAGATCTGTCCAACACTGAAAATGGGGTGTTAAAGTCTCAAGCAATTATGGCATTGAGATCTCTCTCTCTCTTTAGCTCTAATAATATTTATATATCTGGGTGCTTCATTGTTGGGTGCATAATTACAATTGTTATATCCTCTTGCTGAATTGACCCCTTTATCATTATATAATGAGCTTATTTGTCTCTTTTTATAGTTTTTTCTTGAAATCTATTTTGTCTGATACAAGTAGAGCTACTATTTGGCTTCCATTGGCATGGAATATCTTCTTTCATCCCTTTATTCAGTCTGTGTGTATCTTTATAGGTAAAGCGTGTTTCTTGTAGGCAACAGGTCATTTGGTCATTTGGTCTTGCTTTTTTATCCATTTAGGCACTCTGTCTTTTCATTATAGAGTTTAGTTCATTTACATTTAATGTTGTTATTGGTAAGTAAGGACTTACTCTTGCCATTTTGTTATTTGTTTTCTGATTATTTTGTGGCCTTCTCTTCCTGTTTTTCTTCCTTTCTGTCTTCCTTTTGGTGAAGGTAATTTTCTCTGGTGGTGTGGTTTAATTTCTTGCTTTTTATTTTTTGTGTATTCAGTGTATGTTTTTTGATTTGATGTTACCGCAAGGCTTGCAAGTAATACAACCCATTACTTTTGTTTTGTTTTATTATACTTTAAGTTTTAGGGTACATGTGCACAATGTGCAGGTTTGTTACATATGTATACATAACCCATTATTTTTAACTGATAACAACACTGATTGCATAAACAAACAAAAAAACACGAAAAGAAAACTAATAAAAATTCCACACTTTAACATCTTCCCCCCAGTTTTTAACTTTTTGTTCTTTCTCTCTGTCTCATTTTACTGTTTATGTCTTAAAAAGTTGTTGTAGTCATTATTTTTTATTGGTTCATCATTTAGTCTTTCTACTTATAAGAGTAGTTTACATATCACAATTGCAGTATTATAATATTCTGTCTTTTCCTGTGTGCTTACTATTGAAAGTGAGTTTTATATCTTCAGATGAGCACTTGTTGCTCATTAATATCCTTTTCTTTCAGATTAAAGAATATCCTTTAGCATTTCTTATAGGACAGGTCTGATGTTGATGAAATCCCTCAGATTCTGTTTGTCTGTGAAGGTCTTTATTTCTCCTTCATGTTTGAAGGATATTTTCACCAGATATACTATTCTAGTGTAAAAGGGTTTTTTTTTTTTTTCCTTCAGCACTTTAAATATGTCATGCCACTCTCTCCTGGCCTGTAAGGTTTACACTGAGAAGTCTGCTTCCAGACATATTGGAACTCCATTGTATGTTATTTGTTTCCTTTCTCTTGCTGCTTTTATGATACTTTCTTTATCCTTGACCTTTGGGAGTTTGATTATTAGATGCCTTGAGGTAGTCTTCTTTGGGTTAAATCTGCTTGGTGTTCTATAACCTTCTTATACTTGAATGTTGATATCTTTCTCTAGGTTTGAGAAGTTCTCTGATATTATCCCTTTCAATAAACTTTTTGTTGTTTTTTTTGTTGTTGTTGTTGTTGTTGTTTGTTTGTTTTTTTAGACAGAGTTTCACTCTTGTTGCCCAGGCTGGAGTACAATGGCATGATCTTGGCTCGCTGCGACTTCCACCTCCCAGGTTCAAGCAATTCTCCTGCTCAGCCTCCCAAGTAGCTGGGATTACAGGTGCCCACCACTACGCCTGGCTAATTTTTTTTGTATTTTTAGTAGAGATGGGGTTTCACCATGTTGTCCAGGCTGGTCTTGAACTTCTGACCTCAGGTGATCCACCTACCTCGGCCTCCCAAAGTGCTGGGATTACAGGCATAAGCCACTGTGCCCCACCTCCTTTCAATAAACTTTCTACCCCTATCTCTGTCTCTATCTCCTCTTTAAGGCCAATACCTCTTAGATTTACCCTTTTGAGGCTATTTTCTAGATCTTGTAGGCGTGCTTCATTTTTTTTATTCTTTTTTCTTTTGTCTCCTCTGACTGTGCTTGTGTCACCCCTCTCCAAGCTCCAGGTGGCTCAGCACAGGGAGAGAGATCTGTTTGATACATTCTTCAGTAGGTCAATTGCATTTTTTAACTCTAGAATTTCTGCTTGATTCCTTTTAATTATTTCAGACTCTTTGTTAACTTTATCTGATAGAATTCTAAATTCCTTCTCTGTGTTACCTTGAATTTCTTTGAGTTTCCTCAAAACAGTTATTTTGAATTCTCTGTCTGGAAGGTCATATATCTCTGTTTCTCCAGGATTAGTCCCTGATGGCTTATTTAGTTCTTTGGGTGAAGTCATGTTTTCCTGGATGGTGTTAATGCTTGTAGATGTTATTCAGTGTCTGGGCATTGAAGAGTTAGGTATTTATTGTAGTCTTCACAGTCTGGGCTTGTCTGTGCCTGTCCTTCTTGGGAAGGCCTTCCAGTATCCAAAGGGACTTGGGCACCAAGCCCAATAATACTGTGTATTTTTCAGACTCTTAGAGGTACCACCTTTGTGGTCTTGGATAAGATCTGGAAGAATTCTCCAGATTACGAGGCAGAGACTCTTGTTCTTTTCCCTTACTTTCTCCCAAACATACGAAGCCTCTCTTTCCCTGTGCTGAGACACATAGAACTGGGAGTGTGGTGATGCAACCACCCCTGTGGTTCCCACCACTAGGACTACACTGAGTCGGACCTGAAGTCTGCACAGCACTGGATCTCACCCAAGGCCCACTGTAACCACTATGTGGCTACTGCCTATGTTCACTCAAGGCCCTAGGGCTTTATAGTCAGCAGTTTGGGAAACCAGCCAGGATTATGTGCTCACCTGCAGGGCAGTGAGCTCCCCCAGGCTCTGGGCAGGTCAGAAATGCTGTCTGGGAGCCAGGGATTGGAGTAAAAAAAAAACGTAAAATCTACCTGGTACTCTATTCTAATATGGCTATGCTGGCCCTCAAACCACAAGACAAAGTTCTTCCTGCTCTTTCTTCCCCTTTCCATAGGCAGAGGAGCCTCTCTCAGTGGCCACCACCACTGACCCATGGTGAGTTCTGCCAGGCCATTGTCAATGTTCCCTTAAAGTGCAAAGGCTCTTCAGTCAGCTTTTGGTGAATGCTGTGAGGCCTGGGACTCACTTTCAGGGCAGTGGGCTCCCTTCTGGCCCGGGGCAGGTCCAGAAATGCTGTCCAAGAGCCTGCTTGTTGCTCTACCCCACTGTGGCTGAGCTGGTACCTGCGGTGCAAGACAGAGTCCTCTTTACTTTCCTCTCTGCTTTTCTCAAATATAAGGAGTCTTTCACTGTAGACACCACAGGTAGGAATGTTCTAGGACTCACCTGAAACCAGCATAGCTCTGAGTCTCACCTAAGGCCCACGGCAAGTACAGCCTGGCTACTACTACTGATTATTCGGGGCCCAATGACTCTTTAGTCAGCAGGTGATGAATCCTGCCAGAAATGGGTCTTTTCCTTCAAGGCAGAAGGTTCCTTTCTGGCCCAGGGTATGTCTACAAATGTCTGGAAGCTAGACCTTAGAATGGGGGGCCTCATGACTCTGCCTGGTGCCCTGTCCTGTTATGGCTGAGCTGGTTTCCAAGATGCAAAACCAAATCCTCTTTACTCTTCTCTCTCCTCTCCTCAAGCAGAAGGAACAAGTCACTTTCTTTGCTGCAAGCTGTGATGCCTGGGGTTACTGAGGTGGGGTAATGCAAGCCCTCTCTTAGCCAACCCGGGTGATGTCTCACAGGTCATATGCTGCCCTAGTCCACCTAAGCCCAGCCCAGCACTAGGATCTGCCTAGGAAGAATTGCAGTCTTTGTGTCCTAGACTGCCTTTCAAGTTTACCTAGAACCCCAGAGCACTTTAGCCCACGGTGGCAAGGCTTGCTGAGAAACTCAAGTTCCGACTGCTGGGATGGGCAATTCCCCTCTGGCTAGGGCTGATCCAAATGCTCCCTCCATGGGTGGGCAATGACTGAGGTCTTCACAGTTTGGCTCCCTGCTGTGACAGGGCAGCACTGAGTTCAATGCCAAGTCCCCCACTTGCTGTGCTTTCCCTCTCCCATAAGCACAGATTCTCCATGGTACATAACCACTGCTGGAGAGTACGGGAGGAGTGGTGTTGGTGATTCAAGACGGTCTTTCCTACCTCTTGAGTGCCTCTTTCAGTGAGAGGAAGTCAAAACCAGGTACTGTGATTGCTTACCTGATGGTTAGTTCTTATGATGGTGCTTTTTTATGTGTAGGTAGTTGTTAAAATGTGGTATTCCTGCACAGGGGCATGATTGGTGGAGGCTTCTATTCAGCCATCTTGCTCCACCTCAGAACTGTTATATTTTCCTGTTTGAGAATGAGGCTTCATGTTTGCATAAAGAAAAAGTTTAAATGTATAATTTATTTTGACTTAATTCCCATGTTGTATTTCTAGGTTAAAAAGTGAAACTGTAGGGTACTACAACCATGGATAATTCAGCAATCCATTCAATAAATGTTTATTAAATGCTATCTATGTCACAGGCCATGTGCACGGTGCTGAGAGTACTGTGGTGAACATATAAGGCAAGGCCCAGCCCTCTGTCTGTTTGTCTTATGTATGAGATATAAGTCCGTCTGTGACTCAGTCCAATGTGGGGACTCCACTTTTCAACGCTGACCTCTGTTAGTCTTCTTGCCACATGTTGCTGGAGCCAGAACAGAGGCCCTGAGGCATTTAGGCAGATAACAGACAGTGTTCAGAGGAACAAGGGGAGGGAGAGCAGGCATTTGGCAGTCTATGTTAAGGAAAGAAGAACCTGCCTTGCAATACAATCAATAGACTTTAACATTAAAGTAAACTTGGAGCAATTGCAAATATAGTGACAGAATTGCCTGCTTTGATACAAAACAGTTGATGCATCCCAGCTATAAAGGCACTGTATAAAAAGAATGTTGGGTTAGACCGACTGGAGAGGATCAGTAGAGCCAGAACAGTAAGGGGAAACCATCTGAAGACAGTTTTCCTATTCACATTGATTAAATTCATCAATACCTGATAAGAGGAGACTGGACATTCATATCAGAACTCACTGTACACAAACTGCAGTTTGCTGTATGTAATTATTCTCAAGTAAATTATAGAGTAATCTGTATATGTTCTCATTTCATAGTACAAACTGGATCATTTTGTGTCCTTTTTTTTGTCATTAAAAGCCATGTATTAAAGACCTACCAGAATGAGATCTTTGCAGGCAGGGACTATAATTTCTCATGCTTACTGCTATATCCCCAGGACCCAGTACACGTCCTGTGCATAGACCGTTGTTTGTGTTGTGGCTGCCTAGGCCTTTTGAGCACCCTTCTGTTTAGGAAATGTCTCACCTTATCAATACTACCTCTCTAAAGTAAAACCAGAAAACACATTTACCCAGCTTTCCTTGCAGCTAGAGGCATGCAGCCTAGGCTTCACCAACCAGATGCACCCACAAGACATTTCCATTCTGAAGTGAACAACACAAGGAAACAGGTTTACCTCAAATCTATTTTTTTCTGGAAAGAGTGACAACTCAAGCATCAGGCTTTCTCCTCCAGGAAGCTTTCCCTGAACATTCCCCATTCATCTCCAGATGGACTGAGTTAGATATCCTTCCTTTAGTTCTACTTTTTCATTGCACTTTCCCATTTGTATTATAACTATTAGCATGTTTTATTACCTTCTAATCGTCTGTAATAATTAAGGTAATACTAGCTGCTCTAATCAACAAACCAAAAGTATGTAGTGAATCAAAAACAATGGAAGTTCCTTAAAGAACTAAAAGTAGATCTACCACTTGATCCAGCAATCCCACTCCTGGTTATCTACCCAGAGGGAAGTGTCATTATATGAAAAAGATACTTGCACATACATGTTTATACCAGCACAATTCGCTATTGCAAAAATATGGAACCAGACCAAATGCCCATCAATCAATAACTGGATAAAGAAAATGTGGTATATATACATCATGAAATACTATTCAGCCATAAAAAGGAACAAAATAATGGCATTCACAGCAACCTGGATGGAATTGGAGACCATTATTCTAAGTGAAGTAACTCAGGAATGGAAAACCAAACATCATATGTTCTCACTCATAAGTGGGAGCTAAGCTATGATGACTCAAAGGCATAAGAGTGACACAGTGGACTTTGGGGACTTGGGGGAAAGTGTGAGTGGGGGGGTGAGGGATAAAAGACTACACATTGGGCACAGCGTACACTGTTCGGGTGATGGGTGCACCAAAGTCTTAGAAATCACCACTAAAGAACTTATTCATGTAACCAAACACCACCTGTTCCCCAAAAACCTATGAAATAAAAAACATGTAAAAAAAAGTTTTCTTTTCTAATCATGTTAGGGCAAAATAGGGTACTTAGGATGAGCAGACACCTCTTCTGCAAGTGATGATTCTGGAATCCAGGCATCTTCCATCTACCTTGTGGCTCCACCATCTGTACCACATGGTTTCCAAGGGTACCATTCCCATCTGAACCAGGCCAGAAGGCAAAGGGCATGGAGAATCACACACTGTGGGGCTTTATAAGCAAGGTCCAGCAGTGATGCTTATCATTTCTGTTCATATTCTATTGCCCAGAACTCAGCTTCATTGCTATCCCTAACTGGAAAATACAGTCTAGCTTCCTTCAGGTAAGAGTACATCAACAGTAGAAAGTCATGATACTGTCGGTTGCAGTGGCTCACACCTGTAATCCTAGCATTTTGGGAGGCCAAGGCAGGAGGATTTCTTGAACCCAGGAGTTCAAGACCAGCCTGGGCAACATAGTATAGAAATGAGGTCTACAAAAAAAATTTTTTTTAATGAGGCAGGAGGATCACTTGACCCAGGAGGTTGAGGCTACAATGAGCCGTGATCACAACACTGCACTCCCACCTGGATGACAGAACAAGACCCTGCCTCAAAAAAAGAAAGAAAGAAAGAAACAGAGAAAGAAAGAGAGACAGAGAGGAAGGAAGGAAGGAAGGAAAGGAAGGAAGGAAGGAGAAAAAGAGAGTCATGATAAAGTGCCATATGTTAACTTCCTGTCATTCTTCTTGCTTCCTTTTTCCTCAGTTGGGAGAAAGAATGACCAGTGCTAAGGCTAATGTAGTAGCCCTGTGCAAATCACAGATGTGACTCTGATCTGGATTCCCTTTACTTGGCTCTCCAGTGCTTTTTTTGCTAAGCATTTCTGTTTAGGGAGCACATATTCATGGGACAGTTGTTTTTGAATGCTTTGCCTGAAATTGCTTTTATCTCCAGGCTCCCCATGTGTCAGTTTGAAAGAGAAAGCGCTTAGCATGCAGCCTGGGCATCACATGTGTTCTGAGATGCTGGCACATGGAAGGCTTAGGAGGTTCCAAATCATTGCCTATTGGCCACCCACAGGCTAATGAAGGAAATGTCTTTTCATTTTCTCTGCTTCTCTCGGACTTAGGTGCCTTATCAGCAGCCAGGGAGAGCTGGGAATACGACTCTGGTGCCAGGGACCTCCAGAGCCCGGATGTGCAGAGCCAGTCAGCCCTCCAGAAGCTGCTCGAGTATGGCGGAAGCTCTTTGCATCAGCAGGCTGCTCTCCACAAACTGCTCACACAGTCCCCGCACATTGGCAACTCTGTAGGAGGAAGCTATCTAGAGCTGGCCAACACAGTGAGTACTTTTTGGTTCATGGAATACATATTTCGGCCTGTCTGTATTCCAATACAAATATTTTAATTTTGTGCTCCAGGGGACATATCGGGTATTGTCTTCTTTATTGCGGTAAATATTGTACCATTTCCAGCATTGCCAGTAATGTTTAGTGTTCCAAAGTTGCCAGCACTTAGGGACTTCACTCTCATGGAGACCAGAGTAGACTCCTAAAAGGTGTTTTGATTAAGGCTGTAACTTGCACAGGTTTAATTACTAGAAGATGCACAACAGCTCTTCCATAACTAGACTACTTCTATGGTTCTAGACATTACAAATTAATAGGATATACTTGCTTCTGTTTCCTAATTTGGACTTTACTTATTTGGAAAACAAAAAGGAAAATATTGCATTGAAGGTTTCTTGTTTCTGGTTATACTTTAAGAGTATTTTCTGTTGAAAACTGTGGGACAACTTAGAAGGCCATTATGTGTAATTTACCTTCCTTTTTCCTTCAAGGTGAGTCACTACAAAGCGACCTTTGGGCAAAGAGCTATTGTCTTCTCTTCTAAGTCAGGGCTGCCAAATGAGGCGGGTGGCCGATGGCCTGGCCATTTTGGGTGACATGCAGACAGTACAAATTGAGATTGCTATGCAGCCACTGTGGGAAAGGTCTAAAAGCCTACCTGGCTTTTTGAAACTGAAGTTCAAATGGTAGACTAAGCATCTCAATAACCTTGACTTATGCATATTTACAGTCTGCTTTGATGTAGACCAGTGGTTTTCAAACTCTGTGTTTGAGGCACACTTTCTAATTCTGACACTTTTGGTGGGATGTTTGAAGGAACTAGCAATTGTAAATATGGCAACAATAATTAAAATACAATCATCAGAAAAATCCCAATTAAATGACAGTCTACAAAATACGTAACCAAAACTCCTCAAAACTGTCAAGGTTATCAAAAACAAGGAAAGTCTAATAAAGAGAAACTGTCCAGCTAAGAGAAGCCTAAGAAAATACGACAACTAAATGGAATGCATATCCTCAATGGGATCCTGGATCAGAAAAAAAGGACATTACAGTAAAACACACATGCACGCACACACACACACACACACACACACACACACTAAGGAAGCCTAGATAAAATATGGACTTTAGTTAATAATAGTGTGTCAACATCAGTTTATTATGACTAGTATACCAAAATAATGTAAGATGTTAATAAGTAGGAAAAACTATTTGTGGGGTATATGATTACTCTCTCTCCTGTCTTTGCAAATTTTGTCTAAAACTATTTGTTTTTTTTTTTGAGATGGAGTTTCGCTCTTGTTGCCCAGGCTGGAGTGCAATTGCGCAGTCTTGGCTCACTGCAACCTCCGCCTTCCAGGTTCAAGCAATTCTCCTGTCTCAGCCTCTCAAGTAGCTGGGATTACAGGTACCTGCCACACCTGGCTAATTTTTGTATTTTTTTTTTTTAGTAGAGACAGGGTTTTCACCATGTTGGCCAGGCTGGTCTCGAACTCCTGACCTCAAGTGATCCACCCGCCTTAGCCTAAAACTATTATAAAATAAAAAATTTATTAAAAACATATAAACATGCACAGTCACTGCTAGGGTATGATAATGTCTCATAAAATCTGTAAAAACATTCATAGTTATTGCACTGTTTGTCACTTGGCCACACTTCAAGGACATTCTTGCACAGTTTGAGTAGAACTCTAACTATCCTAATCTTGCCCTCCTATGTGCTCAGGAGATTAGGCGATTATCAGTGAATATGTCATCTTTCTCTGGCATAGGCCTGGACTTAGGCTATGCCTGCTTCAAATAATTTGCAGCAAGTTGAACCCTCCTCTGTACTATATCAGCTCAGCCTTTTCTCAAGACAGACATTGCCATAACAGGATGGGTTATAGCAGAAATCAGTGTTAAACAGAGATCAAAATTTGATGGTACCTTCTCTGGAGGGTTCCAGGTTCATGGCCGACCAGTTTTCTGCAGCAAATCTGCTATTGAAAACTGTGGGAGTTGGCTGTTTCCTATCTCTGTATGACTCTGTGGTTCCCAGCTTCTCCAGTAACCTCCTGGACTGATTTCTGTTCTCCTGTCTCTCCTGATTGGAGGCCAGCTCAGCCCTTGGGGTTCCCACAGCCAGGTTCTCTAAGTTGGCTCTTCAGGGGAGTCAAGGCACAGAGAGCTCTCACATACCCCACAGTCATATACATACCCTCTTTTTACTTTACTGGTTAAGCTTTAGAAATGAGGGAACACTGCCTAACATTTCCTCTGCACACTCACTTAAGGCGATCCCTTGGCAAGAACTGAACCATGAATGCAAATGCAGGCACTGAAGTCCTATGACTATGATTACACTATTTATTTCCTCACCAAATGGAAAAGTAAAACTTTAAAAATACCATTTGAATTCACAGACCCATTTTTAATGCCCTTGGACCCTGTGGTAGAGTACATTTTGGGCCCCAGTTCTTCATCCTGTCCTGTGTCTTCACCATTTGTCATGCAACTCTAGAGTCCTTCTGTCAGATACGTGAGAGTGATACATGATGGTTGTTTTAACCATTGTGTTTGCGGTAGTTTGTTTCATAGCCATAGTGACTCAGGGTCTACTCAGAAGGGTCTGTAGAGCCCGATTTGAGAAATACCCTTCCCAGGTGGCCAAAGAAAGCAAATAGTCTCTTGAAACTGCACATTTGGGCAATCCCTTTATTTATATAATCACATTAAAAGTAATTTATGTCCCTTCTAAGGAAAAATCTTGAACTAATAAAATTAAGTTTTATTATTTTTCTTTTAAATAGCTACTAAGAGCAAAAGGCATTTTATCAGTGTCTAGTTAGGAGACAGAAAGCACACAGTAATTCACACAGGGAAAGTTTAATATAAATGATTATTAACTAGTAGCAGAGGATTACCTACTAAGGGTAAAGAAAACCGTACTGAACACAGGAATAGCACATACGAAGAACAGCCACTACCCCTAAGGCTGTTCCCAAGGAAAGAGTACCAAAGAAGGAACAAATTTGGAAGAGGGCCCTCCCCTCACCCAGGGCTGATTCAGACCCCTTTCAAAGAAAGTCTGCAGCCCACTGAATTGCAGAGAATTTCCCTGAGATGTTGCAGGCCAGGGCTGGCAAGCAGGAAACCAAACTTCTGAACCTTCGTCCAGCCTCCTGGTATACCACCCATTGGGGCATCTGCAAGACTCATCAGGTATCACTGAGGTGTCCTCCGAGGTGCCAGAGGGATTCACTGGGAAGCTGCCTGCTGGAGTGGTGGCAAACCCACTGAAAAGTCCCCCAAATACTGCCACTAAAACTTAATAGGGTGAGTCACTAGATGTCCTATGCTGCTGGCGCCTACCCACCACAAGAGCTAGCAGGGGAGAGCACAGCAGTCAAGCCACGAGAGTCAAGCTGAGTTCCCTTCTTCCTACAGTGTCCCTCCAGCACCCTCTATTGACAAAGGAGAAATGTTTACATGGTCCAGCTCCAAGACCACAAAACAGGACAAAGAAAGCTGGATTTGGAGATGAGAAGCAACAAATGATAACTAGCACAGACATTTTTAGCATTGAGGATTTCCTGAGAGATTCCTACATAAGCTTTTTACCTTTCTAAGCATCTCTTCCTTTTCTTCTACCACCAATCACCAGTCTTCTCCTTCTACCTAAGACAGTGGATACCATGAGGCTTAACATACCGTTCACAATGCAAAGGCAACAAGACAGTGTTGTACACAGATACTTACAGCAGCCATGGTTTTATCGAAGTAGCAAAATGGCCACACATTATACAGAATAAGAGATTTATTATCCTAAGGGCTAGACCTTACACAAATGTGAGAGCTGGTGATGCAATCTATGAAGACTATTGGTTCTGTGTCTAGTGCTGAGCCTGAAGTTACTATAGGTTTGTCAGATCAGCTGTTAAGAGGGAAAGCTAGATGTATAGGAGAGTAGGGACAAACCAGAACTCATGAGGACCAATGGGACCATTGAGGACAAACTGGAACCCTCTTCTGTGTCTTACCATGTCCAACCTTGATGCTGCGGGTGACCTGCAGGAGAAACTGGCACTATCTCCTGCAGTGTGTCTCCTGCACACACACTTGGCCCAGGACTCAGAGAAGCTGAAGGAGGAGATTTAGTGAATTAGAATTACTGCAAGCCTGGTACACCAAGTAGTTAAGCAGCAGATTAGCAATAATGTGTGCAAGTGGACAAGGTGCATAGTGCCTGCTATGGTTTGTTTTCCCCTCCAAAATTCATATGGAAATTTTTTTGCCATTATAACAGTATTAAGAGGTGGGACAATTAAGAGGTGATTAGGCCATGATGGCTCCACCCTCATGGGTGGGATTGGTGCCATTTTAAAAGGACAGGTTCCTCTCTCTCTCTCCCACTCCCTGTCTCTCTCTCTTTCTTTTTCTCTCACCTTCTCCTTGCCCTTGCACTCTTTCACCATGTGATAACACAGTAAGAAGTCACCTGACAGATGCCAGCACCTTAATATTGGGCTTCCCAGCCTCCAGAACTATAAGCCAATAAATTTCTATTCATTATAAATTACCCGGTTTCAGATATTCTGTGATAGCAGCACAAAACAGACTACGACAGTAACTCTGTACCAAGTTTCAGAGCATAAAAAGTATGACTTCTTTACTTCTTCCTTCTGGATTTCACACAGAATGTCTCTCATGGCCATACAGAACCATACAAGAAAGAGAACTCTGGGGAATGTGGTTCCAGCTTAGCTGAATTTAGTACCAAGTCACCACAAAGCAGCAGCAAAACTCAGTGTAATCTAAGCCCTATTCATAAAACTATGGGTAAAGCAATATGAGATATTTTAAGAGTCTGGTAAAGAGGGTATGCAGTGGGAAAGATGTACTGCCTGTTTTCTGATAGATTTTTTCTACAAAGATTTGTATTACCAGGAAATAATGCTAGTATAAATTATAATGTTATGGATTCTGAGTAGTAACATATGTAAGTATTCTAAAACATAAAACGTAACAGAAGTTTCATTTTCTAGATACAGCAGAGATAAATTCCTGAATGAAATAGCAATGTCTAGATAAATTCTGTGAGCTATACTACTTGGTTTTTAAAGTATTAATTATAGGTTTTATTTTTTATTAATAAAAGTATTAATTGATGTACATTAAAATTAATTATACTAGAAGAGAAGCCATGTGGACAACAGAAAGTTGATGAGAAGTAAAAGTAATCATTTGTCTCTGTCTTCCCTCATTTAAAAGGTCTTCACCAACTTTTTAAAATGTATTCTTGAATTGCTTTTAATATAGGGAACTTTTCATTTCTCCTTCTGCAGTCTTAACACACTACAATCATTATGGTACTTGCCAAATTTGGGGTTACCAAACTTTGATCTAGAGGATGTGTGCTAGCTTTGCGGTTAAAGCAAGGCTGATTGTTCTATGAGCACCCTCTTCTGGGCATTGTTCAGAGTCAAAGAACAAAAAATTCTTCAGCATAGAGCATGCTTGTCACCCTTTAGATTTTCAGGGAATTGGGATAGGACAAATAAAATATTGGAATTTTGAGAAAAGGGCTAAGGAATGGCCTAGAATATAGGGTTGATTTTTTTAAAATTCAGAACATTGGCTGGGCACGGTGGCTCACGCCTGTAATGCCAGCACTTTGGGAGGCCGAGACAGGCAGATCACCTAAGGTCAGGAGTTCAAGACCAGCCTGGCCAACATGGTAAAACCACATCTCTACTAAAAATACAAAAATTAGCCGGGTGTGGTGGTGCGTGCCTGTAATCCCAGCTACTCAGGAGGATGAGACCAGAGAATTACTTGAACCCGGGAGGCGGAGGTTGCAGTGAGCTGAGATCACGCCACTGCACTCCAGCCTGGGCGACAGAGCGAGACTGCATCTCAAAAAAAAAAAAAAAAAATCAGAAATCAGAACCTTGAATTGTCACTTCCAAGTGATTGAGACTGATTTTTTAAAAATGTGTATTGTAAATATATATGTAATACAGCCGGGCATGGTGGCTTATGCCTGTAATCCCAGCACTTTGGGAGGCCAAGGTGGGCAGATCGCGTGAACCCGGGAGTCTGACCATCCTGGGCAACATGGTGAAACCATGTCTCTACAAAAAATACAAATATTAGCTGGGCGTGGTGGCACATATCTGTGGTCCCAGCTACTTGGGAGGCTGAAGTGGGAGGATCACTTGAGCTCGGGAGGTGAAAGTTACAGTGAGCCAAGATCACGCCACTGCATTCCAGCCTGGGCAACAGAACTAGACCCTATCCCCCCAAAAAGTGTATATAATATATATATAATATATATAAATATTCTAAAACATAAAACATAACAGAAGTTTCACTTTCTATATACAGCAGAGATAAATTTCTGAATGAAATAGCAATGTCTAGATAGATTCTGTCAGCTATACTACTTGGTTTTTAAAGTATTATTAGCTTTATTTTTATTAATAAAAGTATTAATTGATGTACACTAAAATTAATTATACTATAAAAGAAGCCATGTGCATAACAGAAAGTTGATGAAAAGTAAAAGTAATCATTTGTCTCCTTGTCTTCCCTCAAATAGATATATAAATTTATAATGTATTTATATAGATATATAAATACATGTATATGTGAATACATATATACATATATGTACATATATACATATATACATATATACATATATGTACATATATACATATATACATATATATATAAATATATATGAAGCAAAGACATTTTGTTTTTGTGCATTTAGTTATCTAACATACCAGCTATCTGTGGGGAAGTGCACTGTTTCATGAGTTTTTCTGTAACATTTCAAATGATGAAGCTGTAAACACAGTCAGACTCATTTCTATGCAGATGAAGATGGTAATGTCTGTATTCTGCACCCTGCTGCTCAAGGCTGTCTTTTCCTTTGGATGACTTGGCTTCAACTTTGCCCATTTTAAGACTTAATTTTGTGTTTAATGCTTTTTTGCAAAAGTAATTTACATTTTTAAAGGAGAAAAAAAGTCATGAGTTGTGCAAATAAAATCATGCGAATTAAAAAACTGACATAGCAAGTTTTGCTCCTCTGTGTATCCAACAGTCAAAAACTCCAAGCAGCCTTTTTACTTTAGGCTGGTTTAACACCTGTGAATTGAAAATCGAATTAAAACTGTGTATTATCATGCTCATTTGCTATATGATCAAAATTATTAATATAGTCGTTATTAACTGAAACTTGATACAACATTATTGGTTACTTTGGAGAATACTGCACATCCACACGTTTCATCCAATACAGAAACATCTTTAAAAGGTGTGTGAATAAGAGTTGGTGTAGTAGTGGTGAGAGAGACAGAGGTCTTCTTTTTGGTTTAAACACTTGATCAGCTTCTTGTGTTTCACATTAGTTTTTGGTTTGTTTCCCCCTTTTTTCATATCAACCATAAAATACCGAGGAGTTTTTTTGTTTGTTTTTACACTTTTCAGTTCCCACAGTCCTTATTATTCTCCCTCTTATTGAGATCTGCTACCTTGATGTTTCAGGGTCAAGGGATTTGAAAATTCTTAAGAAGAGTTTTCAGAAATTTTGAAATAAAGCAAAAAGATTACTGGGTGCTCTTTCAAAGTCGTATTAGATCCTCTAAGAATCAGCTGATATTTCAGGAGGTGTAGCTTTGTTTGGCTATTTGCTATTAATTGAAGTCTAGAATCTGTAAAATTTGGATGTTAATTTGCAGAAGATCGGTAAGTTACTGATGACTTTTGTTTGGTAGAGATACAAACTACTTTTGCCCAGCATGGAAGGTAACCCCAAATGTTATATTTTATTGGCCCTAGTAAAACGGCAACCATTTTGTAACTAACTTTGCAGTCCTATGCCAGCATTATTTTTTTCTACTGGATTTATATGTACTAGTTTCTTCTATTCCTTTTTTTTTTTTTTTTTTTGGAGACAGGTTCTCATTCTGTCACCCATGCTGGAATGCACTGGCTTACTGCAGTCTTGACCTCTTGGGCTCAAGCAGTCTTCCCACCTCAGACTCCCAAAGTGCTGGGATTATAGGCGTAAGTCACTGTCCCTGGCCTCTTCTATCCTTCTTTAAATCACCTTTATTATCTTGCCAGTTAACTCAAAGAATTAAGTAAATCTTAGGAAAATACTTATTTATAGCCAGGGATGGTGGCACACACCTCTAGTTCCAACTGCTTGGGCGGCTGAGGTGGGAGGATTGCTTAAGGCCAGAAGTTGGAGGCTGCAGTGCGCTATGATCATGCCTGCACCCTAGCCTGGGCAACATAGCAAGACATTGTCTCAAAAAATAAAGGAAACATCAAAAAAGAAAGTTACTTACAAGTGGCTACATTTGGGGTAGTATTTGGAAATAGAAACTAAAAAAATTCTAAAGAAATGAGATCTTTCAAGGAGATTTCGAAATATTTACTGATCACTTTTTTATAGTCTAAGAGCTGTCTCAAGATGACGTTGTTGTCATCAGGAGTTCTCAAGGTGGTATTGTCATTAAAAATTATGCTGAATGATCTTGTATGTAGAATTCACTTGGAAATACCAGATCATAGTCAGAGGCAGTGGCTCACACCTGTAATCCCACACTTTGGGAGGCCGAGGTGGGCGGATCACCTGAGGTCAGGAGTTCAAGACCGGCCTGGTTAACATGGTGAAACCCCGTCTCTACTAATAATACAAAAATTAGCCGGGTTGTGGTGGCGGGTGCCTGTACTCGAAGCTACTCGGGAAGCTGAGGCAAGGAGAATCGCTTGAACCCAGGAGGCAGAGGTTGCAGTGAGCCAAGATGGCACCACTGTACTCCAGCCTGGGCAATAGAGTGAAACTCCATCTCAAAAACAAAACAAAACAAAACAAAACAAAACAAAACAAACAAAAAAGCAGATCATGAAAAAAATAATAATTTCTACCTACAGAGAGAAGGATCCTTGAAAAACTTCAGTCTAACCTTTTTATTTTAAAAACAGGGATATGGAGGCCCAGATCAAAATATCCACCTAAGGACACACAAAAGTAGTAGAACCAAGACTGTAGGGTAGATTTCCTGACATCCGCTACTAACACTACTATACCCCTGTCCTGGTCTAGAGGATGTCCCTGGTTATTGGCAAGAGAAGGAACAGCTGCTGGGAGGAAGAGCTACTTCAGATCTTTGCTAGTGGACGCTGAGTCACTCTTCTGCTCTGCTCAGCGGTACTGGCTTATTTTTCTGATGTCTTCTAATCCTCTTAGCAGAGTGAATGTTCAGCCAGAACACCACAGTACAGATCGTTGAAATATTGACATGCTTTTGTCCCAGACCCCCTACTCTCTTGGCTACCTAGTCCCTCTGCCAGGAACCCAGAACCTCTCCACAGTTCAGCATCTAAGGGGTTAATGCTGGCCCTGCAAAGGGAAGAGGCAGAATTGCTGCCAGCTGGCATCTTCCGGGCATCTGTTCTGGTTAGCTAGTGCGTATGCCACACTAGTTGTGAAATACTTTTAATATTTCTTCTGCCCTTTGGCAATCTGTTGGACTGAAACCTTGTTCAGGTCCATGTGTAGGACCTGAAGAAAGTGTTGGCACCAACAGATAGTGAGGTGGTAGGAAGCCGTCATATCACTCTCCTAATAATTGACAGTATTTTTTAAAATGATTCTATTGGATAGTTCAACAGAGGTTCATGTTTTATTCTGTTTCCTACTATCTTTCAGGTAAAGATCTCTGATAAAGGGATTTAGAAAAATTTCAAGTACACTAGAGGGCAGTGGTCCCATATCTAGACACCTGGCAATTACCACTTCCTTTGCATTTCTTTGCCTTTCCTTTTGTGTAGGGGAGGGGAAGAGGGGTTTTCGTCACAGAATACAAATGCCATTTATGTCTGAAGTATTTTATAAAAACAGAGTAGCTGCTTGGCAGCACCATGTCTATCATTTCTTGTAGTTTCTTTTCCATCCTTCTTCCAATGACTTATCTCAGCATTAACATCTTAATGACTTTTTGCGTTTTTGAAGAAAAGGCAAAGGAGAGATAGGAAACATACTTCCTACTTTGGGGTAGTAAGGTTTTCTATCTTTGCATCTTTGTATTTGAAAATAAAGTCATGAATTAAGAATGAGGGAGAAAAAAGGTACAGGAATGTATTCTTGTATTTTGTATGTGCAGAGGTATTAAAAGAATAAGTTTAGACAAATTAAATTTCACAGAGTTTAACTGAGCAAAGAATGATTCAGGAATCACTCAGCTCTCAGAACCAGAAGCGGTTCAGAGAGCTCTGCTCCATTACATGGGCGGCAGCATTTATGGACAGGACAAAAGTCAGGTACAGAAACTTGATTGATTACAGCTTGGCATTTGCCTTATTTGAATATGGTCTGATCAGCTGGCTGCCTGTGATTGACTGAGACTCAGCTATTTGTTACAAAACTATACTCCTAAGTTAGGCTTTCAGTTAGTTTATGTGCTAAGTTAGACTGCAATTAATTACATGAGGACTCAACTGTCCTTATGTAATTCAGGCCAAATTTAGTTTGACAGAGGCAAAAGTCACTTAGATGACTGCACTGCTGCCCCCTTCTTCATGATCACCAAGGACAGTTATGTTTTAGATCACTCAGTTTTCCTCTCCTGCCCCTCTTCTAAGTAGAAGGGAGCCCTGCTTTCTGGAGGAGAGGCTAAGCTGATCTATATACACTAAAGGGATGGACTGGAGGTGAGTGGATGGGGTAGGGAGGAGAGAAGTTCCATTGCAGTTGGATAGTATAATGGATTTCAAGAGGAGAAAGCAAAGGGACATTAAAAAGTATGCCAGTAGATTATTTGATGAAGTATGAGACCTTAAATAAAGAATTGTATCTATTATTAATTACTTTTGGTTGTTGGACTGTTTCTTTGAAAGAGATAATCCTCTGAAACTAGTTTGTATGGCTTTCTGGATTTATAAAAGTTATGTATAGAATGAACTTGCAGACATTAGCATTTTCATTTGTGAGATCTACAGCAGTTGTGTTTATATATGTGTGTGTATACGTATATATGCATGTGTGTATACATATATGTATATATGTATGTGTGTATATATGTATGTGTGGATATATGTTTCTGTGTGTGTGTGTGTGTGTATATATATAGTTTATTCACCATCTTTACTCTTAGGCCCAGGTGGGAGATAAGATGCTCTTCTTCCAATTCACCCAACTAGAGGCCTGGGTGGGAGGAAGAACACCTGGACCCTCATAGCAACATGTCCTCTGCAACAAAGGGACAGGAACTCCCTCTGCATTTCTTTTGGTGTTGCTAATATTCATTGGGGATTTACCGTACACTACATATTGTGTCACTTGTTTTGCATAGATTATCTTGCTTAATCCTCACAACTTTATGCTGCATATATAGGTATGATCCCCATTTACCCGTGAGAAATTTGAGGATTACAGAGGTTGCCTGGCATGAAAAAGTGAGCATGTAGCAGGCTGAGATGTGAACCCAGGTTTGTTTGACTCCACAGCTTGAGTTTGTAGCTACTCATTTATGTGCCCCCAAGGGAAGGAGGGATGCTGCAGGCAGTGTCATTGGGAAATCATTTGTTCTTCGGACCCATTCGACAGGGTGCAGTGCTGTCTCACACATCTGAACTGGACATGGGTTCCTGGTCTTATTCCTCTATTGGAACAGAAATGATGATCCCCAGACTGTTCTGGGGATAGCCTGGGACATAAACACACATGTACACACACTGACTGGATTTTCACTTCTCTGATTTTGTATGAGATATTGTCACTGGAGAGTAATTAAAACCCCTGGTGAATTTATGTTGGGGCCTCCTGACACGATTGTGCAGTTATTTATCCTTAGACAACAAGGAGGATTAGCATTAAATGCTGAGAGAAATGCATCTGCCACGTTGATGCAGTTAGAGGCATCTATCAGAGATGCATTTGAAACCCAGAGACTTCATCCTAATTGCCGAGAATGCTGGAGGTTGTTTTCAGCTAGACTTAAAAGTGAAGAGGAAAACCATTAGTAGTAAGAGAGGTGGATCCCACATTAACTTCTCAGTAGATTCTTCTGGGGCAGAGGGATAATCTCTTCCCTAGCCCTGTCCCACTTGTATCTTTTAGGTAATAGTCTCTGTCATGGATCAGGGCAAAACCTTTCCCTAGAGACAGAAGCAGGCAGAAGGAATTAATGTGTTCCTACGATTATTCCTATGAATAACTGGTCACGTTTGCTAAGTGTTTAGTACATGTAGGATATCAGTAGAAGCGCTTTGCCAGCATCATCTCATTTAATTCTCAGATGGCCAGTCCCTCTTCAAACCTAACCCTCTCCACCTCTTCCTTTCTAATCTAACACTTACTATGTCATTTATTTCTCTCAGGGGAGAGGTAAGTCGTATTTATAAGACTGGCATTTACATTAGCTCAAGAAGTGAATGTTGCCAGGTACAAAGGCAGAAAAGGATTAGTAGATCTGTGAATTATGGTGTCAATTATACTTGTATTGAGAAGAATAATCATTTGTTAGTTGTTACATCTTATTTCATGTTTATATGTGTCAGATTTATTTTTCATACTGAGGAATAATACTATTAGGTATTCCTAATGTTTTTCCTAAATATTCCTCATATTTTCCACACTGAGGTATAATAATGTTAGGTTGGTGCAAAAGTAATTGTGCTTTTTGCCATTACTTTTAATGGCAAAAACTACGATTGCTTTTGCACCAACCTAATAATTATTACTTAAAAAGCCCAAATGTCAGCTGCTCTTTGTCCTTCAGTTTTTGTTTCTGTTAATTCCAGCTCTGTTTTCTCCTCATTGCAACCCAGACTTGGAACTTAGTGATGAATCTATGATCACAAAAGAATTGGTAGGCAATATCTTAGTAAGGAAAGAGTACATAGAGGATGAGATTTTTATATATATATATATATATATATATTTTTTTTTTTTTTTTTGAGACTGAGTCTTACTCTGTCACCCAGGCTGGAGTACAGTAGCACGACCTCGGCTCACTGCAACCTCTGCCTCCTGGGTTCAAGCGATTCTTCTGCCTCAGCCTCCCGAGTAGCTGGGACTACAGGCTCACACCACCACACCCGGCAAATTTTTTATTTTTAGTAGAGACAGTGTTTCACCATGTTGGTCAGTCTGCTCTCGAACTCCTGACCTCAGGTGATCTGCCTGCCTCGGCCTCCCGAAGTGCTGGGATTACAGACGTGAGCCACTGCGCCCAGCTGAGATTTATGTTAAATGTAAATCCCACCCCCCAACACACACATACCTATCTTTTCAAGCAAACAGCTTAGGAGTTTCTATTTGATACTTCTGTCCTCTAGAGATCCTCCTTTATCCCAGATCTGAAGCTTTTCTCCGTACCTTCACACCCCTCTCCCAAGCAATGCCGCTGCTTACTTACTCTTGTCTGCTTCCTTCTTTTTTGTTGGAGGGATGCAAATTTCTCTCCTAATATTATATGTTGAAATTTAGGAACCATTTTTGTTGCCAAACATGACATTAGCATCTTATGCTTTTACCATATGTGAATTATAAAAGCATTCCTTGCAAGGAAATGCTGCACTCTCTTTAAGAGATATTTTAGGGGAATAAAATTTTTATTTCATTATAGAAAAAGACCTTATTGACAGAATCTGAAATAAGGGATCATGTACAGAATCTTGATTCTAAATAGTTGAATATAATCTACCTTAATTCAGCCATTTTATGTTTAACATAATACTGGAATATATTCATTACCATAGAAGATTATGAAGATAACACAGAGAGTGTTAAGAATGACTGAATCCATATAGTGTAGTGAGAACTATTGAAAATTCATTATAAACTTCATATAGCACTTGCTATGGGTTGAATATGTCCCCTCCAAAATTCGCATTGAAACTTAACCCCCATCGTGGTGCTAATTAAGAGGTAGGGCCTTTTGGTAAGTGATAAAGTAATGAGGATTCCTTATAAATGAGCTAAAGGGAACTAGCTTAGGCCTTTTGGCCTTCCATCTCTTCTGCTATATGAAGACACAGCATTTGGCCTCTCCAGAGTATACAGCAAGAGGGCACCATCTGGAAGATCTTGGCACCTTGATCTTGGACTTCCCAGCCTCCAGAACTGTGAGAGTAAAATTCTGTTCTTTATAAATTATCCAGTCTCAGGTATTTTGTTATAGTAGCACAAGTGGACTAAGACAGCACCCAAATGATACATAAATAGTATGTAATGATTTATGTTATGTGTCCTAACTTTTCTTTTGCTGTGGAACCGGAAATAACCTTTAACCAGGTAGCCTTGGTTCTGTCTTGGTTCTTCTGTGTATCCCATATTATTCTTGTGTTGTCTTGATTCATACTTAAATGTGAAAAATTCAGACCATATCACATTCAAACACATTTTTCATACCTGTGCATATTAATGGCTTTAATCTAGACAAAACATCTAATTTATAATCAAAGATATAAATAAAACCCTAATTCGTGTGTTTGCTTAATGCCTCTCTGCCCCTTACTCCACACTCACTGGCATCTCAGATTACTTTTTACAGTATGGTCCAGATTCCCAGCTTTTGGTTTTCCAGAGTTCAGATACATTAAGATCATGTGTCTGTTAAACCTTGTTGGCTAAAAATGTTTCCAGTGAATTCAGAAAGGTAACTGTTGTATTAGAGGAGTAAAACCATGTCAGTGTTGGCTGTGGATCAAGGGTTTAAAATTTCTGTGAAATTCAACTGTAAAGTGACTCTTTTTAGAAGGAAAATATAGGTTTATGTTCTTGAAAGTCTGCTTTCAAATGGATTAAACCTTGGTTGGAATGGCACCATATGCTACAATACTTTCCATTTAGCAAATGAGTTTCCGTTGTTCAATAAAGTAGTCAAGATTACCACCGAGACTGAAGTTTCTCTGAGCCCACAGCACTTGTGATTCTGCGTGATTGCCTAACAGCAGCAAAAGACTTTGCAGGGAAGTCTAGGAAGCCATATGAAAGTAAGAGTGGCTACTGTCCATGAGAAGAATTTCTATTTCAAAGTTAGATTTAAGTCAGTAAAAAAAAAAAAAAAAAAGTGCTGCGAGAAGCCCGAGTAATGAAAACAATCAGAATTTAGTACACTTCTCCAGATGGGTTTTGTTTTGAGGTTGAAAATTCAGTTTGAGCACTCTTATTGTGTGAATCATTAACATTTAGTTTGTCTTTTCAAGCGCTGCCCCTATAATATCTTTCAAAGGGTTAGGATTGGTTAGAGTTTGTGGTAAGAAGGAAACACTGGGAATTCTTTCCCAATGTTATCACACAACACCTTTCCTTCCCACCCCTCTAACTTATCTCATTGTGAGTTATAAAAATGGTTCCAGGGCTGGAAGCAGTGGCTCATGCCTGTAATATAGACACTTTGAGAGGCCAAGGCAGGAGGATCGCTTGAGCCCAGGAGTTTGAGACCAGCCTGGGCAACATAGTGAGACCCTGCCTTTACTGAGATTTTTTTTTTTTTTAATTAGCTGGGCATGGTGACATGTGCCTGTAGTCCCAGCTACTTGGGAGGCTAGGGTGGGAGGATCCCTTAAGCCCAAGAGTTTGAGGCTGCAGTGAGCTATGACTGCACCACCGCACTCTAGCCTGGGTGACAGAGGGGGACCCTGTCTCCAAAAAAAAAAAAAAGTTCCAAAACTTCCTACAAAGTGAACAGTCTTCAACTTTTATTTTCCTTTTCTAATGAGGTAAAAAGGTAGGCTGAAATTAAGGAAATGAATATTTGTAGAAAATGTCAGCTCAGAGTAACAGCTGCAGGCTTGGATAGATTGCCAGTGCTACCTTTAGATTCTCAGAAAGAAATAGAGGTAGTGTTATTCATGCCATCTATTTTCTTCTTTATATTTTCTGTGTCTTTCAAATTGCCTAACATCAGAATTTATGGTTTTTATAATAGAGAAGGAAAAGTCTTTAAAATCTTAGGTTTAGCCAGTATATTTTACATATGGGCATAGGGATACTGGAAGGATACTCACCAACATGAAAACAATGTTTATCTTGTGTAATTTGGGTGATTGGTAGTTTCTTCTCTTTTGCACATTTACATTTCTTAATTTTTTGCAATGAATATTATGTGTGTAATAAACAAGGATTTTTCTACAGTGAATATTATCTGCATAATTAAAAATTATATATTTTTAAAAATCATGCCCACACCAAAAGTAAATATTTGTACTATGCATTTGTGTTTGTTATTCATCAACATTTTGATGTTGTTCTACTTGCCTAGCAAGTAGAAACTCCTTCCTAAATTTGGAATTGGATTTGGTGAGGTTCAGAGGCTGCCTCAGAAAGGATTCTGGGGTTCTATAGAAACCAGCAAAATCCTCATTGCTCTCTCCTGTCCATTTGTTTCCTCCCTTGCAACACCGCAGAGGCCATACCAGGCCTGAGTTTGGAATAATAGCAAGAGTAATACTAGTAACAATTAGATATTTATGTAACTCCTAATACTTTCAAATCTTTCCTGGTCATTCTTCTCTGAGCCTCTAAATAACTGAAAAGTAGATAGTAAGCCAGGCATTAGTGGTCCTTTCCACACTACAGCCCAAGTGAGATTATTTATTAGAGACATTGTCTCGATATGGTGCCCAGGATGGAGTGCACTGGCTATTCAGAGGTATGATCATAGTGCAGTACAACCTAGAACTCCTGGGCTTGAGTGATCCTCCTGCTTCAGCCTCCTGAGTAGCTGAGACTGCAGTTGTGCATTACTGCTCCAGGCCCACGTGAGATTTTTGAAACAGAGAGAATTGCATTAGTCTTCTAAAGATTCATGAAAGGATTCCCAATGTGTTAAGAATATAATTTAAACTTTTCACAAGAAGTCATACCTGATATGGCTAAGACCGCCTCTGTGACCTCATCTTTCCCATTTCCCTGCAGGAATTTGCTCTGGCCACACTGTCCCATATACAACTCCGGATCTTCCCTCTGCCATTCAGCTTTCTTGTTTGGGAATGCTGTTCTTCCTACCACCACTGCCACCACCTTCCACCCCAGAGCTGGCTCCATTTTATCCATTCTCAGCTTAAATGTCTTTTTCTCAAAGAAGCCTTTCCTGACCACCTGTTTAAGTAGGTGTGTTCTCACCTTCTCACCCACCTCTCTTCTGTATTAGTTACCTATTACAGCACAGCAAATTACCCCAAACCTTAGTGGCTTTAAACAATAAACATTTATTGTCTCACCTAGTTTCTGTGGATCAGGAATCCAGGAGTGGCTTGGCTGGGTGGTTCTGGCTCAAGGTCTCTCATGAGGTGGCAGTCAAGTCATCAGCCAGGGCTGCAGTCATCTGAAGGCCTGACCAAGGCTGGAGAATCTGCCTCCAAAGTGGCCTATTGAAACACCAGGCAAGTTAGTGCTTGGTTAGTTCCTCATGATGTGGGCCTCTCCATGGGGCTGCATGCATACCGTCATGACAGGGCAGCTGGCTTCCCTCAGAGCAAAAGAGCCAAGAGAGCAAGGCAGAGCTACAATGTCTTTTATGACCTAGCCTCAGAAGTCACGCACTGTCATTTATGCAGTATCCTATTGGTTACACAGGTCAGTCCTATTTAGCTTGGAAGAGGTCTGTACAAGGAAATGAATACTGGGAGATGGGGATCATTGTAGGCTATCTTGGAGGCTGGTTCTTCATCTTGATCACTTAGTTTTCTAACTATTACCAATTCATTGCTTACTTGTTTCTTGTTTGGCTTCCCTCATTCATTAACTCGCTATCCTCTGTACCCAGCCCAGTGCCTAATATATAGTTGATGCTCAGTAAATATTTATGGAATAAGTAGGAAACTCTTATCTTTTGATAGCTGATTCTTTAAAACAGGAGGTAGAAATAGGTATAAAATCAACATTACTGGTTGATGTTGACTTTACCCAAGAAAGTTTAATTGAATAATTGGATGTTTGTAGGGGGAGTTGATTTTCTCTTTATTTAATGAAACACTTGCATTTATTTCAGTCAAGAAATTGTAATGTGTAATTTTTGTTTTCTCATAATTGATTTCTTTTTTAAAGTAAAACTTCATAACAGATATGTCTTTTCTTCTTTTTCTGTATGATTTTATACAATTATGTTTCAATATATTCATGAAAAGAAGTTTTCATGCAGAAATAAAATAAAATTATAGTACAGCCATATTAGATAATCAGTAAGTAGGAAAAGTGTGCAGTCAAACTGCAATGGTTACATATTTACTTATAGACTTTCCCCACCAGATGGTAAAGTCAAGGAAGCCACAGGTGTGTATTCTCTATGTCCTTGGTAGTAAGTGTGGTCCACAAATCAGTAGCATCCACACCACCTTGGAGCTTGTTAGAAATACAAATCATGGGCCAGGTGCGGTGGCTCATGCCTGTAATCCCAGCACTTTGGGAGCCCGAGGCAGGTGGATCACCTGAGGTCAGGAGTTTGAGACCAGCCTGACCAATAAGGTGAAACTCCGTCTCTAGTAAAAATAGAAAAACTAGCCAGGCATGGTGGTGTGCACCTGTAATCCTAGCTACTTGGGAGGCTGAGGCAGGAGAATTGCTTGAACCCGGGAGGTGGAGGTTGCAGTGAGCCAAGATGGCACCATTGCACTCCAGCCTGGGCAACACAGCGAGACTTCATCTCAAAAATAAAAAATAAAAATAAAGAAATACAAATCATGGGCATCACCCCGGACCTAGTGAATCAAAATCTGCATTTTAACCAGCTCTCTGGGATTTGTATTCACTCTAAAGTTTGAGAAACATTGCTCTTTGGTGCTTAACCCAGGCTTTGCATTTGAAGAAGGCTTGTGAACTGGAGAAATAGGGAGCATTTGCTTTTATGCAGTCAAGTTCAGGAATAAAAGACAGCATCTTCTTAGAACTGAGGTGTTTCTAATTGAGAAGCTATCTCTCAATTCTCTAATTGAGAAGACTTTAAGTTTTAACTACAGAACATCACCATCCCCCTTGGGAGTTTCCTAATGTGGGCTCCGCACTTGCCTGGTTTATGCATTTCCTCTCAGATCCAGAAGGCCGAGCTCTGACTTAGATTTTACCTCCTTCCTGATCATTTTCCTCCCTCAAATTAGCAATCAGCAGAGAACCAGTTGCTTCAGGTTCCAGAAACCAAGATCTAAAAATTGGGGTCAGATGTATTAAAATGGTATAACCTGGAGAATAATGCTTTTCCTTATTAAAAAAAAAGTTTTCCTATTTATTTTACAAAGAAAACTTGGTTTTTAGACTCAGCTATAGAAAAGATATATTTTGGTTTTATTTCTAGACTTCAAATTAAAAACAGAAATTCTATATTTTCAGATTTCAGTAGAAATAGAAATTGCTTATTATCCTTGTTTCTGTTTTCATTCCTTTATATTTAGCATTTTCAGTTGCTCTGAGGATATTTCACTAAAACAGCAAAATGATTACTGAACCACAAGTGTGTAGTGGAATATTGTTTCATGCCTATGCTTTTCCTTTTACATAAAAATGTACCTTTAGAAAATTAGAACAAACAATTGTGTCAACTAAGAAAGTGTAGGCTATGCTATTGGAAATATTTGAGAAAGTATCATGAGTGTTACATTGGTACTCTGCTAGAGGAAGGTGAAACAATTGGTATTCACATCAACTCTCTCTTCACATTTCCAAATTCTGGCCACATTATATTGTATTTAAGAGCAAGATCTCACCTATATACTAATTTACCCATCATGGTTTTCATTTAGCAGTGTTTTTGTGCCAGTCACTGTGCCAGGCCTTAGGATTGCAAAAAGGAATGTTTAATATGTGAGGATATCACCTTTTTTGGAAGCAATAGTTTGGCCAAGGAACTCTGCTAATAATTAAACCAGTTGCTGGTTCCTGAAAATTTTAAGAGATAAGTAGTATGCTTTCCTAATTCTAAAATAAACATGTATTTCCTCAGAAGTCTAAATATTTGGAACATGTAGAGGGCCTGTAGGTTATCACCCTGCTTTGCCAGTTAATACTGTGTTCCTCCCAAGATGACATTTAAACAGCCTTTTTTTTTTTTTTGCAATGAGTCTGGTGCATTTTCTTAAACAGTCTTGTGTACAATGTTATCACCATTTGAAAATCTGTTTCCTGACATGAATCTGAATTTGCATTTCTTTCAGTTTCTATATATTTGCCACTTAGGATCCCTTACCCTCTCTGCTACTGAAATTCAGTTTTTTAAAAACAAACAACTAATTGTGTGTGTGTGTGTGTACTACATAGTAGGCTTGAATGCATGAATGTGGGTTTTTTCTGGGCAGACAGAGTACATGCTATAAAAAAAGCCAGGATACTGGTTGAATTTTTGCAAAAGTTTATATACGCTAATAAGCATACTAGTGAGTCAAATTATAGAAGATTAGGAAATAAAATATCTTTGAAATAAGAATGCACAAATATCTTTTGATCATTCTGTTTGACACATGGAGTTGGGTTTTAGTATTTTATGGTGATGATCTTGGTACTGTAATAGCCATGCTGTTGTTCTGTGTTTTTAAATAGAAGTAAGGAGAAGCCCAGGATAAAATTATGCTAAGAAATAACTTTGGGGCCTCATATGGCCATTGGGGTTTGCCCAGGAGTAGGCAAGGCACTAAGAACTTCCAGCCGGTCTTCTCCAAGGCAAAGTTTTGCAAGAGGGAGAGGCCTGCTGTGGCTTGTACAATGATATCCCATAGTTTATCCAGGAAGCCTGGTAAACAATATCCAGTAGTTCCTAGAGCCAACATGTTTGAATGCTGTTAGACATCAACATTGTGTAAGATTTTTAGCTCTATGCTTAATTTTGAGTTTGATCTCATATTTGTTATATATAAAATTTAATTGAGCCATGCATGGAAACAGGCATCTAGTTTCCTTCAAGTTGAATTTTGGTTTGAAAAAAATGATTAGATCCAATCACTCCCTTCCATCTTCTCTTGGTCCAGCTCACAGAAAATGCTCAGCCAATGGGAACATGCTTTCCCAAAACAAGGCCAGCATGCCACAGGTGGAAGACACAGTGAATACAGGTGGCACACCACATGGCATCAAATAGGACGGTATCATACGACAAGAATAGAATTCCCTTTATAGTTCTCTTCCAGTCCTTATGTTTACATCAAGAGAAAAGCCTCATTTGGGTGCAAGAAGTTCACTAATACCTCTCTGCTTCTCGGAGCTCTCTTTACAAGGAAAAGGCCGGCCCCAGGATCAGAGCTTTGGTAAGCAACAGTATTTAGCTAGACTAAATTTACTTTTACTTTTACAGTTGCCTTCTGCTTATGCCACTTACAGTTATTTTCCATTAATAATAGTATTAGAAGGCTTGGCACAGAGGTTCACGCCTATAGTTTCAGCACTTTGTGTGGCTGAGGTGGGTGAATTGCTTGAGCCCAGGATTTTGAGACCAGCCTGGCAACATGGCAAAACTCCGTCTCTATAAAATGTATAAGAAATTATCCAGATGTGGTGGCGTGTGTCTTGTAGTTCCAGCTACTCAGAAGGCTGAGGTAGGAGGATCACTTGAGCCCAGGAGGTGGAGGTTGCGGTAAGCTGAGATCACACCACTGCACTCCAGCCTGGGCAACAGAACGAGACCCTGTTTCAAAAAAATAATTAAAATAAAATAGCATTATAAAATTTTCATTTTTTTTAACTTTTATTTTAAGTTCCGGGGCACACGTGGAGGTTTGTTACATAGGCAAACTTGTGTCATGGCACTTAGTTGTACAGATTATTTCATCAGGTATTAAGCCTAGTACTCATTAGTTGTTTTTCCTGATCCTCTCCCTCCTCCCACCCTCCACCCTCCCATAGGCCCCAGTGTGTGTTGTTCCCCTCTATGTATTCATATGTTCTCTTCACTTAGCTCCCACTTATAAGTAAGAACGTGCAGTATTTGTTTTTCTGTTCCTGCGTTAGTTTGCTAAGGGTAATGGCCTCCAGCTCCAACCATGACCCTGCAAAGGACATGATCTCATTCTTTTTTATGGCTACATAGTATTCCATGGTGTATATGTACCATTTTAAATAAACATTTTGAAGTATAAATCCATCAATTTAGAGAATCATGTTAAGTAGATTAAAGCCCAGATGGTACATAGTCTGGCAAAAGTTGTAAAGGTGATATATGAAAGACTGCCTTGGTTAGCTCTTATGTAGGCTTTGGAGTTAGTTAGACTTGGAATTTGCATCTCTGTTTGGGCACTTACTAGCTTTGTGACTTTGGGGAAATTGTTTCATCTCTCTGAGCTTTAGTTGTCTTCATCTCAAAATGGCAATAACAGTGATGTCATGTTTGTAAAGTACAGTGCTTTAAAAAATGAATGTACTCAAACTGTAGCTCCTTCCCAGCTAACTAAACTCTTCAAGACTTAGTTATATCTAATCTACACCACAAAACTCAATCCATCTCCCTACAGTGCAATATCAATAATTGGAAATCCTCTGACCTCCACCTCTTCATAATTGATTTGCTTCCTTTTTTCCTTCTTATATGATTCATAAAGCATTTAGGTCTCCCTCTGCATCTTGTGATATTTAAACTATGTGAAATCTTAAATCTGTAAGACTGTAATTATGACGGCTGTAATTATATCCTGATCACATTTTTCCTTTTGGTATTCACAAAATGGTCTGGAATTTCTGGGCCATCTGGGTGTTCTGAAGTAGCCAACTTAGTAGTATACCTTTTTCCATTTGCATCTTCATTAGCCCATCCACACTGGCATTGTTGAAGACATGTGGATTGCATTTACAATTTACATGGCCATATGCTACAATGCCATTTTTAAATTCTATTTGTGGAACGAAGGTTTTATGGAAAACATTTTGCTCCAGAATTGTGAATGTGCTTAGGAATATCCGTGTCATACATCATGACAGCTCTTTCCCTGTCATCACATGTACTCACCTCCTTGTTTGAAGTACCTTCTTTAGCACCTGGCCATAAACATCCCTTTATGATACTATCAGTCATGAAACAACTGCTGGTACACCTGTATGAATTTTAGTGATGACCCATTTGATTAAATAGGCATGGCTATTATAGTGTCATTTACTCAAATAAATCTACCAGTGTCCATTGTAATGTAATGCAATAAACTCACTTTTCTAGCAAACTCAGAAATTGCAAGCCAAGCCCCATGTGGACCCAAGGGTCTGTTCATTTCACATATGGCCAATTCCCTGAAAGGAGATGTTTGAATATAGTTTTTTTTTAAGTGGGTTAGCGAACAGAAAATTTAATTCATATGCTAAAGTGTGTCAGGCAGCTGAGTTCCAGCATTCAGTTCATCATTATTTTGAACTGTGGGTTTAATCAAGTTCCTTCACTTAATCTGAATGTTTGTGTTCAAAACCTGGTATCCCGCTTTAAGGAAAACCCTCACCTTTTATTTCTTTTCGGTAGTCCCCAGTTTTGTGAAATCTGATGAAGACAGCCAGTGAAGTGAATCTAATTTGGGTGGTTGAATAACTAAAAGGAATCAGGAAGCCTGCATAGTGTTGCTTTCATTAAAATAGCTTTGTCCAAGTAGACATTTTTCACCATACTTTTGCATCTGTTTCAGTGTCATTTCCATTTTGCTTTGCTTAAATTAAAAAGGAATGCTATTAAAATTAAAACTTGGTTTTAAAAATACATACACACACACAAACATATATGAGCAAATCAGTGGGTTGGGCTGAATGCTATGTTATTTGACAGATTTGCATGTCTCCTGGTGGTGGGGGAGCAGTTTGGTTTACCCTCTTTGATACAAAGCTAGCATATGTTCAGAGCTGGGCATCAGGTGTAATAGAATTACGCATTGTGTTTATGAGACCCTGACTTTTATATCCCTGTAGATGTTCATTCATTCATTTTTCAGATATAAATTAAAGGTAGAGATTGCAGATTAGATGTGCCAGGGCTCATGTGGGCTATGTGAAATGTAGTTTCTCTCACTCTTGGAACTTATTGGATCATGACAGAAATATAAATGAGCTCTAGGAGAATATTCAATCCTTATGAGAATTCATTTCTGTCAAGACATGGGTAGTGGCTGTGCTAGCAGATGAGGCCTGCAAACTTCGTTCTCTTTTTCTTGGTATTTGTTATTGGTATTTTAATTCAGTTAGCAGTACAAAGGGTCTTAAGCAATATTATCAAGTTATAGCCTTTCAGTTGTGAATATGACTTATGATAAGTAGACTACTTAATATAACATATCTCTTTCTTTTTTTTTTTTTTTTGAGACAGAGTCTCTCTCTGTCGCCCAGGCTGGAGTGCAGTGGCATGATCTCAGCTCACTGCAACCTCTGCCTCCTGGGTTCAAGCGATTCTCCTGCCTCAGCCTCCTGAGTAGCTGGGATTACAGGCGTGTGCCAATACGCCCAGCTAAGTTTTGTATTTTTAGTAGACACCGGGTTTCACCTTGTTGGTCAGGCTGGTCTCAAACTCCTGACCTCATGATCTGCCCACCTCAGCCTCCCAAAGTGCTGGATTACAGGTGTGAGCCACCATGCCCGGCCAACGTGTATCTCTTGAAGGTCTACTTTGTACCTAGTTGTTTTGGGCACTTCGAAAGAAGAAATGGCCTAATCATCCCAATCTTCTGCTGTCTTTTTTTTGAGACAGGGTCTCACTCTGTCACCCGGGCTGGAGCGCAGTGGTGTGATCATGGCTCACTGCAGCCTCGACCTCCTGAGGCTCAGGTGATCCTCCCACCTCAGCCTCTTCAGTAGCTGGGACTACAGATGCACACCACAATGCCTTGCTATTTTTTTTTTTTTTTTTTTTTTTTGTAGAGATGGGGTTTTGCCATCTTGCCCAGGCTGATATTGAACTCCTGGGCTCAAGCAATCCTCCTCCTTCAGCTTCCTGAAGTGCTAGGATTACAGATGTGAGCCACTGCGTCTGGCCTGCTGTCATTTTTTTTAAAAAGGAGCACATGAAGGGCATTTGACCTTTTTGGATGCTGCTGAAATTACTTAACATAATTCAAACGACTTTCTATGTTGGCTGTATGCAGCAGAACTTAGTATTAAGTTGAACTATTTAAAATTGTCAACGTCTTCTCTTTTTGTTCTATTAAAAGCAATTTCATATGATTTAATCTAATACCTATAACTTATTGAGCACCCACTAGATACATAACTATATTTAGTACGTAAAGAATATTCAATTTCTAATAATAAAACAGGCAGTACCTTTGGGAACTGCTGTTGAAGAAGAGCTATGGATACTGTTAGGAATTTGGGGGTTCCCTAGCAGGCATGAAGGGATGAAAAGAATTGAGGACCAGAGATAAATTTGGGATTTATATTTAACATCTTCTCATCTTTACCTTAAAAGCACCTCAGCCAATAGTAAGGATCACAAACTTTATTTGCCAAGAACGTGAATACTGAATAGAGTTTATAATGTATTTCATCATAAAACAGTTTCTTATTTACTGATGGAGAGCAAAGCTCTTGGCAGATTAACTCTACAAATCAAGAGAATATGAGAATCAAAGGCCAGAATCCAGGATAATGAGCAAAACTCTTGGAAGAGCACTAAGACCAGTCCTGCTGGACTTTTGAACTGACTTCCCAAAGTGAAGGTTATGACCCAATGGAGGCTGGGTGTGGTGGCTCACACCAGTAATCCCAGCACTTTGGGAGGTCGAGGCAGGTGGGTCAACTGAGGTCAGGAGTTCGAGACCAGCCTGGCCAACATGGTGAAACCCTGTCTCTACTAAAAATACAAAAATTAGCTGGGCATGGTGGTGCATGCCTGTAGTCCCAGCTACTCGGGAAGCTGAGGCAGGAGAATCGCTTGAACCCAGGAGGCAGAGGTTGCAGTAGGCCGAGATCACGCCATTGCACTCCAGCCTGGGTGACAGAACAAGACTCCATCTCAGAAAAATAAAAATAAAAATGACCAAGTGGGGTCAAAGGTGGAGAGTTCAGGGTTCCCCTGAAACTCCTTCTTGGACCATGTCACCATGAGCACTCAGCAATACTCAGAATATCCGGCTCTATACTGTGTGGAGTTGAGCAAAAACAGTTCTTTCAGGTGAAGCTGCTGACACTAACAGCATTTACATGCCCTTTTCTAATTTTGAACAACTCAGGACCTGCAGGGAAATGGAATTCCCATAAAAATCTTTAAAACTGAAGGACACAGTCATCCAGCCTTCACTCCCAAGTCCATCCAAATTGTAATTAGAAAAATGAGCTCTTATTTGTCTATTCTATCATTTTAAAACTCCAATTAAAGGCAAAATGAAGCCCCATGATTTTTAAATTATACTCTATCATTTTGCCTAGAAAATGACAGATTTTATACAGGCCTCCCTGGGAGGTTTGAGAGAATCTGGAATATCTGTTTAGAATTATAGATATCTGCCAAGTGCAGTGGCTCACACCTGTAATCCCAGCACTTTGGGAGGCTGAGGCAGGAGGATTGCTTAAGCCTAGGAGTTTAAGACCAACCTGGGCAACATAGTGAGATCATGTCTCTGCAAAAAATAACAATTAGCCAGGCATGGTGGCCTGCACCTGTGGTCCCAGCTACTTGGGAGGCCGAAGCGGGAGGATCACTTGAGCCCAGGAGGCCAAGGCTGCAGTGAGCTGTGATCACACCACTGCACTCCAGCGTGGGCAACAGAGCAAGACTCTGTCTGAAACAAACAAACAAACAAACAAAACAAAACAAAAAACAGACAGAGAGAGAGAGAAAGAAAATGGCAGATTATTATACAGGTCTCCCTGGGAGCTTTGAGAGAATATGGAATATCTATTTAGAAATATAAGAATCTTTCCAGACTCTCTGGAGTCTTCCACCAGATGATGCATAAAGAACATCCCTAGTAAATAGGAACCCAAGAAAATAGCTGAAGGCCAATACTGATCTGTGACTCCTGCATTAGGAGATGGACTTCCAGAGTAGAAAGTGCTCCAGATCTCTTTTCCTTAGTAGCTCGCCATTGCCATCATATCTCCAACCCTCCTTCCTCCCCAACCACCGCTATCAGATATGACAGGAACTCTCGGGCCAGAATAGGAGCCATAATTTCCTCAAGCTCACTTTGCTTTCAGTGAGTGCAATTTGGCCTTCACAGAACTAGATGTTCCTTCTCTACACGTTTTTGTTGTTTGTTTGTTTGTTTTTTGTTTTTGAGACGGAGTTTTGCTGTCACCACGCTGGAGTGCAGTGGTGCCATCTTGGCTCACTGCAACCTCCGCCTCCTGGGTTCAAGCGATTCTCCTGCCTCAGCCTCCCGAGTAGCTAGGATTATAGGTGCGCACCACCACACCCAGCTAATTTTTTGGTATTTTTAGTAGAGACGGGGTTTCACCATGTTGGCCAGGCTGGTCATGAACTCCTGACCTCATGATTCACCTGCCTCGGCCTCCCAAAGTGCTGGGATTACAGGCATGAGTCACCATGCCAGGCCCCTTCTCTACACTTTTAAAGCACATTGCTCATATTTCTCTGGGTTAACAAGGAAGTCTGTTTTTTGTGTGTCTCTCTTCCCCACTAGACTGTGAGCTTATCAAGAGGAGGAATCTTGTGTTTGTGTCTCTCCAGTGCCAATCAGATTGCTTGACACAGGCTCATTCATTCATTTAATCTCTCAATCATTTATTTATTCCCAACTGAAACCTCTCAATAAATGTTCATTGACTAAATAGATGGATAAATAAATATTTTTTTCAGGACTAGATTATGAATTTTATGGGCAAATTTCAAGGTATATATATGAGAAACTCCCTACCCATTTCATAGCAAAGTAAGCATGTGAGAAGAATAACTTGTATCCATCTTAAAACCATTCAGTAGTTCTCATAGTTCTTTGGATCAAGTCTTAAACCCTTCACATCATCTACAAAGCCTTTCATTTGTTCTAGTCACTGCCTATCATCCCAGCCTCATTTCTTTGCATTCTCTTCTTTATCTCCATTCTCCAGCTGCATTGACCTTCTAAGTAACTCAGCATCTGTACTCCTTCCCTACAGGGCCTTTGTATTTGAAGTTTCTGTGACTTGAACACCTCTTTCCCCTACCCTTCACCTGGTTAACTTCTGCATGTCTTCCAGATCTTAGGTCAGACATCTCTTCCTTAAAGAAATGTTCCTTAACCTCACTCCCCACCAGTCTATGTGAACTCTGTTATATGTATTCATATTTCTGTATTCCCTGTCCTTCAGAGAAGACATTGCAGTTTTATAGGTTTTTTTTTTTCAGACAGAGTTCTGCTTTGTTGCCCAGACTAGAGTGCAGTGGTGTGATCTCAGCTCACTGCAACCTCTGCCTCCCAGGTTCAAGTGATTCTCCTGCCTCAGCCTCCCCAGTAGCTGGGACCACAGGTGTATGCTACCACACCCAGCTAATTTTTTGTTTGTTTGTTTTTTTGAGATGGAGTCTCGCTCTGTCAGCCAGGCTGGAGTGCAGTGGCGCGACCTCGGCTCACTGCAAACTCTGCCGCCCGGTTTCAAGCGATTCTCCTGCCTCAGCCTCCTGAGTAGCTGGGATTACAGGTGCCCACCATCACACCCAGCTAATTTTTGTATTTTTAGTAGAGACAACGTTTCACCATATTGGCCAGGCTGTTCTCTAACTCCTGACCTTGTGATCTGCCCGCCTCAGCCTCCCAAAGTGCTGGGATTATAGGCATCAGCCACCGCGCCCAGCCTAATTTTTGTATTTTTAGTAGAGACGGGGTTTTACCATGTTGCCCAAGCTGGTCTTGAACTCCTGACTTCAGTGATCCACCCGCCTCAGCCTCCCAAAATGCTGGGATTACAGGCGTGAGCCACCATGCCCGGCCAGCTATTATTTTTTTTTAATGATTAAGCAATGTGTCAGTTATCTGTTGCCACAACAATGTTGTGTAATTTTAAAAGACTATATCAGTGACATTCACCAATAAGTGTTTATTGCTCATGTATTTGGGGTCAGTTGCAGGTCGGCAGGGCAGCTGCTGTTCTTGACTGTAAAGCCTGGACTCACTCATATATCTGAGGATAAGCTGGCTTGATGGCTGATCTGGCCAGACCTTGGTTTGGGTGACTAGAGCAACTGCTGAACCTGTCTCTTATCCTCCAGAAGGCTGGCCTAGACATGCACTCACGTTAGCGGCAGATATGTAAGAGGAAACATGACAGACTCCTAAGGAGGAGACACGGGCATACCATTAATTCCATCTTATTCTGTTGGCCAAAGTTAGTCACATGGACAAGTCCAGAGTCAGAGTGGGAGGGTACTACAAAGTTATAGGCAAAGGACATGTTTACAGGCATGGGTAAAGTATGGGGCCATCTTTGCATTCTACCACAAACTGACTCTAAGTTTAACTGAAGGCAATGATGGTGTACCTCTTTAATTTTTAAGAGACAGGTCTTGCTCTGTCACCCAGACTGAAGTGCAGTGGCTTGATCACAGCTCACTGTAACCATGAACTCCTGCATCCAAGTGATCCTCACTTCTCTGTCTCTCAAAGTACTGAGATTTACAGGCATGAGCCACTGTGCCCAGCTGGTGGACTTCTTTTTAATTGCTATTATATCTCTAGTACCCAACAAGATACTTGGCACATAGTGGGTGATAAATATTTTTTTAATGAAGGAAGGATGGAATATGAAAAAGCATTAATTTAATGCAGTTGTCTCAAGAATCCAGAGAAATGTCCACTTTTGAAGGAGGTTCCCACCTTAAGAAAGATAAAATAAATTAGTCCAATATTGTTATCCATTTTGTGTTTTTTCAAATTCCCAAATTCTCCCAAATAGTAGCTGTTTGCATTTCAGGGTTAGCTTTTATTTCCCATGTGACACATTTCCCTCTCTATCACTAGTGACAGTAGTGGAAGGTGTTTGAAAAATAATTTCAAATGAAAAAGGTGAGATATGAACTATGTGAAGAAACAGAACAAAAACTTAATAATTTAGATATGAAAAAAATAAGTAGTTTTCATTAGTTTGGACAAAGGTTTGGGCTAGCTTTCTCATATGTCATAGGCTTTATCTTCATTCATTTGTGCTGCTGTAACAGGATACCACAGACTAGGTGATTTTTAAAGAACAGAACTTTATTTCTTAGCGTTCTGGAGGCTGGGAAGTTCAAAAGCAAGGCGCTAGAAGGATTGGTAGCTGGTAAGGGCTGCTCTCTGCTTCCAAGTTGGCACCCCTGTTGCTATCTCCTCTGGAGGGGAGGAACACTGTATCCTCATATGGTGAAAAAAGCAGAAGAGCAAAAGAGCACTCCATTCAACCTCAAGCCCTTTTGTAAGGGTATTAATCTCATTTATGAGAGTGGAGCCTTCCCAAAGGCCACACCTCTTAACGCTGTTCCATTGGGGATTAAGTTTCAATATGAATTGTGAAGGGGACACCCTCATTCAAACCATAGCAGGCTTCCACATAACAGGCTCTGAAGGGCCAAGAGTAGGCTGCTGGTGCCTTCAAATCGTGTATTCCTTATAACTGGGAAAATAAGCCAAGTATTTCAGAGCCTGGTTAGTTCTAGAATATGAAATTCTAAAATATTGATAATGGTATGAAACACAGAAGAAAGAGAGGAAGAGAGGGAGGGAGGGAGGGAAGAAGGAAGGAAGGAAGGAAAGAAGGAAGGAAGAAAGGAAGGGGGGAAGGGCGAGAGGGAGGGAGGAAGAAGGAATGAAAGAAAGAAGGTGAAAGGAAAGAAAGAAAGGAAAGAAATGAAATGTATTGTTAAGAATGTGTAACAGACCATTTGATACAGCAATACCCAGATACTGGATATCTACTCAAAGAAAAAGAAGTCATTATATAAATAAGACACCTGCATTCATATGTTTGTCACAGCACAATTCACAATCATGAAGATATGGAATAAACCTAAGTGCGCATCAACAGATGAGTGGGTAAAGAAAACATGGTGTGTGTGTATATATGTGTAGATATAATGGAATACTACTGAGCCATTGGAAAAAAACAATGAAATACTGTCTTTGCAGCAACTTGGATGGAACTGGAGTCTATTATCCTAAGGGAAGTAACCTGGGAATAGAAAGCCAAATACCACATATTCTCACTTATAAATGGGAGATAAGCTGTGGGGATGCCAGCAAAGTGCTGCATGCATGGGTATGCAGAGGCATGCAGAGTGGACATGGGAGACTCAGTGGGGGAGGGTGGGAGAAGAACACGGGGTAAAAAATTACCTATTGGCTACAGTGTACACTATTTGAGTGATGGCTACACTAAAAAGTCCAGACTCCACATTATACAGTTTATCGATGTAACCAAAAATCACTTGTACCTCTAAAGCTACTGAAATTTAAAAAAGAATGTATAACAGTAAATGGGTTTCATATTCAGAGAGTGGTAAAGGAGTTGGGGGATGTTGATTCAAATTCTGTTAGGAAATTCTGTAAGAGCATGATGATAGTTTAATTGGACAATGTAATTGAGTATCTTTGATAAAGAGATTTATTATTTGACTCTGGCTTCATTTTAAAAATATGGCCTCTTTTCTCCAGGAATAATATTCAAAATACTTGTCAATGGGGACTAGCCATAGCAATGGAGGAAGATTTTAGAAACCTTGGTTGTGCAAAATCAAAATGTTAGTCCCTCTCTTTCTTTTCCTTCCTTCCTTCCTTCCTTTCCTTCTTTTCCTTTATCTTTCTCTCTTTTTTTCTGTCTCTCTCTTTCTTTCTTTCTTTTTTTTTGCAGGGTCTTAGGGTCTTGCTCTGTCTCCCAGGCTGGAGTACCATGGCAAAATCATGGCTCAAGGTGGCCTTGGACTCAAGCAATCCTCCCACTTCAGCGTCCTGAGTAGCTGGGACCAGGCCTGGATAATTTTTGTTAGATTTTCTGTAGAGACAAAGGTCTCCCTATGTTGCCCAGACTGGTCTGGAACTCCTGGGCTCAAGCAATCCTCCTGCCTTAGCCTCCCAAAGTGGTGGGATTATTGGCATGAGCCACCATGCCTAGCCCAAAGTGTTAGTCTTATGGCTGCTAAACTGTGGAAAGGTCTGGAGGTTTTTAGAGATGGGGATGGGGCAACCTGAGGAGGGAGTGGGCACTCTCTGGTTTGGGGCAGTAGTCATGTACCAACTCAGTAAGAATTGTTTCCTAATATTTTCTAATACTGATACAGTCATACCAGCCCTGTTTTTCTCTTTAATTAATTGAACTGAGCATCATACAGCTCACCTTTTAATGGAGCTATCAAGGTGAGAGTGCTGAAGGACTTCAGAGAACAGAAAGGTTAATGTCAGGACAAGAGTTAAAAAGTTGTTAAGATTTAGACAGGCACCAAAGAATTGTTAAGATTTAGACAGGCACCACCCTGGGCAACATTGCAAGACCTTGTCTCTACAATATATATAAAAAATTAGCTAGGCATGGTGGTGCACGTCTGTAGTCTCAGCTATTGGGGAGGCTCAGGTGGGAGGATTGCTTGAGCCTGAAAAGTTGAGGCTGCAGTGGGCCATGATCGTGCCACTGCACTCCAGCCTAGGTGACAGAGCAACACTCTGTCTTTAGAAAAAAAAAAAAAGGATTTAGACAGGCAAATGGAGCTGACACTCCACGCAGGAGAAAGAGCAACAGGAAGATACATTAATGTGGGAATGAGCTTGGGAAAGATAGTAAGAAGACACCTTGACTTGCATTTAAATGGAAGAAGTGTTTTCCATTCAAGTGGTCAGGGATAAAAATTTATTGAAGAAAAAGGGGAATCTACAAAAAACCTACAGCTAACATCATTTTTAATGGTAAAAGACTGAATGCCTCCCCTCCACCCTGCCAAGAGCAGCACAAGACAAAGTTGTCTGCTCTTTCCATTTCTATTCAGCATTATACTAGAGATGCTAGCTAGGACAGCTAAATAAGAAAAAGAAATAAAAACATCCAGATTGTAAAAGAAGAAGTAAAAAAATCTCTATTTGCAGATGACATTATCTTGTATATAGAAAATTCCAAGAAATACACCAAAAGGTTAGAACTAATAAATGAGTTCAGCAAGCTTGCAAGATACAAGATCAATGTGCAAAAATCAATTGCAATTCTGTACATTCATAAACAATCTAAAAATGTAATTAAGAAAAACATTTCATTTACAATAGATTAAAAAAGAATAAAATACTTAGGAATAAATTTAACAAGAGAAGTACAAGATTTATACATGGAAAACTACAAAATGCCATTGAAAAGAATCAAAGCAAACTTAAGTAAACGAAAAGACACCTATGTTCATGGATTGGAAGACCTAATATTATTAAAATGTCGATATTCCCAAACTGATCTACAGACTCCGTGCACGCCTATCAAAATTTCATCTGTCTACTTGGCACAATAACAAGCTGATCCTAAAATTCTTTGAAATGCAAGGGACTCAGAAGAGCCCAAGCAACCCTGAAGAAGAACAAAGTTGGAGGACTCAACACACGTTCTGATTTTAAATCTTTGTATGAAACTCCAATAACCAAGATGTGTAGTATTAGCATAAGGATGGACATACAAATAAGTGGAATAGAATTGAGAGTCCAGAAATAAATCTTTATATTTATGGCTAATTGGTTTTTGACAAGGGTACAAAAATTATTCAGTGGGAGGAAAGAATACTTTTTTTTTCAATAATAAGTTAACAAAAAATGGATCATTGACCTCAACATAAGGGCTAAAACTAAAAAAATTATTAGAGGAAAACAATAGGAGTAAATCTTTGTGACCTTGCATTAGGCAATCATTTATTAAATATGGCACCAAAAGCATAAGCAATAAAAGAAAAAATAGATAAATTGGACTTCATTAAATTAAAATTTTGATGTTTCAAAGGGCTCTACCAAGAAAGGGAAAAGACAGCTCACAAAATGGGAGAGAATATTTGCAAATTTATATCTGCTAAAGGTCTAATCTCCAGAGTATATAAAGAAATCTTAAAATTAAACAATAAAAAGACAACCCAATTTAAAAATGGGCAAAGGATTTGAATAAACATTTCTCCAGAGAAGATATACAAATGGCCTACAAACACATGAAAAGATGTTCAACATTATCAATCTTTAGGGTAATGCAAATCAAAGCCACATAGCAAGAATAAAGACAGTAAGTGTTGGCAAAGATGTAGAGAAATTGAAACCCTCATACATGGCTAGTGGGAATGTGAAATGGTGCAGCCATCTTGGAAATTATAGTAATTTGGTAGTTCCTTAAAATCTTAAAGATAAAATTGCCCTATTACCAAGCAATTCCATTCTTAGGTATATACCCGAGAGAATTGAAAACATATGTCCATATTAAAAACTTGCTCACAAATGTTCATAGCAACATTATTCATAATAGTTGAAAAATGGAAACAACAAAAATATTCATCAATTGATGAACGGATAAACAAAATATGGTAAACCCATATAATGGAATATTATTTGGCAATAAAAAGGAATGAACCATTAATACATATACAACATGGATAAAACTTGAAAACAGGCTAAGTGAAAGAAGCCGTATACAAAGAGCCACATATTGTCTTACTCTGTTTATATGGTGTGTCCAGAATAGGTAAATCCAGAGACACAACGTAGACTTGTGTTTGCCAGGGCTGGAGGAGGGATACATACAGAGTGACTGCTAATGAGTATGAATTTCGTTTGGGGGTGATGAAAATGTTCTAAATAAGATAGTGGTGATGGCTGCACAACTCTGTGAATATACTAAAAACCACTAAATTATGTTAAAAGGTAAATTTTATGATATGTGAATTATCCATTAATAAAACATAAAATATAACTTGTAGAATGACATTACGGAAAACTGTACTTTGGAGAAAAATCGCTGGGCTAGAGTATATGGAATGCTTTGGAGTCATATCATTGAGCTATAGTAACCAAAATGTAAGGTGACAAGGCCTGGGAAAGGTGCTGCTAAGCGGTAAAAGTGGAGAGCAAGTGGGGACGAAAGGACTACATGACTGGAAGAGAAGATGAAGGAAGGGGAACTGAAAATGACTCCAAACTTATTAGACTGGAAACTATGATTCCATTTACACAAATTTGTAAGCTGCAATTAAAGTTGGTTTTTGGTGGAAGGTGACAAATTCTGCTTTAAACATGGTTTTATAGTGATGACAGAACTTAGCAAGAGTGTCTGGTTGTCACATAAAGAATATTAACTGGAGCACAGGTAAGAGTAGCTGGAGATGCCAATTTGAAAGGATTTGCTTAGAAGGGGAAGTTTGAGCTCATGTGATAATCATGCAAAACAACTGAGGATGGCTGGGAGAGGGAAGCTGTCTTATCAAAGTAGGCAGGAGCCCATTCTTCATGCCTCAGCCTGTCCCTGTAGGAAATCCCTACCATAGCAGTCCATCCATGGGCACTTCATGAACTCAAAGGCTAGGAAGGTGGCTTTCCCAGCCTGTGCCTCAGACCTTCCTTCACCCCTCAGCTTGATACAATACCAGGTTAACTGACTCCTTTATTATTAAGTATATGAGGCATCATATCATACTCATTTTTTTTTTTGCCCCTTTTGGGTAGCTGCCGTAACATTCTAGCTAAGAGACAGTAATGGAATGATGCTGTTTTAGCCCAAACAGCTCCAGAAATAACAGTGGCAGGCATTTGGAATTCATTTAATTTAAGCATGTTCTCCAAATTTTACTAGATCTATTTTTATGCATCTATTTAAAATACTTTTTTTGTTTTCCTCTCCAGGAAATTGACCATATGCAGGTACTCCTGGGAGGACTCAAAACTTTTTTTTTTAACTTCCTTGGATTTCCAAATCTCTAATCTCCACTGATTAATTTTCCTTTCCATAGAAAATGTGATATAGTTTAAAGAAATTTGGAGAACAAATGAGCAAAAATTTTTGAAAGATACTCTGAATATTGACAATGACACAGATACTAAGTTTTAGGCTCGAAAATATCTAATCAGACAGTGAAGGGGTATTTGATGCATCACATGATGCTTGCATAAAGTAGTGAATCTCAAATCATTATCAAATCCCCACTGATAATGTCGGAGATGTTGATGCCAAATGACTGTGGGTTATTAGGATGCCTAGGCTGGGTGTGAAGCAGTCTGTAAATGTAACTAATGAGACAGACAAACACCACGGGGGTGCTTTCTTTGCTTGAGTTATATTTGCAGTTGGAGAAGGTTGGGTTTTTGTTTGTTTTTTCTGTATGTGAGATGTAATCTGGAAATAGTCTTCAAGTAGTTCTTTTCTTAGCCAGTTTTAAACATAGACTAACCAAATTACCTACTGCATCCCAACTATTTTTTAGTGGTAAGTCACTGGGTCTAAAGCAGTGTAGCTGACTTCATGAACAATAAGGTGAAGACCTGGCCATGATGGGACAGACTTCAGTGAGCAGTTTTAGGAGGGGTCAACCATGCTAACAGCCCAGATTCTCTAATCCTTGCCGAGGTGCTTCTACTAGCTTGACTGAAGGGACATAGTAAAGGAAGAAAAGCTCAGAAGTACAAGTAGAGACTTTGGTTCAAGATCTCATTCTCATAGTTTACTAGTAGTAAGGCTTTGGGCAACATACTTCCCAAAAGTTACCTCCAGGCTAGCGTGGTGGCTCAAGCCTGAAAACCTAGCACTTTGGGAGGCCGAGGCGGGTGGATCACCTGAAGTCAGGAGTTCGAGACCAGCCTGGCCAACATGGTGAAACCCCGTCTCTACTAAAAATACAAACAAATTAGCTGGGCATAGTGGCTGGCGACTGTAATCCCAGCTACTTGGGAGGCTGAGGCAGGGGAATCACTTGAACCTGGGAGGTGGAGGTTGCAGTGAGCTGAGATTGCGCCATTGCCTGGGCGACAGAGTGAGACTCTGTCTCAAAAAAAAGAAGTTATCTCCATATGCTCTCTCAGTGTTTTCACTTCCTACACACCATTCAATCCACACTCGTCTAATTTCTATCACCACCACTTAATGACATTGATTCTCTCAAGGTCCCTAGTAATCTCCAAAGCCAGATGACACTTCTTCATTGTCAGCTTTCTTAAACTCTCAGCAGCATCCCACACAGGTTACCACTGTCCTTCTTAAAACATGATACAGTTTTCAGTTTTTCTGTTCTTCTCTGGATGTTCTTTCTTATGATTCTATTTACAGAAATCTGTAAGCTGCAATTAAAGTTGGTTTTGGTGGAAGGTAATTTCTATCCAACCTGAAAGAATTAAGGATCTCAAGGATAAGTCCTGGGACTGCATTATTACTCACTCTCTCCCTTGGTGACCTCATATGTTCTCATGACCTTCAACATCAACTATAATCTATATGCCAATAAGTTCCAAATCATCACCATTTTCTGGAGTCTCTCATGAACCCAAGATGCATATATGCAACTGCTATTGACATCCCCTTAGATGTCAAATAGGAATCTCAGATTTAACACATCCAACATGGAACACTTGATTTCCTCTGCGAAACTTGGTCCTTCCCCACACCAACCCAAAAACTGGTAGTCATCCTTGATTCCTATCTTTCTCTCATTACCTGTATCCAATCATTCACTGAATCCTGGTCAGTTTTACCTAAAAAATACATCTCAAGTCCATTTCTTACCATCTCCATTGATTTCACCAAGTTCTAAGCCACAAACATCCTCTTACCTGGACCACTGCAATAGCCTTTAACAGGTTTCCTTGCCTTACTTTTATGGCACTTCAACCCAGTTTTTACACAGAAGGAATAATTATCTTGATTTAACTTGTTGATTTTGAAGATTTGTACACATACACTTGGACAGCGAGTAGCATGAATTCCCACATACCTATCACTGAGCTATAGTAGTTATCAATTCATCATTACAGTTTGTTTCATCAATAACCCTGTCTTCCCACCTCCTCTAGTACTTTGACATGAATCCCAGACATCATGTCATTTTACCCCTAAATATTTTAATATATCTCTAAAATACAGGATTCTTTTTCTTTAAATGTAACCACAAGACCATTAACACATCTAAAAATATTAATAATTTCTTAACATCATGAAATATCCAAAAAGTATATTTCTGAATACTGTATAATATGTAATTTTCACAATTCATAATTTTTTATAGTTACTTTGTTTGAATCAGGATCTCAACAAAGTCCACATATTGCCATTGGTCGATATGTCTTTGAGTCTCTTTTAATATGCAGAGTTTTTCTTTTGGTGGTTTCTCATTTGCTTACTTCCCTTTTTCCCTTTGCATTTTATTTGATGAAGAAACCACATTGTTTTGTCTAGTAGAGTTATATAGGGTTTTTTTTGTGGTTAATGTAACATTTCTTCATGTAAAAACTGCTAAGGTGGCTCTGTAGGTGGTAATGTTTTCTTCCATCAGAAATCATGTGTCTGGCTCTATGTCCTTTTGTAATGTTCGTAGCCATTATGCTAATACTTAAATCTATTAATTCATTAAGGGTTGCAAAACAGGGATATTTTGTCAATTCTTAATTTATTAGCAGCGATACTTGTATGAGGGAGGAACTGTCCTTGGTTTTTACTTTTTAGGTTACCTAGTGGTAAAGCTTGTGAAGACATAGATTTACCTTTTAAAAATGTAAACTGGATCATGTCTTTGCCCTGCAGAAAGTCTTCCTGTGGCATCTTCATGCACACAGTGAAATGTGTAGTCTATACATATTCTGCACGATTTGGCTCTGACATGATCTTTTTCATCATGTTCCATCACTGCTAGTAAACTATTATAATGAGCTTAAATTTCAATTAAATAAAAACTTGAAGTTTATTAAAATGTATTAAAAAGGTGAAGCCCTGTTTCCCTAGGCTTTTTGCCCTTACTGTTCCCTCTGCCTGTCCACCCTTCCCTCACTTTTTGCCTAGTTGGCTCCTTCTTTACCTACATGCTGAAATGTCATCTCTGCATAGAGGCCTTGTCTGACCTGTTCACTTAAGGGGCCTACTCTCCCCTATCATAGCTCCTGTTTAATTCCTTTATAGCATCCAACACAAACTACAACTATCTTTTTTTCTTTTCTTTGAGATGGAATTTCACTCTTGTTGCCCTATAACTATCTTTTTTTTTTTCTTTTGTTTGAGATGGAGTTTTGCTCTTGTTGCCCAGGCTGGGGTGCAATGGCGTGATCTCGGCTCGCCGCAACCTCTGCCTCCTGTGTTCAAGCGATTCTCCTCCCTCAGCCTCCCAAGTAGCTGGGATTACAGGCATGCACCACCACACCTGGCTAATTTTGTATTTTTAGTAGAGATGGGGTTTCTCCATGTTGGTCAGGCTGGTCTTGAACTCCCGACCTCGGGTGACCCACCCGCCTTGGCCTCCCAAAGTGCTGGGATTACAGGCGTGAGCCACCATGCCCGGCCTGTAACTATCTCTTTAAAGGTACTTATTAATCATTTCCCATCAAGAGTGCTAGCTCTGTGAAAGCAGGGATCTTTTCCATCCCATACACCACTGAATCCCAGGGCACATGCAGGACAATATCTAGCACACAGTGGGTGCTTTACTTTTTCTGAATGAACACCACAAACTCGCCGACCCTACATATCCTCATCTATATGAATGGGATGCAGGGATGAGCTAGGTAACTACAGAATTCCTTGCAGGTTGTCCATGTTTTTCTCTGAGGATATAGAGATGAGGATACAGATCATTCATTGCAATGCTTCCTGAGTTCTTCATGTTGTAGTTCCTTGAGCAAATGATGTCCGTTATGGGGCAGGCCATTGAGGCTGGTGAGAGGCTCCCAAACCAGGACCTGAGAGAGGAGCTGGTCCGGTAATTGATCAGAAGGCCACAGGAGTTTGGATAGGGAGAGCATTTCTGGAGTCACAGCGGTGGGAGAGTGGGGTGAGCTTATAGATTTAGGGCAGGAAATTCTTTGGAGTATGTACTTTGAGGGCTCCCTAATTTTTATGATCCTCAAGGACTCAAAGGACTGAGACTTCCTGAGTCTCCATAGGGTTCTGAAATCCCCCTATGCCCTCAAAATTCACTTTCTTCAGGAAATCCCACCAATTTAAGAATTATTTCAAAGCATTCTCCTTTTACAATGTAAACACTCTGGGCGTGGTTGAGAAGATTATTCACGTGTGTGTGAATTAGTTTAACCAGACTGCTTTCAACCTAAAATCTGAGGTATCAGCGTTTTGTTTAGCTTGAGAGAGTCAATGGAGAAGGGGACAATTTTAGAGTTTGGGTACTCTTGTGGGCTGGAGGACAGGCTTCCTCAGCACAGTGGACTGCTGGGGTAGGCAAGGATCGCTGGGGCACCCCAGGGGTAGAGACAGTGGACCAGGCCAACTAATTCCAAGGTTTTCAGTTTCCCTAGTGCTAGAGGTTCAGGGTTTTTTCTCAAGATTGCTTCAATTAACCTGATGTTTATCACCAGTAGAGGGTACAGACCAGACCCAGAATAGAGTTTCTGCCATGTAGAGATTCACTGAAGTCGGCAGCCATACACAGAGAGGCCAGACTGCTCTAACAGCAGAAAGGTGATGCCAGTGTGCCCACAGCATGGTGTTGGTGCACAGCCTCATCCAGTCATGCCCAGGGCAGCTTCCACTTACCTAGAAATGTTCCCAAGACTGCTGCTGCCTCTTCTCATCCCAGGGACCAGATGAGAAGAGACTGGGCTTTAGAGAAGACAAGGCCTCAGGAAGGAGAGGAACCCAAGCACCAGGCTATTGCCTGATTGCAAAGCAGGTTTTCCTCCTTCTCCCAGACCTGCTCCCTCATCTTGATAAATTCCCCTGCCACCTCCTGCCCACACCTCTCCATAGGAGCTTAATCCCTGCTGAAGCAGGAGGACTTGGAGAAGCTTTCTTGGAGAGATCATGTTAAGGCAGCCACAGTATAACAGGATTTGTAGTCATGTAGAGTTATACACTTGGTAAACGCTGGCAAGCTCTAATTGTGAAACCTTTTACTTATAGCCTGAAACCTACTTGGGGCTTTATTCTTTGGTGTGTTGAGAAGACATGACGAGTTGGTCCATATGTTTCTAACGTTCTTATAATATTGACCCAGTTGCATTCTTGTTCAAAGCAGTATCTTAGCTTTCTTGATAGCAGAGATCCAAGACAATGAGGTGAAAAAAAATCGTAAGACATTTAAATTACCACCAACAAAAATCATTTCATGGAATTTTACATTATAAGAAAACCAGTCTAGACTCCCTCAATGCAAGAAGCCCTACTCTTTTTTTTTTTTTTTTTTTTTTTTTTTTTTTTTTTTTTTTTTTTTTTTTTTTTTGAGACGGAGTCTCACTCTGTTGCCCAGGCTGGAGTGCAGTAGCGTGATCTCGGCTCGGTTCACTGCAACCTCCGCCTCCCAGGTTCAAGCGATTCTCCTGCCTCAGCCTCCTGAGTATCTGGGATTATAGGTGTGTGCCACCACGCCCAGCTAATTTTTGTATTTTTAGTAGAGACGGGGGTTTCACCATGTTGGTCAGGCTGCTCTCGAACTGGTGACCTCGTGATCCGCCTGTGTTGGCCTCCCAAAGAGCTGGGATTACAGGTGTGAGCCACTGCATCCGGCCTGGAAGCCCTACTCTTTACATGCAATGGGGTTCAGCATGTCCCACCTATACTTGAACAATTTCAGGAGTGGGGATCACAACTGCTTATTCCCTTGCATTGACAGGCATTTCTCTGTCTAACTTTCCTTGAGTCAGAATCTGATTACAAATTATCATTAGTCTTCGTTTCCCCTTCACAATTACAAAGAGGAAGTTAGTTTACTCGTCAAATAAGTATTAGTTATTATATCTCTGAATTCTTGTCTTCCCTACTGTGTACACTCTCTCGTTCTCTTGTTTCTGTTCTCCTAGGAAGAAGTATCAGCATCCCCTCCTATCCAAGCCTACTCCAAAGCTAATCTCATAGTTTTTGTCCTTGACACCTGCTCCCCTTTTCTCCCTTTTTAGGAACTTTGCTCCATCTCCTGGTTTCCCTTAGCTCCAGCTTACAAATACACCCATTCTACTCTCTATTCAACATTGCTTATCTACTCCAAAAGATAGTCTCATCTCCCATTTTCCTGTCACCATCAAATTTATGGAAAGAATTGTGCATGGTCACTACCCCCAGTTTCTCCTCACTCCCTATGGTAATTTATCTGCCTTCTTTCTCCTCAGCTTTATAGGAATCTATCTTTGAAGGACAGTAATGTCTTTGAAATGACCTTATCAGTCAGTAGGCTTCTCTACCCTCTGTAGCATATAATATTGATGCTGCTCCTCCTTCTGCCTTGGCATCTTCCTTAGACTCCCAGATGCAGAGGTCTCCTGGTTATCTTCCCATTTCCCTAATTGACCTTCTGTATCATTTCCTCTTTTATTCTTTGGCCTCCATAAAAACAAAACAAAACAGCCTTCCTTAAGGTAGTATCCTTAGACCACTTTTCTTTTCACTGTCCTCTCTTCCTAGGCAAATTTACCTGATTTCACGGTTTTATTTATTATTCTAACAGAGATAACCTCGAACCTCCATCTCCAGCTCAACCCTGACTTATCTCCATAATTCCATTTCAAGCTCCTGCTGAACATCTCCATTTGAATATCCTGATGCCACCTCAAACTCATGATACCACAAACCTAATTTCCTCCCAAAGCTATTTATTCTCTGGAATTCCTAATTTTGTTGAGGACATTACCTTAACCCCAATCAGCCAAGTTCTAGATCTACAAGTTGTTTTTAAGCTCTCCTGTTTTCTCCACAATTTCCATCTACTTTCTTTCTGCCTGTCCCCTCCTATTTCCATTGTCCCTTCTTTTTTTTTTTTTTTTTTTTTTTTTGAGACAGAGTCACTCTGTCACCCAGGGTGGAGTGCAGTGGCACGATCTTGACGCACTGCAACATCTGCCTCCTGGTTCAAGTGGTTCTCGTGCCTCAGCCTCCTGAGTAGCTGGGACTACAGCTGGGACTACATGGTGCACACCACCATGCCTGGCTAAGTTTAGTATTATTATTATTTTTTTTTGAGATGGTGTCTCACTCTGTTGCCCAGGCTGGAGTGTGGTGGTGCGGTCTCGGCTTACTGCAACCTCCATCTCCCAGGTTCAAGCGATTCTCCTTCTCAGCCTCCCGAGTAGCTGGGATTACAGGCACCTGCCACCACGCCCAGCTAATTTTTTCTATTTTTATTAGAGACAGGGTATCACCATGTTGGCCAGCCTGGTCTCAAACTCTTGACCTCATGATCCTAGTAGAGACAGGGTTTTACCATGTTGGCTAGGCTGGACCTTGAATTCCTGACCTCAAGTGATCTGCCCGCCTCAGCCTCCCAAATGCTGGGATTACAGGCATGAGCCACCATGCCAGCCGTCCCTTCTTAATTCAGGCCCTTTTAACCTCTTGCTGAACTGTCTTGATAGTACAATCGGCATGTTCATTTCCCACTTTCAACCTACTACATCTGCTGCTGCCAGATTGTGGTGGAGTTGAATCTTATGTGAAGTATAAGTATTGAAGTATTCAAGTCATTGTTTATGAAGAAAATCTCATACAATCAACATTACCCTTGAAAATGCCTTATATTGTCTATAAAGTAGAATCTACAGACACTGCTTCTCAGTAAGTTCAACACTGCTAGTTTTTCCTCTACTTTTGGAACAGATTACTTTTCTTTTGGTTGAACACCAGATGAAGTCATCTGCTTGGTTTTAGGGGTAGAGTCGTATGAAAAATATGTATCTTTAAACACCAGAATCACATTCAACACTAGCCTATTTGAGTTCATATTAGTTACTCATGAGTGTGATTTAAATCTACTGGAATATCTAAAAGCACAGCTCTGATCTCCATTATTTCTATGCTAAAAAACCTTTAGTGGCTCTCCATTGCCTATTGAGAAGGCCCATTTTTTTAACATGGCACTTAAAACTGTTCACTGTCTGACACCAACCCCCCTTTCTCACCCAGCTTATGCTCCAGAATGGAATGCCTGTGATCCCCATGCCCGCTCTGCACATTCCAGTCTCCATCCATACTTTCTCTCACAGTGGCCTGGAACGCTTTCCCCTTACTTCCCATCTCTGCTGGGCTCAGCCATTCTTCACAGGTCAACTCACATGCTGCCTCTTCTAAGATTCCTTCACAGAATCTTCTCTCCAGACCCTGTCCAGCCAAAATCGTATTTCCCTCCTCTGAACTGCAGTCGCTCCTCATTTGTACTGTGTTTATGGCAAGTATCATTTTCTATCTAGAATTGTCATTTCTGTTCATGTTTTACAAGTCTATAAACACCTTCAGGGCAGGGGCAGTGCTTGAATCTTCTTCATAGTTATGTATATACCACCATTTCCAGCTTCAAACATGCAGTTTTCAACAGATTTCAATGAAAAGATAAATTAAATAATGTAGCTTCCCATCTCCTCCCCATGCAGAATGTGCTCTAGTTTGGCAGTGCCCAAGGACTTGGGACCCAGTGCTCTAGAAAGAGCAGCAAACTCTTCCTAATCCCAGCAGCACCTCCATCAGGCAATGAATGAACTCAACAAGAAGGGGGATGGGTAAAACGTTATATGCAAATAGTTGCACTCTGCCCCTTCTTAAAGAGCAAAATAAACATGATTTTTTAAAAAGACCATGGAAGTTGACAATACAATGGCTTTTTCACAGAAGGCTTCAGGATATGCCAAGTTCTGTTATTGGGGATGGAGACATTTTGTCCCCATTGTGTAGAAAGAGACTGATGAGGTCTCTTAAGCAATCTCGCAGACCTACTGTTTTGAAGCATCAGAACATTTTTCTGTGCATCTCAAATTCATTGGAACTTTAAGTTTGTGGAGAGAAAAATCCTAGTTCCCCTCTTCCCCCATCTCATCTCTCTCCCAATAGACACAGGATGTTTTACCTCGGGAACTCAAAGTTGAAGGGGAGCTCAGATCCCAGGGGTGTACTGGGTATAACAGCCCCTTGAATCTTTTCTGAATCATACTCCACACTCCATAAATACAACTCTACCTCCGCTCAATTAAGGAAGGTCTGGGGGTTGGGGAGCCTATCTGACATCTTTCAAGGGATGGGGGTTGAGGAGCCTATCTGACATCTTTCAAGGGATGGGGGTTGGGGAGCCTATCGACATCTTTCAAGGGATGGGGCCTCTATCTTCATTATGGACATGCAGAAAATGTACTCTGCCCCAGTGACAGACAGAGGGAGTTTGACATTGAATTTACACCCGTAGCGTTGACTTTAGACTGATTAGGGAAAATGACTGCCCTGCACCCTTGTAAAATCTTAATGTTCCGTGAGAAGTGCACCGTGCTGTCTGATGTACAGTGTTTAGGTTTGTCTTGACCTTATTAAATCATGGAAAGCGGCTCCTATGAGGGAAGTTTTTTTTCTTTTTCTTTTCTTTTTTTTTTTTTAATTTCCTGCACGATTATTCAGGTGGCTTTTCCTGTTTCTACTCCCCCTCCTGGACTCGGGTCCTTAATTACTATTGCAGAGAACTGGAAGGATGCCTGCTCTGCTCTCCCAGCACGGTCTCCTCTGCTCGGCCTCCAGGCTACTCGCCCCCACCCTTTTCTCCCTCTAGCCCCGCCTCCTCCGCGCACCCCGTGGCCAGCAGCTAGACAGCTGTGTTCAATCAGAAACCACTTACAACTCCAGACGATTCGAAGGGGAAACTTCGGCGTGAAGTGCAGCTCCGCTCCGGCTCCCTCTAGCTTTCTTTCCTTCTCTGGAATCCGAGGCGCGGATCTTCCTCGCCCCACCGCCCTAGTTTTTTCGGGAGCTCGCCGGTGCCCTCTAGGGTGTCGGCTCGTGCTGGGAAGTGCCCTCCATCCTGGTAATGGGGGGCGGCGAGGCACCGTAGGAGTGGCGAGGCGGCGCCCAGGGTGGCACTGCCCCGGAACGGGGCGCTGGGTGCGCGCGGGAGGGTCCCCGCGCGGGCTCCGCCGCTGCCGCAGCTGCGAGCGCGCCGCGCCACCGAGCCTCCTGCAGCAATGGCTCGTCCGTGAAACGCGAGCCACGGCTGCTCTTTTTAAGAGTGCCTGCATCCTCCGTTTGCGCTTCGCAACTGTCCTGGGTGAAAATGGCTGTCTAGACTAAAATGTGGCAGAAGGGACCAAGCAGTGGATATTGAGCCTGTGAAGTCCAACTCTTAAGCTCCGAGACCTGGGGGACTGAGAGCCCAGCTCTGAAAAGTGCATCATGAATTCCGGAGTTGCCATGAAATATGGAAACGACTCCTCGGCCGAGCTGAGTGAGGTAAGAAACAGCTGAGGTCGGGAGCTAGGGTTTCTCGGGCGTTTGCTTTTCCACAAATCCCCCTCCCCTCGACCTCCCCACAGCCCTACACCCTATCCCCCTGTGCTCCCAGTCTGGAGGCAGCGCAATTGAAGATTAGTAGATTTTCTGGATCTTGTTTTAACTTGTAGTGCTACTCAGGAAATGACCTGAACTGGCTTGATATTTCAGTCTGAAATGAGTGGCTTAAAAAAGAAACAACCTCTCACCAAGCCGCGAGGCGTTTTACTCACGACAGTCTGCATCCCTTGTTCCTTCCCACCCGCTTCCACTAATTTATATACACCCTTTTATTTCCCTGATCGGTAAAATACACGGACATTCCCGATGAGTTTAAGCCGACGGTAACTAATTTGGTGGGGGTGGTGGTGGTGAGGGGGACGCATTGGATTATTTCATCTCCCACTTGGCTCCCACGTGCGATGCGTTTGGCTACGTTCAGGCAAGGTGGTCTCTTCCCTAGGCTGAGATGAATGACCCGCGCTGGGGAGGGGTCTGGGGAGAAAGCACTTCAAAGCCGCTTTAGAACTTTATTTCCTGCCCGGATCTGGACTCCTGAGTCTTTGAGGCAAGCGCATTTGCAATTCCTGGGCTCCCACTGTAACCTATCCACTTGAGTGTTTGAGACCAGCTTTGAAATTAAAGCTACATCAAACACTATGCAAATGTGTGAGCGGTAAGATGCCCAAAGCCATCTTTTTTCATGATTTTAGGGATGCTTCGGGCACATCCCTCAAAGCTTTGAATACCTGAAAAGTGATGAGAAGCCCGTAGAACTGGGTGCTGAAAAGAAGAGGAAGTCTGTGTGCTTAGTGTCTACAGCTAGAGGCTTGGTGTCTGTGGGTTTCCCTCTTGGTTCCATCACTGAGCCATTTATGGGGGCAAAAGTAGCATAAGTAGTCCGTGTTTCTTGAGTATGGCTGAAGAGAGGAAAGAGGAAGAAAAGGAAAACAGTGTAAAAGCAGCCGGAAGGCAGATAATGGTGATGTCAGACTACCAATGGTGAAGGGAAAAATGCAGGGATGGAGCCCCTGCGGGGGTGTGTGTGTGTGAGGGAACACCTGGTGATGGGAAAGAGGGGGGATTAAATGGGGTTGGGGGAAACCTAGGAGGTCTGCCGTCGGGCTGGTGAATGCTATTGGGCCCTGCCTGGTGCTCTTAAGTGTCATGCTGCTGCTGTGCTGTTCCTGCTCCGGTTTGAAATAGCATTTTGAGGTGCTGGCTGAATGAAGTAGAGCATTTGCTAATCCTTAACGGCTGTTGCCCCTGTGATGTAGAAGACTCAAGAAATGCTGAGAGTGAGAACTTAAAAATGGGAGGTGAGGGAGGAGGCATGAGGATTTAAGTGACTTTTGCCAATTTTATAATTAACGGTCTCAAATCTGAACTAGAACCCAGGGCCCTGCTCCATCACTAACCCTGTTTCAGGAGAAGCCTTTGGTGATCTTCTAAGGTCATTGAAAACCCCAAAACTGAAGGCATTTCTTTTGCAGAGACTCTTTGCCAGGCCCTTCACGATGTTTCTATGCAGCAGAGTGCTGTCCAGTAACCTTTGTTTAAATGAATCGCAGACTTAGGAGAAGGGGGGGCTAGAACCCTGAGTGAAGGAAGAGATGTGAATTGACTTTAGTCCTATTGGCACGTCCTTGAGCACATTGGGTGAGCAGAGAATGTGACACTCAGGTGCCACATAAAATTACCCATTTTTTTTGCCTAGTTGTATCCACTCCCTAAGTAATCCCTATAAAGCTTGTAGGCAAATGAAAGAGTTGAGAGTGCTTTGTAGTCCCTGCATTGGCTGGAAAACTATTTGAGCAGTATATGACATAATATTGTTCCTAAGGAAATAAGTTCCTTCCTCAGCTATATCCTTTACCAGATGTTCTTTTCTTCTCATCGGTGTCTGCTCATTCATTTTTTGCTTGCTTTCGAGCCAGTTTTAGGTACCATGATTTAGTTGTACCTCTTTCCAATCAATGTTAGTTATCCTGCAGGTTGAATGGTAGTTATTTTTACTTTCTGCACTAATTTTTTAAATTTTTATTTATTTATTTTTTGGAGACAGAGTCTCACTCTGTCACCCATGCTGGAGTGCAGTGGTGCAATCTCGGCTCACTGCAACCTCTGCCTCCCGGGTTCAAGCGATTCTCTTACCTCAGTCTCCCGAGTAGCTGGAATTACAGGCATGTGCCACTACGCCCAGCTAATTTTTTTATATTTTTAGTAGAGAAGAGGTTTCGCTATGTTGGCCAGGCTGGTCTCAAACTCCTGGCCTAAAGAGATCCGCCTGCCTCGGCTTGTACATATTTTAAATTAGAATATGTGTAAAGATAATTTGTAAGGCAAGAGAGTGTGTGGTTCATACCTTGTGGACCCTAAATCTCAGTTCAATTTAACATGGGCAATAACTTTAGTATTTACCATTTTTCTAATATCCACAGAGCAGTATCCATAGATTCAAATACAATTCGTTTGTATTCCTCACATTAGATCTTTGGTGTTTCTATTCCCTGTCATTTTTCTCTTAAACACTAGTTTTCGCTTAATATCTTGTAGGGCAAAGTTGCCATTCACTTTTGATGGTTGAGTCCTCCTCCTCACCTGGAAGCAGAGCTAATAAAACCCCTCAGGGCCCCTTTAGTGCCATCTCTCTGATTGCCCAGGAGCCTCAATGCTGTCTAGAGGTCACTGTGGGGTCAGTTTCAGCCTGATGTTTAGTAGGCATTTCAGGGGTAGGAAGAACTCTGAAAATACCTGCCATTATCCTGGGTATCATAAACAAAATGGCTCTCATTGGTGTTGACTTGCGGGCTTACTCCTTCTGTAAGGGTCCCCTAGCCACAGAAGTCATTGACTCTTTGACAGTAATGTTGACACTGACTCTGTAACATCCTGAACTAGAGAGTGAGTTTAATCAATTTCTGGTTGTCATCTGCTGATCCTGTTAGTGACAGCAGCAAGCTTTGGTCAACCACTGAGGTGTTGGCCTCTGCACCTAGTACTCCAGGAATGCTTGGATACTAGGGAGATAGGAGGGATTTGTGTGCGAGGGATACACAATTAGGAGACCTAGGGATGGGTGTTGGGCATGAGGTGTTTTGCATGTGTACTTCAAAATGGAAAACAGGAAATTCATGAGTGTGTTCCTTTTGTATCTTTAGTTTGAACAATAGCCATTTAAGATCCTGAGTTGATTACAGCAGATAGTAAAATTGCCTCTATGAACATTCAAACATATTTTTATGTATTTATTGACCATAAATGGCTTATGTCAAGTCTGAACGCTTTTTTGAAAGCAAAGGAATTCATAGCAGTAACAACAGAAATACAAAAGGAAAATGTAGACGGATAAACTAGTGATTTGTTCTTTTTTCTTGGCTATAGCTGTTCCTGTCATAAAGATTTGAAGGGATTTTTTTTTAAAATTGAGATTAAGGAAGGACTTCAACATCAGGCAAATCAAAAGCATTGCAAAAACTAAATGTTTGAATTCAACCTCTCTCCCCCATGATCAAGAAGCCGAATGGCCACACTTTAAGCAGCATTAAATTCTCCCGAAATCTTCCAAGGGACAGCTCTGGCATATTCTTCGTGGTCGTGACTTTTAGATCAGCAGTTAGCTCTATTGGTCTTGGTTAAATTTGTGGGGCCAGTATGTAGTTTAATCTTGTTAAATAATCCCAGGTATCTGGAAGGAAGATATCTTAAGGTTTAACAATATTAGGGTAAAACTTGACTTTACTTATTCTTGCAGAGTAGTTGTCTGCTTGATCTGGTTGTCTGGTAGACAGTTGCCTATTTATGTACAAAAATAAAAATTTATTTTTAAAAAATTTCTCCCATGGCAATCATAACCTCTGGAGATGAAAAAATATTCTTACTCAAAGAATTTGTACAAAGCAATCAACTTAAACTCTTTGCCTTTTAAACATTATTTAAACAATGGACAGACAAAATTCTGCATCACTATTTACTTGGAAACATTGGATGCCCCTGGAAATCATATTTCCCTTACTTTCTTCTTAGATCTTCATTCAAATCATTTTGTATCAGATCATTCCACTTCTGAATTAGGCCATAGAGGCAACTCTCCATGCTTTCACCATTTGCGTGTTGAGTAACTCCTGAAATGCCACCTCTTCGTTGATGCTCTAATTAAGAAGGAGAATTGTATAGAAGAAAGTTGTTCTCTACCTAGATTATCTTGTGTGACTATCTCCAAGTGGCCAGCTCGCAGCTGTGCTGTTCATCATCAAATTAATTATAAAATATCAGCATTGGAAGGGGCCTGAAAGATCACCTAGTATTCACACACCCTTTTTTGCCTCTTTATAGTCCTCTGCCTTTAGAAAATCACACTTCATTGTAATGAGCTGTTGAATGTCTGTCTTAGCCATAGCATTAGCATAAGCGTAAGAAGAGCAGGGTCAAGACCTGGTGCAGAATCCAACAAACTGCTCCAAAATTTAGAGGTTGAAAATAACCATCTTATTTACTCATGGATTTGCAGTTTGGGCAGAGTTCAGGGGGAAGACTTGTGTCAGTGACTAGAGCAAGAGGATCTACTTCCAAGATGGCTTAATCATATGAATGGCAAACTAATGTTGCCTGTGAATTGGGAGATCAGCTCAATTCTCTTCAACATGGGCATCCCTATGTGGCTTGGGCTTCCTCTCAGCATGGCAGCTGGGTTCCGAGAAAGAGGAGGTAAAGGTGCCTGTTCTCTTAAAATATGGAAGTGAAACGGGCACAGGATCATTTCTGTGTGTTCTGTTGGTCAAAACAGCTGTTTTCCCAGCCTAGATTAAGGTTAAAGAAGTAAGTAGAAAACACCTCTCCAAGAGGGGTGTCACAAAGAATTTGCAACCAATTTAAACCCACTCCAGAAGCCACAAAATGACAGAGCCTTGTCCAAAACTCTGACTTCTTTCTTTTTTCTTTTCATTTTTTTTTTTTTTTTTGAGATGGAGCCTCTCTGTGTTACCCAGGCTAGAGTGCAGTGGCGCAATCTCGGCTCACTGCAACCTGCCTCCCGGGATCAAGCAATTCTCCTGCCTCAGCCTCCTGAGTAGCTGGGATTACAGGCACGTGCCACCACTCCCGGCTAATTTTTGTATTTTTAGTAGAGACAGAGTTTCACCGTGTTGGTCAGGCTGGTCTTGAGCTCCTGACCTTGTGATCCATCTACCTCAGCCTCCCAAAGTGTTGGGATTGTAGGCGTGAACCACCGCACCTACCTTAAAACCCTGACTTCTTAATTCCCAATGCCTGGCAATGGTTTTTAGTTTTTTGTTTTGTTTTGCTTTATAGCTGTTCATTTTGTGGTTTGTAATAACTCTGAATCACATTTTCTAAGCACTTCCCAGATATTGACATGCTTGTCTAAAACTCTGAGGTGCCTTCTGTTATTCCCATGTTACAGGTTTAGAAATTATGGCATAAGAAGGGGGAAAAGCATATCGAAACTACACAGACTGTAAAAGGTGGAGTCAAGATTTGTGCCCAGGTAGCCTTTCTCCAGAGCACACTCAGAGGAATCCATGTGTACATTAATTCCTTTCATTAGCTTCTGTTACTGCCCTCAGCTTTTGATCACATGTTCCAAGGAGGGAGTATTCTATTTTAATAAGCCTGTTTAACTTGATTTGTATTGTAATCCCTATGCAATACCCAGATATTTTGATAAAAATGAAATGATATGATTAGAGTAAAGGGATATAGTCACTGCCATAGCCTCCAAGTGGTGGAGGAATTCAAAGCATTGACTTTCCAGAGCCCTAAAAGCAGATTCGTCGATAAGGAATAGTTGTGATCCTCATTCAGTGGGGGTTGGGAGAGAGACTTCTATTTTTTTTCACTGCAAGGAAGGTGGAATATTACAACCTGTGACCCACTACCTGTGTATTCAGAGACATCTCAGAGATTGATGTTACAATACTTGAGGTGCCAGAAAGAGAAGAATAAAGCTTTAAATATCTTAAGAATTAGGGCTTTCCCAGCCCTGCAGGCAGGGCTTTAAGTTCCTTCTACAGTTGGCCAAATCACTGTGGGGCTGCAGAGTGCCGAGGCTTGGGGAGAAAGCCAAAGGGGCCCAGTGAAGTTAGTGGCCACGGCTGCATGGCAAGGCAGCGGCTGACAGCCAGGTCTTGCAGAAGCACATGCTGAACATGACATTGAGGTCCTGAGTCAAATGCAGTGGATCAGGTGCAGTAGATCAAGCCACAGAGATGGTTCGTTTGGCTGGAACCAGGTGGAAGACAAGAAAAAGGAGAACATGTGATATGAACAGAGAAGTTACTCAAAGACCAGGTAGGTGATCAGAACTGGGATGGCCACAGACCTGGAAGCAGGGAGAGAAGCTTGATTCTGAGGAAGTGCTTTGACCAATTGGGAAGCTTTTAAGTCCCAAGACTTCTTATCTTAAGGAAGCACCTTAGAGGTAGTTGCTACCAATTGGAGATGCCAGAACCCTGAGTGTGAGTGGGCACACTTATCTAGAGTAGGGAATGTCATGGTGATACTCAGGAAATAAAGTCAAGTGTGCAGTTGTAATAGCTGCCTAGCTGATTTACCCAATGCAAGTCATGAGGAAGGCTTTCTCCCAGGTGGGGCTGCAATTGGAAGATCAAACCTGCATTTATAGCAAAATTAAGAAGCTGTTGATGGGCTGGGCGTGGTGGCTCATGCCTGTAATCCCAGCACTTTGGGAGGCTGAGACAGGTGGATCATGAGGTCGAGAGTTCAAGACCAGCCTGGCCAAGATGGTGAAACTCTGTCTCTACTAAAAATACAAAAGTTAGCCGGGCATGGTGGCGGGCACTTGTAATCCCAGCTACTCGGGAGGCTGAGCAGAGAATCGCTTGAACCCAGGAGGTGGAGGTTGCAGTGAGCCAAGATCGCACCACAGCACTCCAGCCTGGGCGACAGAGCGAGACTCTGTCTCAAAAAAAAGAAGTTGTTGATGAAGATTTCAAAGTTAGTTTTTGATCCAGGGAATCAAATTACAGAAAATGAAAATTATATTTTAAGCCATCTCTAGATTCTGAGAGGAGGGGTTTGTGTTGGCAAGGTTATAAAATCAGACAAGCCAAAGAAGACAACAAGAATTGATAGATATTAGTTAGGACTTGGATTATTTACATTGGTGAGAGGATGTCATAGCAGAGATAAATTGTATGTAATTATTTTTTTGAACCCTCTTTCCTCCCCCATATATCTGCCCGGATTCCCAACAGTGATATCTTTCACTCTTGGGGGTGAAAAAAAGAAAAAAGCAAGTAATGTGGATTACACAGATAAACAGAAGTTCAATTTATAGAGTAAATATTTACTGGAACTACAGAGATACCCTGTCTTTCTAGCCAATGTCCTTTTTCTCTTGTTGACTAGAAACAGCCAAAATTGGTACAGAGAGGAAAGAGGAAACCTTTTCAAGGGTTTTCATTGCCACAGGAGTGAATAAGGTTGTAAAGCACTTTGCATGTATGAATCTTTCAAGATATTTCTTAAATTCAGCAAAGACCTTAAACCTTGAGAAAGTCTTTTAGGGAAAAAAATTCTGTAGTTAGCAGCTATTAATTCCAATTGCCATACCAAAAACCATATGTTGAGTTTGTTAACTTTGTAAATAAGCAATAAAAAAGCCCATTGAACTGGGAAATTTGTGTGGTGAAGGCTGCCTGATGTTTTGGTTGGTGGAATATTTTGAGCAGATCCCTTGTCATGAGATTTGATCAGTGCCTGGAACGCGCATAGGACTTATGGGGCCAGAGGTGGAAATGCATCTTAAACCAAAATCTATGGTGTGTGATTATTTGAGAACAGAAAGTTTCATGAAACCTCAATGTGTGTGCGCATGTCAGTTAACTTCAGCTGGGGTTGTGAGAAATACTGAAGCAGTTGTCAAAGGAAGAATGCCAACTAGGGAAAAGATGGCCTTGCAGTTAGAAAAGGAATGGAGGCCTCTGACTGGTTATGTGGTGAGAGTGGGAGTAATTCCTTGTTCCTGTTTTCCTGTGGGTTGTGTGAACTTGTCCATAGAACACACAGCACTCTTAGAGTCTTCTTGCTCTTCTCCCAGCGGCCCCCGGTGTCTCCAGGTTAGTTGTTCCTTCCCTTATCTGTGTTCAGAATACTTACAAGTTGGCCTCCTTGGGGAGACCATGAGGTCTTTGAAGGCAGAGACAGAGTAAAGTTGATCACTATATTGCCAGCACCTAGTCAATATGTGGTAGATAGGATATCAACAGTCTTTGAAGTTGTTGTTTGGACCAAATCCCAGTTGCCATTTTACTGTGACAGATGTGTTGGATTAACTCCTTTTCTATTTTGGTGAAAGTACCCATTCGATGGAATTTAGTTTGGTCATTTTGACTGTAATTTATTATCTTGTAACCGTTCACATATTCAGTCAACAAATATTGTGTGCCTTCTACATGTCAGATGCTATTGTAAGACTGGGGATACAGCAACAAACAAAACTGATGTAGTCCCTGTTCTATGCATCCTACACAGATACATAGACAGTACACAAATGTTCAGTGGTGATATGTGCTGTAAAGGAAAAACTCTCAGGGAATGAAATGGGGAGGGATGCTGTTTGAGTGATCAGGGAAGACTTCACTGTGGGAGTCTGTGAAATGAGGGACACAGTCATGTGAAGATGGGGGACAATCATTTCAGGCAGAAAGGAAGAGTGAGGGCCAAGGTGCAGAGCCCAGGGCACTCTTGCTATGCTTCAGGAGTGGCAAGGCAGCAATGACTGGGAGCAGAGTGAGCAGGGGGAGAGTGGAAGGAGATGAGGTCCAAGAAAACAGTTCTGGCCAGATCACCTAGGGCTTCATAAGCCCTGGAAGAGTATCTGGATCTCCCTGGAGAGTTTCCAACGCAGGCCTGAATTTGTTTTACTTTCTTATTCTTTTCATATTTTGTGGGGGTGGGGGGCGGGGTAGGCAGGGGGAGATGTAGGGAAGAGGAGGAATTAGCAAAGAAAAGGCCTGGAAAGTTGTGTTCTGAAAGCCAGTTAAAGAAGGTATTTTCAGAAGAGGGCAGAGTGATCCATCGTCAGATGCCTCTCCTTTGGCTTCCCGCCTTTGAAGCCTGTGTATATTCCCAAACTTTCAAACTGTATCATTTTCTGTAGTCAAAAGTAATTATTATGTACCATAAAAATACACTGTAATTATTTTTTTGACATCTTCAGTGTATGTGAATTCATTTTCCCCTAAAAAGGAATGGTTTAAAAAAATGAGTGGCATGGACACTGGCCAAGAATGATTTGAAAATTGCTTTCCCTTGATTGATGGTTCAGTATTGATGGATGCTGATGTTGTATAATATAGGTGGGTTTTGAATTAGAAAAATTGAAAACTGCCTTCCACTGTCACATGGACCCATTTCCTTCAACTATTTAGAATCAGACTTTATTTTTATGAACTTTAATATCAATTTATTGATTTATAACAAATATAACTGCAAGGAGACTGGAATGCTGACACTTATTTCCTATTGAAAAACTACTTGGCAGTCAGATTATGACCAGAAAATTGCCTGGCAAACATGGAATCAGACAAAGGAAGTGCTTCTATTGGGTGGTGCTATTAAGCATATATTTGACTTAAGCGATATCTTGTCCTAACCATTTGCATGACTGATAAAGAAACTGAGGCCTGAAGAAGGCTTGCTAGTGGCAAAAGGGGAAATGTAGTACTGAGATTTTATTTTTCTAATTCCCAGGGATATTTTTTTCTCTTCTGCCTCAACTTCCTCTATTTCTATATTACAGGATATTTACATTAAGGTATGTGTTTTGGAATATTCTGTAATTATTTTAAAAGGAGAAAGTTTAATTCTTCAGTAAATCATATCTAGATACAACATTATTACAGATCACACTATCAAAATACAGTTGACCCTTAAACCATGCTGGCATAGAAACACCAACCTGCCACCCCTGCAGTAGAATTCCATTTTGCAGGCTGGAGTACAGTAATGCAGTCTGCAGCCTCTACCCACTGGGCTCAAGTGATCGTCCCACCTCAGCCTCCCAAGTAGCTGGGACTAGAGGCACATGCCAAGACATCCGGCTACTTTTTGTATTTTCTGTAGAGATGGGATTTTGCCAGTCACCCAGGCTGTGCATAACTTTAGACTCCTCAAAAACATAATTGCTGATAGCCTACTGTTGACCAGAAGACTTACTGATAACATAAGTCAATTAACACATTTTATATGATACATGTATTATATACCATAGTCCGAAAGTAAGCTGGAGGAAAGAAAATGTTATTAAGAAAATCATAAGGAAGAGAAAATATATTGATTATTCATGCAGTGGATCATCATAAAGGTCTTCATCTTCATCGTCTTCATGTAGAGTAGGCTGAGGAGGAGGAAGAGGGAGGTTTGGTTTTGCTGTCCCAGGTGGCAGAAGCTAAGTTTACACATGTAAGTGGATCAAACATTAGCAGTTCAAACCAGTGTTGTTCAATGATCAACTGTAATTAGTAATAAGAATTTATTTTTAGCTTTAACTGTGGTTTTAGGGTGTGTTGTAATTGCTCTCAACAGGCTTTTATTGACAAAGATTGTTGGAGCCTAGCAGGGACAATACGCCTTTCTTTTTGCGGGGGGAATAATGAGATGAGCTTACTCTTTGGCTGGTTTGCTAGCTGCTGTATGTTGACAGGGAGTGATTGGTCAAGCCTCTCCTTTCTTTAAAATTTCTCAGCATCCTTGATAACACTTGTTCTTTTCCGTTTCTTTTTAAAAATTTTTATATTTTTGATTGTAGCTATCCTAATGGCTGTGAAGTGGTATCTCATTGTGGGTTTGATTTGCATTTCCCTAATGGTTAGTGATGTTGAGCATCTCTTCACGTGTTTATTGGCCATTTATACATTTTCTTTGGAAAAATATCTGTTCAAGTCCTTAACCTATTTTTAAATCTGGTTTGGCTTTTGTTGATGTTGAGTTACAGAGTTTCTTTGCATATTCTGGATTATCAATCCCTTAGTCCTCTTCTCCTTTGTCCATTTTTTATTTTCTCCATATTGGGGCTTTGCACAGTACTCACGCCTTGGTATTTCCAGTAGGAGTGAAAGTGAGTATAAAATACAGCCCAAGAGTGAATAGCCTCTCCACAGAAAATAAATGGGCTCTGCCCAAGCCCAGGAAGGCTCCTCCAGAGTGCCCAAGAATAAGAAGCATTCTGATGCTTTGTCGGGCCGGGCTACTTTTCACAGGCCGACACCCAGCAACTCTACTTGTGGCCTGACTAGCAATGTCAGGCAGGCACAGAGTTAAGAATTATGTCTGTGACATTTGAAGAGTAACAGTTTTCCACCAACATGTGATTTCACAGTCTTCAAAGAGGAGTTTTAGGAGAGGGCTTTAGCAAGAGGGGCTTGTGGAAAGCAGCCAGGAAGTCACAGGCTGGTCTGTTAGATTAGGTAACTCTGTTACTTTATTTCTTGGTGATGTGACTCTAATCGTGATTAAACCAAAATCTAATTTATTTTCATGCTTGATTGGGAGCACTTTTGATGAAGTATTTGAATAAGAGTAAGCGCCATATGGGACTACTGTAGGAAATGTAGTGGTTCAGAGGCTGTTGGGCCTGGGCTGATTATTAACAGGGTGTTAAGATTGAGGAGAGGGAAAAATGAGTGCATTGGACTCCAGGACAGGAAGAGTTTTTATTTCCAGCTTAGAATAGGTAGATTTAAAATCAAATTTGGTATCCTCTCTCTGTCTCTGTCTCTCTTTTGGCATAATCTGATGGAAGCAGGGAGCAGAAGTCAGTATGCCTTTTGGTAGGATTGACAGAGCGACTTCCAAAACTGTTTCTCATTTTGGGCATCTGAACTGCTTATGAAAATGCTGTCTGGACACACATGTAATTACTGCTGAAGAAAGTGTCTGATGCTGATAAAGCTGCCTTCAAACCCTTTAATTCCCTGAGTGTCAAAGATGGAGCGTCTTCTTTATTTGGCATTAAAACATCCCCAGCTAGCAGTGATGACATATTGGGGTCAGGATACTAAGTTGAATGACTAGGAAAGGCCTCTGTTTTTTGGCACCTTCTCTGCTAACTTCACTGGGTCAAGTCACTTCAGTTTCTTTGTCTGTAAAACTATTTTTTTTCTAAAGTTATAGACTCTGAAATCATAGCCCTGCCACTTCCTAGCTAGGTGATGCGGGGAAGGTTGCTTTTCTGGGCTGCACATTCCCTGTTATAAAGTAGTGATAATAAAAGTATTTTCCCTAGATAAATGTTGTGAAGGCCAGTGACATAACCCATATAGTGATTATCACAGTGCCTAGTAAATACATAGTAATTGCCAGTTCTTGCTGCTATATTATTATTATATTTTGCTACTATAGGGCCTACTTGCTGAAGATGCCAAGTAGAGTAGAAGTGCCTTAGAAGCATTAGTAGCTATATTTGTGAGCACTCAAATAATTTAAGAGAAGTTCTTAAGTGTAGACCAATATGTCATGAAAACAATATGCAGGAATGCTGAGAGTCTCACTGCCTGCTGTTGTTTTTTTCTTTCTCTACCTTAATGCCAAAAGCTCATTGCCTGGGAAAATGTTTATCCAAATAGTGTCAAGTCAGAATACTGGGTATTTTCTTTTCTGGATTCACAGAGCCAGAATGTTAATAAGCTAACAAGTGGCAATACTAATTCCTTTTAAATTTTTATGACTTTTGCCCTAATTTTGTCCCAGGTTTATTGTTTTCAATCCCTCTTGTGCCCAGTAACCTTTGGATGACCATCATGATTGAGGTCATGGGAGAGAGGTGGCATTGTGGTCACTGCCTGTGTCCAGAATAAGGATGCACTGCAGAGAAACAGACCGTGTTCATGTGGTGCATGACCATTCTTTCCTGGAGATAAGGTTTTATCAGTGATGCACACTTTGTGAATTACTGTAAAGATTTTATCAGTGATGCACACTTTGTGAATTACTGTAGAAGTTTTATCAGTGATGCACACTTTGTGAATTACTGTACGAGTTGCAATTGGTTAACTGGAAGAAGGTTACAGAAGCACTGGTGAGAGCATTGCTTTGAAGCAGCAATGATGGCTGGAGGTTTGAGAGGATTTGGAATATCCCCCATAGCAACGAAGGCCACGTGTTTCATTTATAGCTACCTTTTTTATTTGCAAGAAGTTTTTTAAAGCCTCTGATACTTTATTGAGGTTTTGGCTAATGGTCAAAAGGAGGAAGTGGTAGAATATTCCTGCCAGTGTTTTGAAGTTGTTAAGCAGTTTGGTCATTTGCTGACCAGCATATACCATGAGGGCAATGGGAAGGGAACTGAAGAAGCCCTAAACCTAAGCCCTAGGCTCTTCCACCTCCCACTTGGTTGTGGAGCTTTGGACCCCTTGGACTTCCATGGCTGGGTCATCTCCATGGACTCTCTTATGGTGGTGGTTTCCATTCCCATGGCTTTGACTGCCACCTCTAAGCTGTTGCCTCCAACCTAGGTTGGTCTGAATATCCAACAGGTAAAAGGAGAATCACAGGTCTTGTGCAATACAAAATCTTCTTGTAGTCAGTATTCTTCCTCCTCCTCCCTCCTGCCCTCTCAAAACAAAGCTCATACTGCCCCTTCTTCCTGTGATGACGTTTCTCCATCTGGTGACACCAACTCATCTTCTAGACTCAACATGTCACCTTCTCTGGAAGGCCTTTCTCAACTCCTGGTGAGTGCCAAGTACCCCATGAAGTCTGGCAACACTCCTCACCCCTCTGACTTACGACTTAGAATTCTATAATACAGTGTGTTCACCTATGTCTCTGTCTCAGCACCTTTGCTGGTGAGAGTGGCTGGTGGCTGGAGAAATGCTTTCGTATCAGAACATACCCTACATTGTTGCAGTGTGCTTGACAGAATACATGATAATAAAGAATAATGAAAATAAGTAAAATAATACTAGGAGATAGATAGAAAAGTTACACATAGGGCAACTACTTTTATATCAACCAGCGGTGTGAGCCCCTGGAACCCACCACCCCCAGGTTCCCTTTCCATGAAAAAGGATCTGGGCTACAGCTCGCCTCTATCTACTTCTGAAGGCAAACACTGAGCCCCAGGGGCCCACCCAGTACAACTGGGGTTGGAGAGCTTTGTTTCCAGCCAGATTACATGAGAGTATCTGAACTTGGCTCTGGGTGTCCTCTCTCAGGAAGAGAAGAGATCAGTGTGGAGGCCGAATGGAAGCAAGTTGTAGTCCTGGGATGATGGGAGTAGCTCCAGGAGCTGGAATTGTTGCAGATTGTGTTAAGAAATGATAAATGTGAAGAATGGCAATACCATATTATTTTGTTGAAATACTTCTAGTGAAGCAGTATGGTACAGAATTACTTCAATTTCATTTTGCAAGTATTCCCTTTATGCATTTCAAAAGCTACATCTATACTTTTTAAAACATATTGCCTTTAATACAACAAAACTGTTTAGTGATGCACAGTAATAATTCTGATATTCAAAGCATCCTGTTACAAATTAGTATTGTTAAATGTATATTGTCCATTGATACTCTGATTATTCTAAAAATTCGTAAGAGCTTGTGAGAATGGTAACGTAATGCATCTGGACTTATCAAGGTTTCTTTCCAAATTAAAAATGAATAGTATTAGAAGATGGGGCTTGGGGGATAATTTTATCTATAATTGTGTTCTACATGCAAAAAGACATCCTTTCTTACAAAGATACGAAGTCCATGCAGTTAAGCTCCGATATTCATTTGCAAGAGACAAATATGTTAATTGCTTTTCTGGGGTGAATGATTCTTAATCCAGTAGAAATGAAAGAGTTTTAAATTCATTTTACTAATTTTTTTTTAATGTCAGTGTTCATAGATTACTATATAGAGTTAATAAGGTATTCCAATGAGGTCTGGGTTACTGGGTGAATTTCATTCACAATACGACACTGTAATATTCCTCAGTGGTAGAATTAAGTTTTCATCAAAGCAATCAGCCTGCAATGCTTCGGGTGACTCTGAGCATTGAACATTGGTGCTTATGTGGGTTGGGTGGGAAACTGGAGCACACCATGTCGTGAAATGATGAGGCTGATGTAGTGTCTTATAAGTGCTACTTAACACAGCAATTGGAATTGGGAAGTTACTGAGATCAGTTGTGTGGAGAGTTCTGAGGTTTATGACTCAGAAAAGAAGTTAACCTTTTCATTGCACATCTGACTATCAAAAACCCCAGCTAAAGACTCATGGGCTTTTCCCTTTATATTCTTGCCTTTAATATACCAACGACATAGAAAAATTTTAAAATTGCTTTTTAAAAATACTCTAACATGTTAATATTTGGAAAAGGCCAGCTTGCAAAAAGAGACACTTGATTTGTAAATTTCTGGACAGCATAAACCAGACTATATGGTGGTGAGAATGAAGGCAGTTATTAAAGGTTTCAAGAAGAGCATTCAGCTGTGCTAAGCACTTTGAAAGCATTTGTTTGGTCATTTCCCTGCCTAGAAACCCTTCATTTCGAGGTACCCAGCCCCATATACCCTGTTGATCACTCCACCTATATCTCCAGCCACGTCGCTCACATTCTATCCTCCAGCCAACACCGCTGATTTCAGCACCTTCAAGGTGCCTGGTTGTCTCTGGACTTCACAACTTCACATTTGCTATTCCTCCACTGGTATACTATCCACATCCTTAAACTTTGCTTGTCTACCTCCTGCTCATCATATAGGACTTAGTTTAAATGTTAGTTACCTTGGAAAACTGTTTCTGATGTTGCCACCCCCGGTCTAGGTTCCATCTCCTCTCCTGTGTTCCCCGTTGCATTGGGTAGTTCGCATTGTAGCAGTTAATACACTGTAAAGGCCTGAGGACTTGGTATTTCGTACCACAATGGCTGTTATTCACCATTGACCCTAGTACCTGCATAGTGCCTAATAGTGCCTGACCCTCAGCATTCACTTTCTAGTGAATGGCCTTCATTTAAAGTATGCCATGGTCCCATGAGACAGATCCTGTCTTTAGGGGCATTTGATGTGAGAGAATAGAAGCTCAGACAGGTTAAGGATCTTGTCCAAGGTCACAGGTCTGGTAGATGGCAGGGCCAGGTTTCAATTAGGGTTTGATTCCTGAAGTCCCTGCTGTTTGCATAATGCTACTCCTTTCTCAGACCATGTTGTCATGGCTGTTGGAGCTGGAAGATGGCTTGGTAGGTTGCAGGGAAGGACAGGCATTGGGAATAATACCCAGGTTTCTGAGGGGATTCTGCTGATAGGTGAGACTGGAGATCTCCTAGTAAAATCCAGTTCGTGAGGAATGATGAGTCTAGATTTGGGCATTCTGAGTTTGAGATGCCTGCTGGTCATCTAAGTGGAAATGTGCAGTAGACTGTTGGATAATAAGGCTCAGAGACAGGTCAGGATTTGGGCATCTTTGGTCTTCATGGCTGTTCACTCACAATGCAGATGGCTGATGGGTGATGTAGACATATAGTTTATTCCAGTCTCTCCACAGTAGATGCCAATATCGCATATACCACATAAATAAAGAGTGGTATGAAGTAACCATTTGGTACTGTTTGTACTCAAATGCAGATGAAAGGACCATAGTCTGTCTTCTAGCATTTTATGTATATATAATACATGTGTGTATAGTTCAGAATCTGCCATTATAACTAAAGCAGACCGTGCTTTTTAAGTCATGGTTTTTAAAATTGTTTTTAAGAAAAATTTAATTAGTTCACATCACATGAGCATTTCCACCTTGGACTCCTTACAGAAAGGGCAGGATAAAGAGTAAGGAGTATGCAGGCATGATCATAAAAATAGTGCATATTCATACAAAACTTGGGAAATAAATGAGTAAACAAAAAATTTTGTATTTTACTATCAGGTAACATTTTGGTAATTTTTTTTTTTTTTTGAGATGGAGTCTCACTCTGTCACCCAGGCTGGAGTGCAGTGGCACAATCTCGGCTCACTGCAACCTCTGCCTCCTGGGTTCAAGCGATTCTGCTGCCTCAGCCTCCCGAGTAGCTGGGATTACAGGTGCCCGCCATGATGTCTGGCTGTTTTTTTTTTGTTTGTGTTTTTGTTTTTTGTTTTTTTTTAGTAGAGATGGGGTTTCACCATGTTGGCCAGGCTGGTCTTGAACTCCTGACCTCAGGTGATCTGCCTGCCTAGGCCTCCCAAAGTGCTGGGATTACAGGTGTGAGCCACCATGCCTGGCCGGTATGTCTTTAGTTATAAAGATTTCTTTAAAGGGATCATACTTGAGTTTTAAAGAATCATATTCTGCATTTTTTTCAAGTTTTCCTTGATATAGCTTCTTTTTAAAAACTTGATTCCTTTTGGCCAGGTGCAATGGCTCACACCTGTAATTCCAGCAATTTGGAAGCCTGAGGTGGGGGGAATCACTTGAGCCTAGGAGTGTAGACCAGCCTCGGTAACACCGTGAGACCATCTCTACAAAAAAAAAAAAAAAATAAGAAGAAAAATTAGTTGGGTGTGGTGACGAGTACACATAGGCCCAGCCACTCGGGAAGCTGAAGTGGGAGGATCACTTGAGCCTGGAAAGTCGAGGCCCCAGTGAGCCGAGATTGTACCACTGTACTCCAGCCTGGGCAACAGAGCCAGACCCTGTCTCAAAAAACAAACAACTTGATTTTTAATAACTCTGATAGTCCATCTTATATATCATAATATACAGTTAACGACTGAGTAAGTATGTAGGTTTTCAATCTGTGTTCGTTATAAGCACACCTACATAACTTTGTGTTTTCTAATATCTTTAGGGCAGATCAAAGGAAGGAAAGTGGGGGAGGAGAGAGGGAAAATAGTGTAAATGAAGAAACTGAGCAGTGTATTGTGCAGAATTGGTGTCTGACGTTAAAGAAGAAAAAACAAGGGTACCTTGATGCCCCAGGGTGGTCTTTGTAAAATAATCCAAAGACTATAAAGTTCAGTTTAAAAAAACCAAACACATAGCTATAATAAATTAGGACCATCTGTTGTTCTACCCAGGCCTGCGTACTCAGTCTCCAGCCTGTTGCTTATTTAAGAATGCCTTTACAATGGTGAAGGAGTGCTGCCAGGGTGTCTGGAGGGAGTCAGGGGAGGCGTGTGGGGCAAGGAGGAAGGCAGCAGCTTGGGGAGCCAGCATGGGCTGCTGTGCTGTTCCCACACTGGTTACCCTTTGGGGCCAGAATCAATGTGGCCACTGTGGCCTTGAGATTCTTGCCACCTGTGGCCTTTGACAGCCCATCCATGGGTATGGGATGGGAGTTGGGGTTGGCCTGCTTAAAAAAAAAAAAAAAAAAACAAAACAAGTGAAATCAATTTTAGAATGTTTTGTAAAAAGGGAATTTCACTTGAACATTTAATAACCTATGACTCTTTTACATATACAGCCTCCCTTGGTGTTCAAGGGGAATTGGTTCCAGGACCTCCCGCTACACCAAAATCTGTAGATGTTAAAGTCCTTTATATATATAAAAGGGTGTAGTATTTGCATATAAGCTATGCGCATCCTCCTGTATACTTTAAATCATCTCTAGTTACTTATAATAGCTAATACAGTGTGAATGCTATGTAAATAGTTGTTATACTGTCTTGTTTCTTTATTTGTATTCTTATTTTTCCTGAAATTTTTGATCTATGGTTGGTAGAATCCATGGAAATGGAGGGCGGGCTATACCTGTCTCTGCATGAGCCTAGTATTAATCTGTTTTGCAAAGTCTGTGAACCAATCTAATGTAGGAAGCTTAATCCCTGGGGCCTAGTGGAGTCCTTTTTAATCACAGAGGTAGCTGAATTTTATTTTCTGGCCCAAAATTGCTACAATTACGCATTGCTAGTGTTTCTGTATTTTAATGGTGACTTCCTATAAATAATGACAAAATTATTACTGAGAAGTTCCTAAATTGAACTGTGTTGCTAACTACAAGTGTACTGTTAAAAGTTTAATTTTTGTTTAAACTGTATCTGACCAAAATGCTAATCTAGAGCAACATTTTACCTACTGGTTTGGCAAACTGTGTCATATAATCAATTTAGCTCTTAGAGTCAGAGTTACTATTTTTGTAGCACAATGGAGGAGGGGCTGCTTGTAGCTTCAGGGTGTTTTTGTTTTTTCCTTTAAGGAGCTCATTAATCCAGTGGCCCACCCGCGCGATGGACTGGCTGGAGGCTTTGGTTGCTAGGATGGTCTTAGGTTTTTGTGGCTTTCAGGAAGTAAAGGGAAGGCCACAAGCTGTGTGAGTGAAGCATTTGCAAGCTGGCCTTGTTTTTCTCTGCCCCCACTTCACTGGCATGCTGAAAGCCAAGCTGGGAATCTAGGCATGGTGCAGGAGGTGTCAGAGCCTGGCTTCCTAGCCAGAAATGTCATTCAGTGCAAACATTTTCTCAAGCATAAGGTATAACATTCATTCAGAAATGAGTATTTATGAAAATAGAAAGAGTTGATTGTGGGAACTTGGATGATGAAAACATTTATACTTAGTGATTCCATAGCCCACCCAGTATTAGACCCACCAAAGGATTGTAATAGAAACTTGTCCCTTTGAATGATGGGAAATAGCTTCCAAAATGCTAGTCTGGCCTCAATTCTGTTAACCTTCAAAATATCTTTAGGATGGGGGTGGTGGCTCACACCTGTAATCCTGGCACTTTGGGAGACTAAGGCGGTCGGACCACTAAAGGTCAGGAGTTCAAGACCAGCCTGGCCAACATGGTGAAACCCCATCTCCACTAAAAAATACAAAAATTAGCCGGGTGTGGTGGCATGCGCCTGTAATCCCAGCTACTCGGGAGGCTGTGGCAGGAGAATCATTTGAACCCGGGAGGCAGTGGTTGCAGTGAGCCAAGATTGTGCCTCTGCACTCCAGCCTGGGCAACAAGAACAAAACTCCATCTCAAACAAAACAAAACAAAAGTATCTTTAGTCAAAATTAAATGATCTCACCTTAGTACAAATGCTTCCCTATTGGTTTCCCCCTTTCCTAGGGGGAAGTTGGTTTGCTAAAACACATCATTTAGAAGAAGGGACCAAGAAGTTTCTAACACCCAGATCTGATTTATGCTCCACTGTAATTGCTACCACACATTGTTACAAGCATTGAAGCTATCACAGGAAGTGGTACTGTCTGATGGCGTGACTGAAGTAAATCCCCTGTGTGGCACTCTTGATGAGCTTCTGGAGGTCCCCTATCCTGCTTCATACACATGTTGGGTATACAATGTTTACCTGTTTGTATGTGCTGGAGAAGCCAGCGTTTTTCTGTGCAGAGGCGAAGCCCTCTCTTTCCCTGAATGTCAGTCATACACATAATATCCTGAGAGGAGCCCATAATTAGGAGTGCAATTAGGGGTGTAACATAGTGGGCAGACTTGGGAGATGAAGGAAGGAGACAGGAACAGAGCATAATGCTTTTTAACCTATCCAGGCTTGATATTGCTCACTGTTTTTTTTTTCTCATCCCGTCTAATATGGATGAGAAGATTCCTGATCTTTATTATTGTGACCATTTGCCTAGTGTTAATTGCATTCATTTGCTTAATACAATTAATCAGGAAAATACCCTTATTTAGTACAGCTGATTCTCCTTGGCACCACCCCATACCTACTTTAACCCCTCTTTCCTAACAGTTGTATTGCATTTAGTCTCTACACACACACATCTAAATTCTTTAAAATGTGGCCTGATCCTGTTTCTCATGTTTTGCTTCCCCTACAAGTTTGTATGTATGTTCAGTGGCTGGGAGTGTCTGCTACTTTATGTCCTATTAGATTTCTGTGTCATACTTAACCCAATACCAAAAAAGTCAAAGACCCAAGTGAGAAAGACCCTGCAATGTTGTAGGCATAACTCAGAATGAAGTATACAATCCCTGATTTCCAGCTTTATATCAACTTTCCTAAGATCTCATTGCTGATCCACAGTACATTCCCTGGGGGCAGTTCTTAGAAAACCCTGAGCAAGTGGGAAACCTCTGACCCCCTTTAGAATATTTTGTTAGAAAAGGGAAAGGACACATACTCATGGCATTCCTTCTGTAACTGGTAATGAATGAATTTTCTGCTTTGGAGGAAACTTTGCTTTTGTCTTTCTATTCCAAAAGTTTGTTCATTGTCACCTTCAGCCCCTCAGTACTGTTCTGATAAATACAGATTAAGATATTCTTTTATTTTTCTTTCTAGTATTATTGAACTAATAGTTCTCTCTCCTTAGTTCATTAATGTTTTCACAATAGTGAAATAGTAATAAGTAACAGTAACTTCTTTAAACTCTTTCTTGTCCCATTTCTACAATCTCTGGTTGCTGGCAGCCCCAAGAAACAGCAGCTATTTAGTCAACATTATTACGTTTTTGTGATTCTGTGCTGCCTACCCACGTGATAATCAGTGGTTATATTTGCTTGCCATTGAAAATTTAAATGACTGAAGGACAGCAAAGTAAAGGGAACCTTGCCAGATACGATAGCAGAGTAATGTCCCATAATTCGTTTCCTTGCAATCCAAGCATTATCATATTCATTTTTAAAAGAATAATTACTGTATTTTGTTGAAAGAATGGGCTCATAAATTCCAAGAACCTAATTATGTTTTGTTACTGGTGTTGCTAGAATTCTGATGAGCTTATTCCTGTTTCTAGGTTAGCTGTTGGAAGCGGAAACATATCCTAACATGGACAAGTGTATCCTGATAATTAGAAATTACTGAGAAAGAAATAATGATATTTTATCATTAAAAGAATTTTCTATCACTTGGTTATGCTAAAATGAGCACAGTAGAGCCCAATTTTAAATTGAAGAAGGAAATTAAATTGCTTATTTTTTTATTTAGATCTGTCAGGGAAAGAGAGAAGAATTAAAGGAGAGCCTATCAACCTGATTATACTTGCAGGCTCCTCTGAGATTAAAAGAAAAAATTCATAGTATTTATTCAGATGAGTGGTATTTGAAAATCACCAGCAGAACAAATACGGCCATTCCACTAGACTTACAATATTAGAGATAATAATTGTGGCTCATAGTTGAGTGCTTCCTGTGTGCCTGACATGATGAGGAACTTGAGACAGAGAAGTTAAATAACTTGCCTGGACTCCCACAGTAAGTGGCAAAACCTCAGATAATTAAACCTTACCCATTTCCCTTTTGGTGCAAGCAAAATCCAGAAAAAGATAATATATAAACAAGCTAAAGCTAAACAATCTCCAATTTTTAATGCAGAGAATTGAGTTTAAAGTAACTATATTTAAGTTAATCAGTTATCTTTGATTATGCAAATATTCTTACTTGTTTGAGTCTCTGTTAAGGATGGTCAACTGTCTCAGTTCATTTTGTGCTCCTAGAGCAGAATGCCACAGACTGAGTAATTTATTAATAGGAATTTATTTGGCTCATTGTTGTAGAAGTTGAGATGTTCAAGATTGAGGGACTGTCATCTGTCAGGGGCCTTCTTGCTGCTTCATAACATCATGGACAGCATCACATGGCAAGAGGGGAATGGGGGACAGACTCATCCTTTTCTGAGGAACCTACTCCCCTGATAAATGTCATTAATCCATTTGTAAGGGCAGAGCCCTTATGGCCTAATTACCTCTTAAAACTTTCCACCTCTTAACACTATTGTGCTGGGGATTAAGTTTTCCCCAGGACACATTCCCAATGTGGGGAACACATTCAAACCATAGCACCAACTATTTCTGTTTGCCCAGGAATTTCAGTGCAAAAACTATGCTAGTCCTGGCAATCCTGGATGGTTACTCCCTTTATTTCAGATCTTGATATCAGGTTTTCTTTGAAATTTCACACTAGGAAATTCTTTACTAAAGTAAGGATGACTGATCATAAGGAACCTTCTTCTTTTTCTTCATTATAAGTAGGCCTCTTGTCTATGGGTTTCATCTGTTTTCTGGTTCCAGACTTGAGCCAAGGGATCCTCACTGTGTACACAATGCTTAATCCTTACCCAACCATTTGTGAATCTAGTGTTCTAGGTAGGTGGTAGAAGAGATGACTGTGCCATTGTTAATGATGGGAAACTGAGTCAAGGAAAAGCAAGACATTTCTTAAGCGCATAGGAATCCACAGGCAGCTGAGTCAGCTGCATTATATCCTTGCAATTCTGTGCTTAGAAATGTAAACAAAGGCCTCTTAGATAAGTATATTTCCTGCTATTGTCTTAACATGAACATACTTGCTCACTAAGGGTCCCATTTTGAGTGATACAGCTGTAATCAATGGCGTGGTTAAATGCTTAATCTAGGTAAATTGATAGAAAAATGAAGCAAATATTTTTATCCTTGTCTTAGCAAAATGTTAAATTTCCCCAAGGAGAGATTGAATTATGTCAGCTTTTTGTTTGTATATATATATATTTTTTGCAGGGCAATTTAAGAGGTAAAGTGAAGCAGTTATCTTTCTGTCAAAGGCTTTTCTTAGCACCAGTGTTGGTAGTGTGTGGGCCCTTTGATTTAAAAAGCACGGATCTATGAATTACCTGGAAGGTAACATGCATGGAAGTTAGGGATATAGCTCAGGTCACATGGAATTTGGCATTGGAATTTTTGTTTCTCAACTTTCTAAGTGGAAAAGTTATCTTATTCTTTGCTTCATCTAGTATGCTAAAAAAGTTAAATGGGCCTCACATCAGAAAACATGAAGCATTTCTGTGTCCCATTGTGTGGGATACAGGGAGTTAGGTAGGGAATGCAGTGGGTGCAAAGGGGACGACACATTGTTATCTTGGGTACCTAGGTTTTTTATTCTAAAGGACGTTAGCCCTTGGGGACTAGGCTGAGTGCTTTATTTTTCTTTATTTTGTATGGTTCTCTTTTTTCCTAAAAACTTGAATGAATTTGATGTGTGCCCCAGTAAACTTTGGAATTCTATCAGTGAAAGGCTTAGTCCAGCCACCGAAGTCAGCACAGGTACATGGGCATTCCCCCACATTCTGTTGCACGCTTTAGTGAATATAGCCCATGTTTGGACACCCTGGCGTGGATGACCTAAAGATGAACAGCCGTATTATTCATTACTGACTTAGAACTATTACATTCCTAACCACCTAAGAAAGGTTAAGTTGAAAATGCTAAAGAAGGAATCTTTGTCTCGAATAAGTCATAAACATTTTTCCTAGTCCAAAAGTGGTAAAAGAGTTAGATCTAGATCTACCTCCTGTAGGTACCCTTTTCTTTAGCATCCTACACCCTGTTGTAAATGAAAGAAAGTAATGTTAAACAGTTCAGCTCTTCCCACCTCTTTCCCTGAAACATTTTCTTATTCTCTCTTCCTTCTTTGGGAAAGTTTACAGTTAAGCTTCTTGTATTATGTCCGTTTCAAAATTGCAGAAATGTAATTATACTTTAGAAAAAATATGCAGTTATGTTGGGTGCTGAACTCAGTGTACTCTGTTGCCTTATCTCTGAATGAAATCTTGCAGTGGTGAGAGAAAAATAAAAGCAGTCTGTCAGTGGGGTTTTCGCTGTCACCCTTCTAGTAATCATCTTTATTGCCATTTGTTTCCCCTGATTGCTGCTCTGACATTTCCATGAACATTACCAAGGGCAGCTGAACTAGGTAAATTAGGCCCTTTCTGACCAAATAAAAAACTATTGACATTTTGGCAGTGCTAAACTCATTAACAGTATTAACCAGGAGTCCTGCTTTTAGCAAAGCTCCATCCTGAGCATGTGACTGTAGGTTGGGGAAGATAAAGACCTTACAGCTCCTAATTAGCAAGTGTAATAATGGCAAACAGTTTGTGGGAGAGTCTGAATAACATTAATCAGATTTAGAAGGCTACCACAATTTAATCATTTGTTTTGGTGTCACCTTGGGGGAGATAAAACCCACATTATTCTAGAGATATGAAGGAAGTGTTTTTTTGATGTGTCCTCATTGCAGTAGCTTAATTCAAGAGACAGGAATTTAGCCACATAAGCATTCTTTATCAGTTAAGGTATCATTGAAAAAGGTATCATTGAAAAAGAGTTCATTGGCCTCTGGTTCCCTGCAGTAGAGTCTGTTGAAGTCAAAAGGCCCAGTCCCCACCTGGAGAGAGATTGCGGGGCCCTGACGCCAGGGAGGGAACTTGCCTGCTGGTGTTCCATGGGTTTGGTAAGCAGAGAATTATTCTGCCTTGTCTCCCTCCAGGTTGCAAGGCTGGTCTGACTTTTATTTCCTTCATCCCTGTCTTCTCCATCAAATATTCACCCACCCATCTGTTTGTGCTGCTGCCTTCTTAGTTTCTAACTTTTGCTGCCATTCTTCTTTTGTTCCTTTGATACCTTTTGCTTCTCTACTGCATTCTCACCTTTAAGAAAAAAAAGCCTAGCTTTTATAGATAACATCAGTCACCGTTAATATTCCTGTCGTGTGTCCTGCACTAACCAGTCAGGATACCATTGAGTAAAACTGTTGGCTCCTCCAAGGTGGTGTGTTTTAGCTAATGTGTTTTTCCCCTTAAACTCAGTGCTTGGACATTCTAGATGCTTGTTAAAACTAGTTCCCAGGTAACCAAAGATTTACTAAGGGATGATTTTAAAGAAATCCACCTCCCAAACTAAAAAAATTTTTGTTTTGCCAGCAGCTTCTGCGGTGTTAAATTAGATAGTAAATTTCTGGGAGCTCATGTTCTTTAATGGTCACTAAATTGAGAGACGCTTTGTATATAGCAGTATCCTAGGCCTAGTGGATGGAGGGGCAGGGCACAGAAGATGTCGTATCATCTAGCTACCTTAGCTACCTTTTGACCCTTACTGGGAGACAGGATACAAAATTTTTCTTGTTGTCTAAGTATCAAGTGAGTCAGACTACTAATGGTAGGTAGACAAACATTATGGTCTGGAATGTTCAAGGGAAATTGATGACAGTGGTACATCCTAAGGGCCTTTCTGTAAGCAGAAGAAAGGATTTCTAGGAGTGGTGGTGCTGTGCACGTGTGTTAGTCACAGAGGACTAGGTGAGACCGCTAGAATGAACTGGGAAAAGGTAGAGTTCATTTGGACCCTTGAGGGACCTCAGTTCCATGCTGAGTTAGGTACTAATGTTTTAGCAGGGAAGTGGTATAGGAAGATGGTGCTTTGTGGAAGAAGAGTTTCGGACGTCTTTAGGATTGTTGGGATAGGGAAGAGACTAGAGATGTGGTAATCAGGGAGGAGTTGTTTCAGTAACCCAGGTTTGTAGAGTTGAGGCCTGGATTAAGATAGAAGATTCGTTGGCTACAATAGTGACAGAATTTGCTAAGTGAGAGAGACATTTTGAAGGAAGGGAACAGAAAGGAGTTGAAGATATAGCTGGTTTGGGTTTTTATCCATCTTCCATTCCACTTTATTTCATTCTAATTTAAGATCATGTTTTAGCAGACATACCTTTTTTATAAGACATATAAATACAGAAGTTAGGTTTAATAGCTTTGAAATGTAATTCATATACCATACAACTTATCCATTTAAGGTATACAATTCCGTGGTTTTTAGTATATTCCCAGGACTGTGCAACCATTACTACGTTTAAAACATTTTCATTACTCCCAAAAGAAAGGCTATTAGCAGTCACCCCTGCCTCCCGTTGCCTCCCTTATCTGCTTCGTCACTGTAGATGTGCCTGTTCTGGAAATTGTACAGGATATGGTTTTGTGAATGGCTTCTTTCACTTGGCATGTTTTCATGGCTCATCATGCTGTAGCATATCTCAGTATGTTGCTGGATTTTGGTTTGGCCATCAGGTGGCTGAGGAATGTTGCCCCTGACAGAATAAGCTCAGAGGTTGAGTGGCATGCTTCACCTATTAAATGGGAATGATAGTGCTGCCCTCTTTACTTCCCAGAGTTACCGTGAAGATGAGATAATGTATATGAACACTGATGGGTGGATTTTATATAAACGTGAAGGTTTTACAACATACCTCACTGAAGAGAAGATGAGTTCTAGGGGTGAGGGGATAAAATTTAAACATAATTACATTTGGGTTAATAGTAGCAGAGGAGTGAATTGCCAGACCCAAGAGTCTCTTGGGAAGTCACTTTTGGTGTGCCAGTGGTTGCCTCTATGAGAGCTGATGAGGATTTCCAGGGCAGCCTTTAAAGAAAGGGAGCAGAGGGTTGAGCACTGAGGGCCTGCTACAGGGACGATAGGAAGGAAAGAGCTGCAGAGAACGTGCCCTGGGATACAGGGGAGTGTGAAACCTGTTCTGCTGAAATAGTTTAATAATGCAATCATTGCTAAATTGTCATAATTAGCCAACTGTTGGCCAAGTCATGTCTGTGCATGATTCTCTGACCCAATTTATTATTTGCCCGAGGCCACATGCTAACTGGTCAGTAACTTAGGCTCTTATTTTAACAAGAAAATGAAACAAAACCATAAATACCCTAGGCTTGAAATGTGACCTGGATCCCTGATTTTATGACCCATTGTGTTCCCTTGAGCCTGATACCTAATCTTTTATAGGTTTTTTTGTTAGGTTTTTTTTTTGTTTTGTTTTGTTTTTTTGTCCATATGGAGGGAGGTAGTTCCCTTGCTGGGATGTTGAAGATCACTTTGTATACAACAAGGTGTGCAAAAAAGCTTTGTAAGTGCTGAGGTGCCTTTAAATGTAAGGAAGTGGCTGGGATGTGGTGGCTCACGCCTATAATCCCAGTTACTCTGAGGCTGAGGCTGGAGGATTAGTTGAGCGTAGGAGTTCTCCCCATCACTGCATTCTAGACTGGGTGACAGAGCGACACCTCATCTCAAAAGAAAAAAAGTAAGGGAGTAGTGCTATCCCATCTTCTGCCCATCCCTCTCCCAGATAAATACAAATAAAGCCCTATGTGAGATATTGGGAATTTCCCAAGAACTGCCAACTCCCAAGGACTGACTCTGGCTGTATGTGTAAGAAGCCCTGTGGGGTTGTGTAATGTGTTTGTAAGTGGCATCATTGATCGTTGCTGGGTAAACAAGAGTCCCACTTTGGGGGAGTGAATATCTAGTCTGAATTTTTTCCTGTATAGGTTTTTTCAGAATTGCTGGTGATAATGGTTTTGTGTGTGTGTGTGTGTGTGTGTGTAGAAGGGGTGAAGGGGAAGCAAGCACAAAAGAAATGTAGATTGAAGGTAGAGGTTGACTCCAGCCAGGACCAAAATAATATAGTTATTTTTTAGGGGAACTATAAAAAGAACAACAGTTTTTCCTAGCATTTGGCATAAGACCTAGGATTTTAATGAAAGTTGAAATTCAAATGCCTGAGACTGCCCCATACTGTGAGGGTCTTATTAGCCTTGTCTTTGGAAGGAGACTTACTGTCTCTCTTCCTAAATTTAAATGGCTTGTTTTCCCTACCTATATTATGGCAGGCAGAGTGGATATTTAAGGTATTGTCTATTCAGATCTCTCCCTTCTCATTTTCTAGGGATTGCCCTGCATTCCATTTACACTGTTACACTTAGACGTGTGAATTTGACCTGTCTCCCGGGCATTTGGAAACGGGGTATGATTCTACTCCTAGTCTGTCTCTGAAGCAGGGGAGGTGTAAATCCTGGTGACGTATGAACTAGAGGGGTTGGCCTGCAGTGAGGGAAGCATGATGGAGTTGGGTGCGTGGAGAAGGGAAAAAAATCAAGAGATATGCTCAAGTTCCTCTGTGTAGCCCTCCAGTTCCCAGAGACCCCGGTGTACTTACAACAAATGAAAAGGGGGTGTGTTCATATTTTCCTTAAATTTTCTCAAGGGGTTTTGGGAACGTTCAACCAAAGGTACCCTAATATAGTGGTAAAAAAGAAGCCTGAGATTTCTAGAGCTGCTGTGAAGACCTATTAGAAGGCGGAGTATAAGATTCTAAGTACGGGACTAAGTTACTGAAAATGTGGCCCCATAGAGAAAGCTGCTCTACCCTTCCCTTAGTGCAGACATTGAGGTTGGGGTTCATTCTGTGACGTCATAGCCTTGCTTTGAACTAGAAGGAGAAGCATTTGTTAGATACCAGGTTGGGTTGGGATAAAACAAACAGAATGTTGCTTCTCAGTACAGCTGCCTGTTTGCAGGGCTAATTCTCTAAGGGTCTCAGGATACTCAGAGGCATAGCAGACTTGGGCCCAGAGCACAGGGATAGGCAAAACTTTTCTGTTAAGGGCTACTTAGTAAATATTTTAAGCTTTGCAGGTCCTATGGTCTCTGACATTACTACTCAACTGTCCCATGGTAAGATAAAAGTCACAGACAATATGTAAACAAAATGGACATAGCTGTGTTCCAGTGCAACTTTTTTTTTTGAGACAGTCTTGCTCTGCCTCCAGGCTAGAGAGCAGTGGCGTGATCTTGGCTCACTGCAACTTCCGCCTCCCAAGTTAAGCGATTCTCCTGCCGCAGCCTCCCAAGTAGCTGGGACTACAGGCATGTGCCACCACACCTGGCTAATTTTTGTATTTTTAGTAGAGATGGGGTTTCACCATGTGGCCAGGCTGGTCTCAAACTCCTAACCTCAGGTGATCTGCCCACTTCGACTTCCCAAAGTGCTGGGATTACAGGCCTGAGCCACCATGCCTGGCCCAGTGCAACTTTATTTACAGACACTGAAATGTGAATTTCATATAATTTTTACATCATAAGATATTCTTCTTTTGATTTTTTTAACCATTTAAAAGTGGGAAAATTCTTTTTACCTTGTAGGCTCTACAAAAACATATGGCAGGTGAATTTGGCCCATGGGCTGTGGTTTGCAGCCCCCTAGAGTATCACAGGGAAGTAAGGGGGAGTGTTTACTTTTATAATAGCTGAGATGGATGAGAATAGCTCTCATTGAGTGTAAGTCCTTAATATTTTAACCTTTTCATTAATCCCACAAGACCTCTGGAAGATAGTTGGCCAGCATCCTAACTAACCTTTGAGAGGAAGAAAAGATTTTAAGTTCAGTGAGCTAGTTTTCAAGCTGGGAGCTAATAATTACCAGGCCAGACTTTAGGTGTTTGACCCGTGACTAAGGCCCTCTGCTCATTGTATCACTGGGGAGGGAGGCAGATGCCGTTTTCGTATTTATATAGAGAAACCAAGTCTCCTGGAAGATTGTGTAATGCTTTGTATGTAAACGTCAATGCAAGTTTTGGCAGGGACAAACTGCATTAAAAAAGCATTGCAGCAGCGAAGTGTGCTGGCTTTAGGAAGCAGTTTTTAGTGGATATTTACCTCACAAAGTCTTACAACTGAAAAATCATATCTTTCGGAATCACTTAATTTTTGTTTCTAAAGAGCAAAGTGCCTCTTTTCATTCCCAGAACATTGTTGTAAAATGAGGAATTAAAGAACCAGATGAGATGCGTGACTTAGGCAAAATCAGGTGGTTTGGTTTCCAATCTGACCACGTGTTTTTTTTTTTCTTTTTTTCTTCTTCTCTTTAGATATAAGGCCACTGGTTTTATTTCCTTCTTTCCTTTTTTATTCCCTTCAGTTATTTTGCTATTGCCATGATGAAGTGTGAGGCTTGTGTCTTGATCTGTGTGGAATGCAAGAGTCCAGCTGCTTTCTGCCACACCATAAACGTTTCAGGAAAATTAAGATGCTCCTGGAGATAACCCCCGTAGGTAATAGCTATATTACAGCTTTTACTTTTCCGAGTGGATTCCCTGCAATAAAATTACTGCAATCTTGTGTTATAGCTTTTACTTTTCAGAGTAGATTCCTGCAGTAAAATTATTGCAGTCTTTTTGCCTTGTCCTTGAAAGTCATGTTACTCTGAGAAATGAAATGTTGCTGAAAATGTGTACATTTCAGTAGGAGAGTTTTAAGCAATTTGAAAGAGCCATGTTTTAATGGTACCAATTTTGCAGCTTCCTAGGCAGAAGTTTGTTACATTGAACTCTTCAGCTGTCCAAGTGAATCAGGGCCACTATTGATAAATCAGTAGTAACATAGCTATGATCCTTTGGCATGGTAGCCAATATCTGATCCAGAATTAATGTTCTGAGTAGATGTCTCCTCTTGTAGATTCCATTTCCTCCTTCTTCCTTCGGCTTCCATTCCCATTAAGGGTCCTCTCCATCACAGTCGCATAGATTTAGCTGCAATCTTCTCCAAATAGCTAGTCAAGTTTGAAAGCTGTCTACCTTCTCTAACTCCAGCAGATGCCACTGAGCTGTTGATTGTCTTAGAAGAGACAACAGCACTCTCCTGCTTATTAGGGCCAGTCTTGAACGTTCCCTCTCTATAAGGTAGAGGACTGAGGACTTTTGGTTTCTTATCAGCCTTTCTCTGCCAGGATGGTAGGGTAGAAAAATATACAAGTAGGAAAAAACATTTCTCAAATTTAATTTTGAAAAATGTGTCAGGATTCCATCCTTTTTACTCTGTATGAATTTGATGGCCTCGTTAGCCATCATTGTCTTTTCAACACGTTGAAACCTCCACATTGCTGAGGCTAATGTGGTTAGAGCACCTGTTCTCAGTGGTCCGTGAACCAGCAGTATCAGCATCACCTGAGACCTTGTTAGAAATGCAAATTATCAAGCCCATTTCTAGATCTCCTTAATCAGAAAATCAGGGTGCAGGGCCCAGGAATTTCCTTTAATAGGCCCTCCAGATGACTCTGATGCTCAACAAAGTTTGAGAATCACTTGTTTAGTCCCAAACCTGTGTTTGGATGCCATTTGCATTACTTAGAAGCTAACTGGGGACTAGTTACTTTATCTTTGGCCTCTTTATTTCTATAGAAAGAGGACAACCCTCTCTACCTATTAAGGTCATGATGGGGAATTAAGGTGACATGTATAAACGTTTTGCACATAAGTGCTTGGTGAACAATAACTGCTGGTATTTGGTACCATCTTTTAAAAGCCATGGTGGTAGACAGTGAGAAGACAAAGGCATAAAAGGTGGGCCCAGCCCTAACAGGTTTGCAGTCAAGTAGAGGTGGCTTACATATAAATAATTATTAGACCAGAAAAATGGTAACGTTTCTCATAAAACCCAAGCCAAGGATGGTTTCGCTTGTTTTTTTTTCTTTCAACCTGATAGCAAATGTGATAGTTGAAAGCAGACACTGATATGCCTAGAATCATGGGATTGACATTACTTTTGCTAGCAATCTGTGGAGCTTGTATGCTTAGGCATGTGCTAAAGAGAGGAGCCTGAAAGTGCAGGACATCCTAGAGGATGCATTTGTTTCGGGGAACCTTGGGAGAATAGGCCCTTTGTTTTGCATGGACCTCGTACTTAAAAAAAAATAAAAATTAAAAAAAAGCTCTTAGGACGTTCATGAAAAAGTTAATATCTTTTTTTGAATTGGTGAGTGGTTAATCATTCTCTCCAATTTTTAATTATCAGAGGGGTAGATAGACACATAGACTATTGGAATTTTTTTTATTAATAATGTAGTTTTTTGTGTACTGCAGTCATGTTAATGAAAATAGCTTTTAGGAGTTAATACTGCATCATGTGGACACTTAGTAATATAAGAAAGTGATTAGCAAAAATGTCTTGAATTTTGGACAAAGCCCATTCTGTCAGCATCTCAAACGGAGAGTGCTTTTAGGAAGAACCTGTAAATTCATGCTTCTTTATACCCTGTCTGCCAAAAGACTGGGTTTCATTTCTTCCATGTTGATTGTAGTCAAATAGGATGTGTATTTAATTTATTTTTGTTTGTGTCAGTTAAACTGAATGCTTAAAAAATTGTAAATCTAACTTAAATATGATAATATTTGTCAGTTTTTCCCATAACTGTTAATATTTGGTATTTATGACTGTATTTGTAAATTCTTCTCCTAAAGGCATAAATACCTGCCCTCTGGGTACGAGTTTTGGGTTTGGTTTTATGGCTATTTTGTCTAATACAGAAGAAGTTCAGGAAAAGGTGGGCAAACTTCTTGAAGCACAGCTGATACCATAGTAATATAAACATGTTTTGTTTGTATTTTCCAGTTAACATTATATTATGAGCATTTTACAGATTTATGATGGGATAGTGCTAAAGCAAATACAGTAGAAATCGTATTTTGAGTACCCATTTAGCTATTCTGTTTTTCACTTCTAATACAGTATTCAGTAAATAACATGAGATATTCAATACTTAAGCATAAAATAAGCTTTGTGTTAGATGATGTTGCCCAACTGTAGGCTAGTGCAAGTGTTTTGAGCACGTTTAAAGTAGGCTAGGCCAAGCTATTACGTTTAGCAAGTTAGGTGTATTAAATGCATATTTGATTTACAGTATTTTGAACTTAGGATGGGTTGTTCAGGATGTGACCCCATCGTAAGTCGACAACTTTCTGTATATTATTTGTAAACGGTATATTGGCCACATAATTCATCACAAAGGTATATCCTAACAATCCTTTTTTGAACACTTAAACCATTTGATATTTTCCCAGAAATGAGGCTATTACTTCAAGAAAAACACCTGATGGTATCTGCCAATGATAAAATTAGAGCTGTCAGGTGAAAGTGAAAACTGAAATTTTGGAAAACTCATATTTGCAACCCTGTGCTTGACAGCTTCCCAGTACTGAAGATGTGTATGGTAAGATTGATAGTAATATTAATAATGTACTTTTCGGGGGATATTTTCTAAAAAAAAATGTGTAGGCATTTCAAAAAAAAAAGCTACATAACTCAGTTAACCAGTATTTTCCAAAATCATACATGGGTAAAAGACCCTTTCAAGTCGCAAATAGACCACTGGATTTTAATGGAACAGAGCACAGAAAGTTTGTCAGATTTCATATTCCATATTGTAATTAACTACTAAAAAGCACCATTTGTTCAATTTGGGGAAAGTACGAAAGAATACCCACAGCTATCTCAAAAGATGATTGCAAGACACCCTTCATTTTCCAACTGTTTATCTGTATGAGGCCAGATTTTTCTTTATGTACTTCAACCTAAACACCGTATTGCAACAAATTGCATGCAGAAGCAGGCATGAAGCTCTACTATTTTCCATTAAGCAGGACATTGAAGAGATTTGCAAAAGCGCAAATCAATACCATTCTTAGTAAATTTTCTTTTGGAAAAATACATAAAAAGTATCTAGGTTAATATGTGGTTTTAAAGATTATTTTTAAAAGTATTTTAAAAATTTGTTAATTTTGAATATGATAAATAACAGTGGATATAACCCACATAACAAGAACTCTTTAGGGTCCTTGGTAATTTAAGGGTGTAAACGGATCCTGAAAACAAAAAGTTGAATACTGCTGAGTTAGATGAACTTCTGCGTTTAAGGAGTTTTTTTTTTCCAGAGTTGAATGTCATTGATTCTCTTGAATTTATAATGAATGCAGGCCACATGGAAAGGTAATATTTGTTAATCAACAAATTTGTTCATCTTTTCTAGAGTCATTTTGTAGTTTGAGCTTATTTGTACATTTTGGTTGACTTGACTTTTTTTAAGAAATAAACACTTACCTGAGAAAAATATTGCATTCTGTGGTACCTAGTACAGTGTGACACATATAAAATAGCTTCATTTTTGTTATGATGAAAATTAACCCATTTATGCTGGAGGTTGCAAATTTTTTGTGTGTGTGATAAATCAGATCTTGGCGATGACCTTGAGCAGTAGTATATAAATAACTCCCACAAGCTTAGTGTTCCAATAATGGAACACTAGGCATAAATGGGTTAACATGTTCTAGGAGTTCGAATCACCCTAAAGGGAAAAATAATGGCCACGTGCTTCTCCTGGCCGCACTCTGCTGCAACCAAATTTAATTACTGGAAATAAACAAAGTAGACTTCACAGCTATATTTGCAAATAATTTCTGAAGCACATTAAGAGCAAAATACTTTCCAATTAATTTTTTTTTCTTTAGTAAATGATAATGGGTCTGTTAAATGACTTAGGGGTGTGGTAGACTCTATTACCTGACTTACTGTATTTTCAAAGGCTTTCTTCTAACCCATAAAGCAGATTTATGGGATTAGAATTTAGGGCTGAATGACTTTGAGGGATTATCTTGGTCTCTGAATAATAATTGGTATTTGGCAAAATGAGGAATATGGCAATGTTCATTTTTTGACTGTTTGAATTGGGATTCATCTGTAACAATGGGGCATCTCACAAATGACTGAGAATGGCAAATAAATGCATTCCTCTCTAATGGAGTCACTTTGGTTCCTGTAGAAGTTGGAGAAGTACCTTTCTAAGAGAAGGGATTTGCCTTCAGTTATGAGAGAGTATTTAACAATAATAGGGTTATGTGTTTTTTGTCTTGCATTTTGCTGTTGTAAATTATAAAAATATGGGTGGGTTTAAAATAAAACACCTTTTAACATTTTTACACACATCTACAAGTTAAATAGATCACTTAAAGAGCTTTTGATGTAAGAATTTTAATGGATAGCAAAAAGCATAATTATGTGGTCGGAGTAGTACAGACCTTGTTCTTGTATAGCCTGTTAATTTACTGTAAAATTACTTTAAAAGATTTAATTAGCATAATTAAGTAAAGTAAGTGATAAGATATATTACTTTATATATTTTATGTGTTCTTCTTGAGTCACAGCATTTAACAGGAGCATTTAAACTTAATTACCTCTTCTAACTTAGGGTAGGTGTAAAGCATAAGCCATAATGATGGTTACTGCCACCACAAACTAAAATCATTTCCACCCTCACCTCAGTTCTCCTAAGTGAGTGACCCCCAACCTTTTTGGCAGGGACTGCTTTCGCAGAAGACAATTTTTCCACAGACAGTGGCAGGGGTGGCGGATGGTATTGGGATGAAACTGTTCTACCTCAGATCATCTGGCATTAGATTCTCATAAGGAGCATGCAACCTAGATTCCTTGCAGTGCAGTTTACAATAGGGTTCCCCCTCCTATGAGAATCTAATACTGTGGTTAATCTGACAGGAGGCGGAGCCCAGGCGTTAATGCTGGCTGACTGCAGCTCACCTCCTGCTGTGTGCTCTGGTTCCTAACAGGCCATAGACCAGTACCAGTCTGGTCCATAGACCAGGGGTTGGGGACCCCCTGTTATAAGTGATTTATTTGTTCTAGTCTGTTGGCATTCAAATATGTTGAGTGCCACCCACAGAAAGAACATTTTTACATCACAATTCAGTATACACATAAGCACATGTTATATTAATGTTATTATATACAATGTTTGTCTTTCCTATAAGCATTGTACTTTGGTTTTTTAATTCCTTTCTTTAAAAAGTATTGATTTCAGGACCCCTTGCAATGTGCTCACTGAAAAACTGCCTTGGGAAGCTCTCTCTCATTCACAATGTTTATTTGGTATCTTCTCTACCCTCATTCAACTTCTCTCAATTCTGCTCACTTCTCTCAATTTTAGCAGATGCTCTGGCCTCCTGCTTTATGGAGAGCCATTGAGTTGTGGCTTCCTCAGCTTGTCACCAGACCTGCAAGTTTCTGCACTGCTACCATCTATCCATCTGTCCTCCCTCCCGTAATGGAAGAGGTTTGGTTTCTATACCTGTGCTCTAGATAGAACGCTTTCCCCTCCCTCGGGAACATGTGGTATTGATTATCACTTCTCCTCCATAGTCTCCAGGCTTTCCCTCTTTAATGACGTTTTCCCAACAGCCTTTAAATGTATTTAAAACTCTTCTTTCACACACCCACATCCCAGCACCCACACCCCCATGCATATCCATTTGTGCACTCGCGGCCCTAGCTACTGCTTTCTTCCTCTTATCCGTAGCTTATTTATTGCCAGCCTTTCTGAAGGGTTTTCTGTACCTCTTGTCTGAGTCCTCAGTTTTCTTTCCCTTCTCAACCCACTTCTCTCTCCAAGGTCAACAAAGACCCCTTATTTAATAGGCTTCTCAGTCTCTTTCTCACTTAAACTCTCTGTTCCTGATCAGATTCTGTTGAATGATTGCTCCCTCTTCTTCACCTTGGCTTTCATTGCCTGGAGTCCTTCTGTCCTCTTAGTTTTTCCTTCCTGTCTCCTGTTGCTCCGTCTGCCCCATTATTCCTGGGTTCCTTGGAGTTCTCCCTTTGACCTCTCTCTCCTGATTTCCTTGTACTCTCTAGAGGTTTGCACAGCCTCATGACAACCTTAGTAATGATGCCCAAATCTGTCACCAGCCTGAACTCTGGACCCACACACCAGACTGGGCCAGGATGACCAGAAGTGGTACCTGGAGTATATGCCAAAAGCCCATGGACCTTAAAAATGAACACGCTTAGCCCCAGAAATCCTCAGTTGCCTACAAATTTCAATACCACAAACTTCTGCTAATCTTCACTGATAAGTTAGAGGGGAAAACACAAAAGGAGACAAATTTGTGACAACCACTTGGTGCAACGAGATGTAATGGAAGGGTGATAACTGATTAGTAACCATCCAGACCTCCTGCCAGATTCTTTTCCTATAAAGATAAGAATTGAAATTAGTCACCTTGGAGAACTCAAGGAGAGTTTTAATCTGGCCCTCAGAATGGTTTATGGGTTTTGCTTTACTAGCACTTTCTGCAGAGTAAGCAAAAATCTGATATGGTGTGGAAATAAAGCAAAAATTGGCATTAACCCAGGTTTGAAGGCCACAGTGACTCTTCTCAGATTTGAGGCTATGCCAAGTATCTGTATCAGGTTGGCAGGTAGGTAGCAGTGTCTGCAGCGGCCAGATAGCTCTTAAGTTTGGATGTCTCTCAGGCTTCCCAAGGTCAACATGTCCAGAAGTGGACTCATTATATTCCTCATCAAACATACACATTTCAAGTAAATGCTACAGCTGTCTACCTAATATATAGGTAGGCAAGTTTATTGAACTTGACGTTTCTTGAATATGCCATGTTTTATCTTGCTTCTAGACCTTTGCATACACTGTTCCCTCTGTTTAGAGAATCCACTCCAGCTATGTTTTATTTTTTCTAAAACTCAGTATAATATGTTGTAATAGCTTGGTGACTCTTTCCTGTCTGAACCCTCTACTTATGCCTGCTGGCCCCAGTAGACATAAGCCCTTTGAGGGCAGGTATTTTCTTTTTTCTGGCATATCCACAACACCTGGCAGAGTATCTGATATAGTAGATACTCATTTAATATTGTTCAATGAATGAAATAAGCAGTGCTGGGATGAGGATAGGCTTCAATTCAGTTAGAGTAGTGGTGTTACCTACCTCTCCTCTTGGATAGAAACAGAACCAGGAATCACTCTACTAAAGAGATAGGGTTGGTGCAGCTAAACTATGTGCTGGTTTCTTCTGAATTAGAACCTTCCATTTGGATTCAATTTGTTTGGGGTGTGGTGAATTCTCGGAACAAGGGACACACCCAATTTAAAATATAAATGCATTCAAAGCAAATATTATTTTGGCTCATCTGTGCCATTGTTCAGTGAATAAGAGTTTGTTGGTGGATAAAAATGTTGATGTGGCTGAATCAGATCAAATAAGCGCTTTTGGATTTTAGGATTTGCTAGGTTTGGAAATACTACCAGATGGATCTAAATTACTCCCTTTGCTGTGCTTGCATAACGTAGTCCTACACTCCAAGCAGCATTTTATGCATTTGTAAACTCTCTGCCCTTGTTTTACTGGGGTCCAGGAGGGCAAATGTGGTGGCTTGTTTAGCCTAGTGTCCCACGTAACCACAGGGATTAGCCTGTGGTTGGGGCCACGTAAATATTTAAGTGAAAGCTCTGTGGGAAACCTACCCAGCATATTCCTCCTAAGGCTGAAGGTAAAAGATTTGGTCTTTGACAGGCTATTAATATTTCTCCTCTGGAGCAGAGTGTAAAGAAGGAGATATATATTAGTTAGATCTTTCTCACTTGCAGATGACAGAAACCCAAATCAAACTGGGCTTCATTCAGAATAGGAAACCAATTCCTTGTTTCAGTTAAGGAATGTGTTCCCCATCAACAACAAAAAAATATGCAACCGAAGTCTTAAGTAGATATGGGGGTTAGTTTTCTGATCCCAAAGGCTGCTACAGGCACTCATGGAATTCATTTTGGACCTTTTACCCTTCTGTCCAATCATTCTTAATATGTGGCTTTCATAGGAAAAACAGGGAAGGAAAAATTGCAAAACTTTCTTCTTAGCAAGACTTGGCCTTTTTATTTATAAAGGAAACCTCCTCGAGGACTTTGGCTCACATGTCGGCTCTCACTGTGATCAGATTGCAAAAGGGGTGGGGGAATAATAGCTCTTATTTTTGTTTGTTTGTTTGTTTTGAGATGGAGTTTTGCTCTTGTCACCTAGGGTGGAGTGCAGTGGTGCAATCTCGGCTCACTGCAACCTCCACCTCCTGGGTTTAATCGATTTTTCTGCCTCAGCCTCCTGAGTAGCTGGGATTACAGGCATCTGCCACCACGCCCAGCTAATTTTTGTATTTTTAGTAGAGACGGGGTTTCACCATGTTGGTCAGGCTGGTCTCAAACTCCTGACCTCAGGTGATCCACCCACCTCGGCCTCCCAAAGTGCTGGGATTGCCCAGCCCACTCTTATGTTTTTAAGGTACATCTTAGAGGCAGGCAAGGGAGAAGGGTTGGAAATGGAGGTTTACTCAGGGAACTAACAGTGTCTTTCACACTCTTAGATTGGGAAAATCCAAGGAGATGGTTTGCTTTTGTTGGTTGGATCCAGAGGCTCCAATACCACTCCCTCAAAGTGGTATCAAAAATATAAATGCACCATAAAGATGGAATCCTAGGTTATTAACCAAGCATAGGCCACTTGAACAGAGGTGTTCTGGGCATCTAGGTCAAATTCTCTTTACATTTGGTTAGTGGCTTAGGATCATGGCATACTTTTGTTTGCTTTACGTATGGGCTGTGATGTTCTTATATAGCCTTGTTCTTACTGGACTTTGTAATTGCCTGTTTTCTCATTTACAGAAGTAATATTTGTCTTCATTCTCTCAAAACTATAATTTATTTTCTTGATTATACAAACTTTTTGAATGCGTTATGAACTAACTGCTTTCAGGACTTGCTGAACAGCTGACATTTATTTTCCTTTTATTCTTGGCTTAATTCTACTTTTCTTGGACTCTATTTTCCTTTTTCTTAGACATATTTTTAATTTTCCTGGAGTATATTATAAAGTAAGTTTTCAGAAACAGTACATGGCAAGTATACTTTGAGCCTCTGCTTATCCGTCCTCATGCTTAATTGGTAATTTGGCTGGATATGAAATTCTGAGTTTAAAATAATCTTCCCTTAGCATTTGAAAGAATTTCTCTCTACCAATCAATGCTACTGACCCTCGTACCTTTGATGGACCTTTCTTTGGAGACTCTGTTTTCTCATTATCAAGATATTGTGACATTTTATGAGAATCTTTTTTCCTTTATTCTGCTCAGCACCTGTGGGCTCTTCCAATCTGAAGACTTGGGTTCAGTAGATTGATGTTAGGCTTCCTGGATTTACTCTTAAATTGTCCTACCAAACTTTTTTGTTTTCCTCCTTCCACTCACCCAGTTTTCTGGGGATTTCATCATTCTTTTATCATTTCATCCTTTCTAATGAATTTTTAACTTCAATATGCAATCTTTTCTATATGGATGTTTTTGTTTTATATATGTATTTTGTGTTTTCTAATATCTTTGACCACACTCAGATGTTTTTCCCCCTAAAATTCTCTTCTGCTTTAGCTCCATGAGTTATGATCTCTGTCTTCTCTGGGATCGGTTTCATTTTTTCCGTATTTATCTTTTTTCCCCAGCTTTCTTCATATGTAGTCATCCTTGCTTACCTATCCATATGGATGCCTGAAGGATGTGTAGCAGCTGACTTAGCTTCCCTCCTCCTTGTGCTCATCTGCTGCCCCTGTTGGCCTTTTCTTTCACTAGGAGTATGGGTTGTGAGCTCTGAAATTGAGGGCATAGTATGTCAAAGAGCAGGTTTCACTTTAGGGTGTGTCAAGGTGAAGCAAGCAGGATGGGGAGAGGTTCCCACAATGCCAGAGGAGAGATCCCCACCAGGGTCTGCAAGTCCCTCCTGGCAGATCACTTGCTCCCTTTGGAGAGTAGGTAGATGTTTGACTTCAGACTAGGGGCCAACCGTGCCACCACCCTGATAGGCTGGTGAAAAGGAGGCCATGCTAAGCTACCATCCTGCAGGCAGTTTTGCAGATGTACCCTCCTTTCAGTTTCTGTACGTCTAATCTCAGATGCTGCCAACTTCCACCTCCATTCTTGCCTTCCACCTGCATGTGTCCCAAGCTCTGCTGTGGTTTACTTCTCAGTATGCTCTCATCTGACCTATACGAATCTTTAGTCCATTTATGTGCCCCAGTGGGTTGGGGTAGGGAGATGTCTTGCTTCTTAATCTAGAAGCCCTGGGGTATTACATATTTTAAAATTACATTTTTGAGAAATTAATTCTCACATAATAAAAATTCAAGAAGTACAGAAGGGCATGCAGGGGAAAATAAGGCTTTCTTGAACCCACTCTCCATGTTCGCCAGTTCCCTTGCAAGAAGCAAATGCTCTTAGCAGTTTCCTGCATATTTGCAGAGAGGTTATGACATATACATTTAAGAAAAATCATTTTGGTTGTTGTGTTATAGTATGGACTAGGTTTGGAGTGAGGTGGGAGGAGATAGAAACTGGAGTCTGGGGGTGCCATAGCAACTACAGTGGTCTAGACCAGCAGTCCCTAATCTTTTGGCACCAGGGACCAGTTTCCTGGAAGACAATTTTTCCATGGACCTGGGTGGTGGAGTGGGTAGGGGATTGTTTCAGGATGATTCAAGTGCATTACATTTATTGTGCCCTTTATTTCTATTATTATTACATTGTAATATATAATGAAATAATTACACAACTCACTGTAATACAGAATCAATGGGAATCCTGAGCTTGTTTTCCTGCAACTAGACTGTCCCATCTGGGGGTGATGGCAGACAGCGACAGATCATAAGGCATTAGATTCTCACAGGGAGCTTGCAACCTAGATCCCTCACGTGCTCAGTTTACAATAGAGTTCATGCTCTAATGAAGATCTAATGCAATGCCACCACTGATCTGATGGAAGGCAGAGCTCAGTTAGTGAGTGATGGGGAGCAGCTGTAAATACAGATGAAGCTTCTCTCACTCGCCCACCCACCACTCACCTCCTGCTTTGCGGCCTCGTACCAGATCTGTGGGCCCGGGGGCTGGGGACCCTTGTGGTCTAGGCAATGGGGAGGCTCTACACTAAGATAATGGGATGGGAATGAAGGGCCGACATGCTTGATCAAGATAATTCCACTAAGAAGTAAACAGGATCTAGCCACTGGTTAGGTGTTGGCAGGACGTCAGGGATAAATGGAGGAATAGGGTTGTGGTGAAAAGAAAGCAGGACTCTCTGTTGATTTTTGTGGAAAAAGGGTGGGGTTTTATTTGATTTAATCTGGTAATTTTACTGAGAATCTGAATACTTTGATTGTCTCTTTTAAGGTCTTGAAACCTTAATAATTTGCCATCTCTGCTCCTGTTCCTCTTCTTTTTGCATGTCCCCTCAGGCCACCAGTGGGTTTCTGAGACTAACAATCTGAAGTAATTTTTGTAGGCGTCGTTGAATATGCATCATTCCCACTTCCTATAGAGGAGAGATAGCAAACTGGAAACTCAGCAGCCAAGTACAGCAGCCCATAGGCATGTTTGGGCTCAGTATTTTGTTTTGTTTTGAACTTGAGTTAACATTTTTAAAAACTGAGACTTCCCCAAACTCTGAATTTATCGCCTTTTTTGAGAAGTCAGAAGATCTGGCAAAACTAGAACAGTCTTCCTCACTGTGGTAATGGGGTAAGTATGAGAAGCTTTGAAGGGTTGTACCTTCTCCACGAGGCCACAGCCCCTATCCCTCAGTCCAGATCTATATGTGAACTTACTGCTGCCCTCCTGAATCATTTAGTTACCTGCCAGGCCCCTTAGTCCCGTGTTTGTCACCCTGGCTATAGAGATCACACTGCAAGAGATTTCCAACTATCAGAAAAGCTGTCTGTATCTTAAAGTTTATCATAGTACACATTATGGTGGTATTCCTTTTCCAAGCACAAATGAATGGGAGAAATGGAAACATGAATTCTAACAGTTGAAATCAAATGTAGGCAATACCAACTTAAAAAAACGCAGACAGTGCTAATTAAAGTTATGGAAGAAAATACCTTTTGGCTTGGCCAGATTGATGTAAATATTTCTTACAATACAGTTAGTACATATGGCATTTGCAAAGGTGGTGGTGTGAGAAGTAGAATTTGCCTGAGGTTTGTAAGCCAGAAGACTGGGTGACTTTATTTTCCTGTGAACAGTTACGATGTGTGGAAAAGTGAGGCCAAATAGAACACTTTTGATTGTATTGTTAAAATAGGACCTTAAGAAACCCCTCTGGATAAATTCTCTACCTCTTAAGTCAGTAAGGAAAAGGTATAAATCCTTTGTGTGACCTGTTACAGAGAACCTTGTCAGGCAAGACAGTTTATTGGAATGATGTACCCTAAATTTACCTGTTGCAGGGGCTGTGTTTTTCTAAGGCTATCCTAGGGAGTTCCCTTTGTGTAGGTCGACCTTGGACTGACCCCAAGATTTCCAGTCATCAGAATGTAGGAAGTAGAGGGAGTGGAATTACACATGCTTGGAACTCAGCCCCTTAGAAAAAGCCACATGCGTTTTCCAGCATTGGCCGTCTTTGTCTTCAGTTTTGAGTCCCTGAATATTTGATCTGAATTCCCCACACCACTTACACAAACAGTTCCATGCACTCCTCAGGAAGCGTGTGACATAATTTTGTGATTGATGTTAGGATTCCAATAACAAGAACACAGGATCACAGAAAAGGTCTGGTAACCTGAGTAACTTTTTAAAAACAATTATTTATAAAGGCACATGTCTCTGTGAAGGAACAGATGTTGGGAGGCAGCGTGCTGTGGGAGCAGGCTGCACTGGGATGATGACTCAAGAAACAGAGGTTCTAACCCCAGCTCTGCCTGCGTCATGTTACGTGACCTTTGAGCAAGTTTTTCCTACATCTCCTTTTCTTCTTGTGTAAACTGAGGAGGTTGGACTAAACAATCTTCCAGTTTTCCCACGTTGGACGTTTGAGCAGTCACTTGTTCTCATTATCTTTGCTTTACAGAGTGAGAATCCTAAGGAAGATGCTCCTTGGTGACTCTGTCCTCAGACATAATGGTTGGCCTCCCCTTCCCTGAGATAATGACAGAGTGCCCTGTGTGACTTATGTCATTGGTGGGTCTTCACTGACCATCTTCAACTCCTGCTGTTTGCAGTACACCTCAGACACTATGGGAAGCAAAGCTGGCCTTATGGGGAGACAGTCTTTTCCATTTGGGTTTCAGCATGCCAAGGAAGTTTTTTTTCCTTTCAGATGTTTCTTCTTATTTGGTGGTGGTTCCTGAAATACTGCATTATATTTCTTATTTCCCTCCGCCACTTTTTTGGCTTCTTGGAAACTGTGCATTGGAGTCTGAAGAGGCTATTAACATGGCAAATCTTAGAGTCACAGAGAATTAGTTAAGTAGATGGTAAAACCAAAGGCGTGGGGGTAGAGGGTGATACCAGAGTAAGGAGCAGTGGATAAGGGGGCCTGAAGGCCAACTTCGTCTGTCTGATACATTTGTCCTGCCCTGGTCCTGGGTGAGCAGGTTTGAAAGGGAGATGAAGCATGCTGCTCTGACTAGCTCTGCTCTCTGCCCTGAAACCCAACAGTGGCAGGTGGAGTTTTATACACCCCAAACACACAGATATACAGAGACAGCCAGATTTACCTGCTTATTTTTGGGGGGTGAGCCAAGAGGAAAGGAGAGAAGAGGCACAGAAGAGAAAATATTAACTAATGGAACAGCAGCTGAGCAGAGGCTGGAATGAATGGGATCACAACATAGGTACAGGGCATATGTTTGGCAGACGTAAAAGGAAATCTTGTCTCCACAGAAAGCTGTGAAGGAAAACAGTGAGTAGCATGTAGCTTGCACAATGCAGAGATATAAGGAATTGTTTTTCTTCTGACTTCATCTCAGTAAAGTTGGTAAGTCTCACTGTCCTCATCCCTCTGCTGACCCCCTGAGCTTTCTGTGTTTTATTTGGTTCTGAGCAGATCTTGATACTGTTGTGATTGGCATCTTTCAAGGAGAATGGTTTTTATAGAGTAAACAACAGGGACTCTGTTTTCTTCCATATCAGCTCACCCTTCTGTTTCTGGATCCACAGACAGTGTGGTGTCCAATCAATTGTTTAGAGAGAGAGAGAGAGAGAGAGCTGGGTGCGGTGGCTCACGCCTGTAATCCCAGCACTTTGGGAGGCCGAGGCAGGCAGATCACGAGGTCAGGAGTTCGAGACCAGCCTGACCAACATGGTGAAACCCCATCTCTACTAAAAATACAAAAATTAGCCAGGCATGGTGATGCACACCTGTAATCCCAGCTACTCGGGAGGCTGAGGCAGGAAAATCACTTGAACCCAGGAGGCGGAGGCAGCAATGAGCAGAGGCTGCAGTGAGCTGAGATCATGCCGCTGCACTCTAGCCTGGGTGACACAGTGAGACTCCATCTCAAAAAAAAAAAAAGAAGAGAGAGAGAATGAGAGCACATGCAGCATGTGCACTGAGAACCAGGGAACATTGTTCTGTCCTGTTTCTGCTGAGGGGAATCTTATATCAAAACCCTACCGTTAACATGGGATAGGAAGGTGGAAATAGCTTTGCTATTCAAGACCCTTCTTGGTGAATATGTTGGACGAACCAGACTTGAACTATGTCTCTTGGCATTTAGAGGGTCAACCGGGGTTTCAACACTAGGGAAATTTGGGAAGCAGCCAATTTCATATACTCTTCATATACAGGTTGAGAATTCCTTATCTAAAATGCCTGGGGCCAGAGGTGTTTTGGATTTTGGATTTGGATTTTCAAAGTTGGGATGCTCATCCTGTATCGACTTTACTCAGATATAAAATTTATTTTTATATTTACTGAGGCAATGAAGTGACAGTAACATAAAACTGAGCATAGTACCTGCTTTGATGCCCATGATCTAATAACCCCATCCAGTGTGTTTTTCTGTGTTCTGTTACTTTGATTCCTTGGGCATTTAATACTGTACTACTGAGTTGTAAAGCTCCCTCCTGCCTTTCTTTTATGTGTGATCTTTTTTTTTTTTTTTTTTTTAAATAGATACAAGGTCTCACTCTTGACACCCAGGCTGGAGTGCAGTGGCACAATTATAGCTCACTGTAACCTGGAACTCTTGGGCTCAAGTAATCCTCCCACGTCAGCCTGGAGTAACCAGGATATATGCTTTCTTTATTCTTAGCTTCCTTTTGAGGCTTTTCCTTCTCTGCCCCCTTCCCTGACTTCTGCTTCTTCCAGCCCCCTAACTATGAAGTGTGCCCCAGGCTGAGATCTGGGACTCCTTGGATATCTCATTCACCCTCAAGGTTAGGCTCTTGGTTTTGGGCGACTCTCAACACTGTGCTTCCTGATGGCTTTCCAGGGCTTTAGTTCAGCATCTGACTTGTAAATGGCTGTTGGATATATCTTCATAGGTGACCATACACTCCCCTGCTGCCGTCTATCATCCCTCCCTCTGGTTATGGTGACACCATTCTCCCATACATCTCTACTTGAAGATTGAGAGCCTTGATTGCTCCACATCCAGTAGATGGCCAAATCCCATTTACTTTTCCTTTAGGACGTCCTTTGTTACATCCATCTGTCCCTCTGTGGACCGGTCCCCATCACCTCATTCCTAAACTGCTGAGTCTCCTCTCAGTTTCCCTGCCTCCAGCCCTTCTTCAGTCCACCTTGTACTGTATTTCCAGAGTGATCCTTAAGACGCTGCCTTGTATATACCACTTTTATTTCTACTAAAACTTCCATGTGAAGAAATTTCTACCAGTAGAAATCTTTAGTAACTATCTAGAAAATAGTCTCAATTCCTTAGCTTGCCATTGAAAGCATTCTGTAGTTTTCCTGCTTTGTTCTCTTTACTCTTCACTTAGTTTTCTGTTGACTTAAATGTATCATGAGCCATCATTCCAAGGTCTACCTTTGTGTGCTGGGGGTGCTATAGTTCTCCCATCTCCCTCCCTTTCTTAACATGGTCTTTACCTTAGTTGTCTACTCTTTCCACTGAATGCACCTGCCTTCACAAAGCTTTTGTCAGTTGCCCCTTGATGAAACCCCCACTTCTGGATTCCTGTAGGATTTTTTGCTAATCATATTATCACTTATGTTTTCAAGTATACGCCCTACCTTCCTCCATATGTGTAAACTACTCCAGGGCAGGGGTCATGTCTTAAGACGTTACCTTTCCAGTGTCCAGCACCTTCCTTTGTCATAAACCATTTGAGGACAAAGGTGAAAGAGCAGACTCTGAAATGGACCGAACAGTGGACTGAGTGAAGAAAGCCTCTGGAAGTCGCAGAGAGCCTTGCCAAGACTCCGGATCTCTCCTAGCTTCAGTTTTTGCCTCCTGCTTAAATATAAAGGGGGCTGGTCTGTGACCTCAGAATCTATTTCTCAGGTCCTAAACCTAATGTTATGTGAATGACTCCAGTGATTGGATTTGGAAACACTGCATTGCAAGCCTCTCCCCTTCCCTGTTGTGATGATTAAACAAGGAGAGTAGAGTGCTTTACAGAAGTAACACATAACTTCAGGAAGACAATAAAAAGTTCACAAGATAAAGTAGGATTTTTTCCTAACCACAATCACAGAAAGTGATGAGACAGTTTTCAAGAAAAAAGCTGACAGCTGGAGACAAAAGACAGTATCTCCGCCTGGGATTCATTTACTTGGCTCTCAGCCTCTGTATCCAAAATAGGATTCGCTGCTGCTTTCCATTCCTCCAGCATTCACCAAAGTAGTCACTTGGCTTTCCTGTTTTCCTAAAAATTAAGCCATTCCTTCTCTCCTACACAACCCCTCGCCCTAGAGCCGTGGCTGAAATTCCTCCCTTAAGTTTCACAATGTAACGTCACTTCCCCTCTTTCTGTGGGGTAGGCTTTTCCCCTTTACTTCCCTCTTCCTCTAAATCAAGATGAGACTTCACGAGAAATTGCTTTAAAAAAGATGAACTTTTCAGCTTATCAATTTAAAAAGTAAATATTTCAGTGGGTAGGGATCTCATTGTATTGAACCTCTGATTAGAGATTATTCCACAAGCAAGTGGAAACATGTTTTAACTGCCTCCAGAACCCTAAAATGTCTAGAATGTGACTTGTTTTGGAGTCCTGAAATTCTGGCTACAGGCTCTTGTCCTTCCATGGTTTATCAAATTCTCTGCTAGTAAGCCATCTTTTATAACTAAATCTAAATGTCTCTCTTTTCTACCAAGAGTTTATTCTTTTTTGTTCCCCATCTTCCCCTCGGGAAATATTTTTGGCAGGGACCTTATCTCAAAAGCCTTTATAACAAGATCTTTTTCTGAAACCTCTGAAGTAATACTGTTCTCCTTGGCCTCAGTGTCATGAGAAGCCCAGACTTCCATACACTTTCTGATCCCATTAGATGTTGATTACATTGTTGGCCCCTACTCCTGGTGACTTTTTTCCTTTCAAAGTGGCAGTTGCTGTGATTGAATGGGTTTTAAATTGTCACAGTATGAGTTCTTTATGGCTAGGATTCCTTTGGATTTTCCATCATTTGTGGGGAAGGGATGAAAAACGGAGAAAATAAAAGTATGAGGCTTTGTCAGACATTTATTACTGAAACTGAGAAGCTGAAACTGAGAAGCCTTATATTCTCTAGGAAGGTTACAGGGTGGTAGCACAGTTTCAAAATTAATCACCAGGAGTTTTGTTTCTCACAGTGGATTCCAAACCTGCTATTATCCTGGTGGCATACCTCTTCTTGGCCTTATGTCCTTGGTTGCTTCAAGGACATAAGGCTTGGTTGTGGCAAGGACTAAATTCTACTTTGCTTACCTTTTTCCCTGACCAGTTAGGTTGTTTATGGCTTGTGGAGATATTTAAAATATTTCATTGGGTTAAAAAAAAACAGATGACTTGGAGAACACAAGAGAGAGGACATAAGATATTTCTTTGGTTTGTCCCTCAAGGTTGGGTTGAACCTTAGTGGGAAAAAAGTATTACTTTTTTTTTTTTTTTTTTGAGATGGAGTTTCTCTCGTTGCCTAGGCTGGAATGCAGTGGTGCGATCTTGGCTTACTGCAACTTCTGCCTCCCTGGTTCAAGCCGTTCTCCTGCCTCGGCCTCCTGGTGAATAGCTGGGATTACAGGCACATGCCACCACGCCCGGCTAATTTTATTTTTAGCAGAGACGGGGTTTCATCATATTGGTCGGGCTGGTCTCAAACTCCTGACCTCAGGTGATCTGCCTGCCTCAGCCTCCCAAAGTGCTGGAATGTGCTTTCCAGAAGCAAAAGCTACCCGAATGATTTAATATGGCACTTCTGTGGAATTTTTAACCCACAATGGCTAATCAATATTAAGTTTCTCATACTTGTGGGCAGTATTGCTGCCTGAACAACAGTGGAGAAGCTCAGATTTTATTTGACAAATTTGTTATAGTGGATTTTCATTTTATATATATTTGGGTAGTGCTGTGCTTATACAAATATATAGATCTGGTGCTTGGAGGATAGTAGTAAAGTGAAACATTGTTTTCTTAATTACTTTAGGGAAGCACCTCTTCCTATTGTTTAGCTATCTTTACTTCTAGCCTCCAAGAGTGGAAATCAGTAAACTCACTTAGTGAAACCATTTTTCTAGTGGAAGAGTAGATACAGACTTGCACTAATTTTGTTTCCTTCCATTTGGAGTTTGACATTTCATCTTTCAGGCTAAGTAAATTTCAATCATGAGAGACTCCTAGTAACCAAATGTTGTATTTAGAAATGTTATTTAAAGCTGTTATTTTTTATTTTTAAAGCTGGAACGTCTAAAGTTTCATAATGTATAGGCTTAACTTCAGAGCACATGTTAAACACATTCTCATTCTAACTCTAGAGATTATATAGAGTATTACATAATTTGGAGTATTTCCTCCATTTGCTCAAAGTGTTAGCTATTGGAAGATCAAAATATATTTGTCCCTGTAGGCTTTAAGTTGTAAACCTACTTGTAGATTATTTAACTGTATTTATTTTACAGATCTACATTTCATAAAAATATGGATGATCATTCCTTGTGTTGTTAAAAATATATCATTAGCTGAGGCCAACAATTACATCCACATTACATATGCTATTTGGGGGTGAGAGAGGCATGTTCCCATTTACAAATTTATTAGAGAAGCCAGATCTATTAGAATCAATTATGTAGATTTAGATAATTTTGATATTTCCATGTATGCTATCCAAAGACACATCTTAACCAGATTTGTGTGTGTTGACTTTGCCTGCAGTGTAGAATGGATCCTGTCATCTGTTTACTGTTGGTGGGTATTGAACTATATTGATGTTCCAATCCATTGCATGGCTCCATGAACAAAATTTGAATCTGGCTCAAGCCGGGTGTTGGATGGGTGGCAGAAGCAGAGGAAGGGTGTTAGCAGAGCTGAAGCAAGGAAAGAGAGAAGGAAATGCTAGGTGTGCTAAGAACTGCCATGTTGTTGCTTGGCTAGAGCATTGGGCAAACGGAGGGCAGTCCTGAGAGGTGTGTCCCAGAGCCATGAGCCCGTCCTCAAGGCCTGAGCTCCTGGCTGGGAGTTGCTAACTTCGTTCAGGAGGCAATTGAGCCAGTGACCGGTTTTAAACAGAAAGAAGGATAAACACACTAGGCATGGCCAGCGCCTTTGAATTGTTTTCCAGAAACCAAGGTTTGGCCTGGCTTCCAACATTTGGCAGAATGAAACTTTGGAGAAGGAAAGGAACAGTGGAGGCCCATGGCTCAGATTATGTGCTTTCATTTAATACCTTTTATTCTTTCAGTCAAAGCCTGTAGTAACTGAGGTCTGTGGTATTCATACTACAGAGTTCTCTGTTCTTTTAGGGAATGTGGTCAAGGTGAGAGACAGTAGTCCTGTACGTGTGAAGGGTTAAGGCAGAGACCTGGAGTATAGGAGTATAGGATACTCACAAGTAGTATCCTATAGCTGCCGAAGCTTTGTTGCCCTGTGAGTTAGTAATTGTTTCTTTTAATAAAATAATCTTGTCTTTACCTTCCATTTATATGTGCTGATGATTCATTACCAGAAGAGGGCTGATGTAGCTACTTCTAGATCATGCCAGTACATGATACCATTCCATTAAAAACCAAAACAAAACAAAAAAAACAAAAACACATGCTTGGTAACAGCCATTTTTAGACCTGGGCTAAAAAGCTAAAAATGTTGATTGTAAGATAATAGGCAGAAAGCATAGTTGTTCATTTCAGAATTCATTAGACCACTACATTGGATATTTTGGTTTAAACTTTTTAAAGTAAGTAGTTCAAGAGAAACAGACTTTCCCTCCATGATATCTCATTGTGAATTGCATTTGCCTGATGATCTCGCTCTCACTGAGGAGAGGAAACTCTCACCACCACTGGCTCCTATCACCCAGCTTGTCCGGGTCTTGCCTGACTGACTCCTGTTACTTTTGGTAAAGTCACGGCTTTGCTTTCTCGATTTCCACAGTACACAGTTTTTTGTTCCTTTTGGTGAGATGGAAGGGAATGGCTCTCTGAAGTACCCGAGATGGGAAGCACATTTCTCTGTGGTGCATGGTCTTGAACTGTGTCCATCTGGTTACCCCCGTGTGGTCATGTTCCTTGTTCATAACCCTCTTGAAGTGCAATGCCCTGGGCACTCTGCCTCTCCTGCTGTTGTCTAAGAAGGCATTAGTTTTTTGGGCAGCTGCTTCATTGATGAGTCACTGAATGTATAGGAAACCCAGATTCTTGAGGGATTAAAAAAAAAACTAATAATTAACTCTTACTAATTCATATCTCTGTTTTGCGTAGTTGTTTTTAAATGTGAATGTAAGACTTAATTTTTTTTCCAGTTAATTTTGTCCTTTATTATCTGAATCTCTTCAGATTCTCTTTGGATGGGGTTCTGGTTCTCTCAGCTTCTATATTGGCTGTTCCTCCTCCTAAAGTGGTGTCATCCAGAAGTTTGAGAATTATACCATTGACATACTTACCAATGATGTGAATATACTAGAATGAATGCCTTGTAACATATCACTGAAGGCTTTTTCTCCAAGTTTAGTCTTTCAGCCTAGCTATTACTCTCCTGACACACATGAACTCAAATGGTATTCTGAAAGAATTTAATATCTTGCTTAAGTCCAGAATATTTCTAATGAATCTGGGTATACCTTGCAGTATTGGTCTACTGCCAAAGATGGCCTATGATGTGGGATTAGGTTAGCACCAGTAAGGAGTTAGAAGCAATGAAAAACAGTGTGGTTTATGAGAAGGAGGGTGTTCATTTTATACTGTTGTTTGATTTGGTCGTTCTCTATTCTGCTGGATTAGTTCCTTGAATATATGGCCACCTGTTTTTTTCCTAAAAGAATGTAAAAAATCTGATTTGAAGCTCTATGGGAATAGCTGGATTAGCCAACAGGTGGGCTTTGGAGCCAAGTGTTTGTCAATCTGAATGTCTTTGCAGTTTTTCCAGAGAAGACTTGTCTAGTCTACTTTGGAGATGTTGGCCTGGCTTCCAACATTTGGCAGAATGAAACTTTGGAGAAGGAAAGGAACAGTGGAGACCCCTGGCTCAGATTACATGCTTTCATGTAATACCTTTTTTGATTTCAGTCAAAGCCTGTAGTAACTGAGGTCTGTGGTCTTCATATCACAGAGTTCTCTGTTCTTTAGGGAAGGTGGTCAAGGTGAGAGACAGTAGTCCTGTATGTGTGAAGGGTTAAGGCAGAGACCTGGAGGTCCAATCTCTCTCTAAATAAACTTACAACTAGTTTCTAAAGTTTCCAGCCTCATGTCTCACTCCTGTTTTTTGTGGTATACAGTCTCTCCAAACCTGAGCCTCTCTGGGTTTCTATGAGAGTAAATTATTTTTCTTGGTATCTCCTCCGTAGGTTCTTTAGGCTATCGCAGAGTTGAGGAAGTTAAATTGGGCATCATTCTGTCTATTCTGTCTTTCCAAAATTTGTTGAAATCACTCCTCTGCTATCTTCCCTCCTAGTCTCTTGCCCTTAGCTATTTCTTTAATTTTTATTTTATTTGCTATCATTTTAGTCATTGTTGGAAAGGAAAGGTGAGAAGTGTGTAGTCAATCTGCTACATTTAACCAGAAGCCTACGTTATACTCCTAAGAAAAGACTGCAAGTTAGTTGAGTTTCTGTACAGTTTAGAGCAATATGTCATATAGCTCAGAGCTTATTATTACTATGAAACTAAAGCTATTTCTAAATGACCTATAATGACACACTGATATTACTCAGTTTCTGATTCAACTAATTTATAGGACATCCAGAGGATCTGGCTGTTGTTCCTTGTGTGGGAGCTGCATGATGTCCTGGAGGAGCAGTGTTGTGGAATGGGGCAAAGGTGTCTTCTTCACCTGACTCCGTGATGCTCTGAGTCAAATAACTTCCTCGCCTAGTACCCAGCTCCTTATTTTGTGAATAAGGGTCTGGTCCTCAAGGTGTTCTCAGCTCCTCTGGTCCTGAGGCTGTGCCTTCTGGAGCACAGATTCTGGTGGAGTCTAATGCAGACCTCCATCTGCTCCTCAACAGCAACTGGTACATTAACTGGGTGATTTAAATGGCCCAGTTTGCTCTCTGAGTATAGGAAAAAAGATGAGAAATCCTGTTACAGTTGGCATTAGACTCTTGAAGGAAGGGAAATGTAATATTAAAGCAACCTCCATTGAAACCATCCTTGCTGTAAATAGTGCCACTGATGTATTAAAGAAGACGTATCAGAGGAAGGGGAGTGGATTCAGTGGAGTCAAGCTACATATGCTAGAGTGGATATCATGAATCATGCCATCGACTTATGTCCTGTTCAGTTGAAAGATGTAAACATAGTTATTTTCAAAGCCTTATAAACAGATTCCACACCTATCATAAGCAGGTTAGTTCAATATGGTCTGAGTTCTAGGTTTATTTCAGTGGAAAGTTTAGAAACGGACTTCAAATTAGTTTAAATAATAATAATATTAGCTCATATAAGTCCAGGAGTGACTTACCCATGGCTAGATCCTGAGGCCTGGGTATATTTAGGCCTTGCTCTCTCACTAGCTTTTAATTGGGTCAAGTTTTCAACACCGGGCCAACTACTCTGCTGGGGAGAAGGGTATCCTGACTGTCCTTCCCTATGCAGTCACACAGAAGGCAGAGGAGTGGCGGAATGGGAGAGACCGACATGACAGCTTTCTACCACCCTCCATTCCATATGTGGAAAGTATAATCACTTATGAAGATTTAATTTGCAGAATAGGAGACCAGAAAAGAGTAGGTAATTTGGACTTTTCAAAAAGGCAGAAGCCACTGGAGGATACAAATCATATAATGAATGACCAGATGAGATTTGTGTCTAAAGCTCAACCTGAGCTCTGTGTGGAGACTCAGTCACCTAAATGGAGTTGGAAATAGAAAACCAGGTAATGATCAGAAACTGACAGGACCTGGCCCAGAACCAGGAATCTGTCTTCCACCACGTTTGGATTTCACCCAGAGAGGAGTTGCCAGTTCACCGTGGGAAATCTGACAAATGAGAAATGTGTATATAAAAGTGAGTGTATATACCATAGTTGCCTAAAATAAGCACCCCAGGCTTAGACTGCATCCACAGAAGCCATTTCTCAATGAAGTGTTTGCCACAAATGGGCAGCACTTTGAAGTCTCAGAACTCGAGTCCTCTTCCCCATCTGGACATTACTACGGAGTTCCTTCTTAGTTATGGCTGAGCCCACATCCTCTTCTCTGGCATCATGGTCCCAGAAATCCACAAATGGATTTCAGCAAGTGTGTGACTGAAACCCTTTAAAAATGTATGAGGACAAGGTCTGCTCCACTTACCAGGTTAAGAGGGGCCTAAACTAAAGGTGTTTGAGAACTCTGCTGCATGCGAGGACCCCCTGGAGAAAGGGAGTACCCTGCTTCCTCTCAGAGCTGCCCTTTTGGGATTCCAAACTCCTATTACCCAATTTATCTCCGAAAGAGACCCACAGTATACTGGATGTTTCCATGGCAGATTTATTCCTGGGGCCGTCCCCACTGAAACATGGAACATGTTTTTCTAAAGAGATCTTGTCATCAGTATGGCAGCAAATGAAAGTAATGCTGATGTTATTGTTTCAACTAATGGTGTCCAAACTTCTCTGTTTAAATAAAGTTAGAGCTTTAACAGCTTGTATGTCCAATTTATGTATATTTACAAATTAAATACCTTTAGTACTGTATTAATGTTATATATCCTAAAAAGCAGAAATAAACTAGACGTTAAAGGATAAGATTGAAAAAAAACATATGCATGAATATTCTCTTCACATTTCGATGAATTGTCATAGTTACCTCATCTTTTAAAACCTTTGTTACCTCTGTTTAAACCCAGGAATTAAATAGATGTTGCAGAGTAAGTTGGAAATATGTACCTCTTCTTGTAACTGCTTCTTTGGAAAATATGTTTTAAGTTCTAAACAACCATTTTACAAAAATTGGAAATGCCATTTTGTTAAAAATTTGAGACCATTAGTCTTTTTCTCTTGCCATATTGGATCACCTTGATAGTCGAGGCAAACCATGGTAAGAATGGAATTGCAGTCTTTCCACATCCCATACCCATTGGCATGTGGGAGGATGAAACTAATCAAATGTGCTGACATTTTTTTCTAATCTCTGGTCTCTTTGTTTATACTATGAACTCAGCATTAACAGCCTTCATTTTTGAATTGTATACAACCAATAACAAAATCTTAAATTTGGGGAAAATCTGTAAGCAAAATTGGGTCTGTCGTAAAGCACCAGGATTTTTTTGTTAGTTTGTTTTAAAAGCTTTATTGAAGAGTCTTTTTAGGAGAGAGAGTGAAATGCAGGACTTGCTTTCTTATGGGTCATCTGTCATGTATAATTGCCAAATAGGAAATAGGAGAAAAGACTGGAATGAAATATACAAAATTCTACCATTAGTTGTGGATAGTGATTTTTTTAGGTGGCATTTTCCCTTCATTTCTCAGTTTTTAGTGAAATAATTGCTTTGATTAAAAAAAACAGGAAAAAATGTTTCCAAATATTACTGCCTTTCTGAAAAGTGCCAGAAGCTCATCAGTTTGATTTAATGTCTATTTCAACAGTGGTGCCTCTACCCCCAAAGCCTGGTAATTTTTGCATCTGAGTTTAAGTGACTGGTTGCATGCATTTTGCTGTGAGTGCTACTTATGCCATGAGGGAAGCCAGATATAGCTGCATTCTTGATGTCTGTCTGATATCAGTCTTGCAGCCAGAAATTTTTGAGCTCTCTTTGGTAAAGGAGAGAAAATCCACAAAGCATGCTTCCTCCACCTCTGTTTCCCTACTTCAGTTTTTTCCCTCCCCAGCTCCCCAAACCATACTCATTCATGGAAATTATTTTTCTGCTGTCACTGGAAAATAATACAACTCTGATACTTCAGGCATGAGATGACTCTGATTGTTTTTCAGTGTTCTTGCCTTAGACAAAATTAAATCACCGGCAGTGTGTCGCATCCAGCCAACATCAAAGCTCTTGTCTGGGTTCTATGAGAGCCTTGCAAGTTTCTGAATCAGTCAGAAATTATCGCGGAGCTGAGACTAATCAATGAGGAAGTTCCATTTTATTTTTCAAATATAATTTCTCTTGTAGCCCATGTGTGTGCTTGTGATTTCTCTAAAATACAGCCGGCCCGTTTTCCCCTGGCCCGTGTTTCCTCCCAGTGCCTTGGTGACTGCTGTCATTTTAATGCAAGTAACCCTTCTTGGCAGAAATAAGATTAGGTAATTTTCTGACCTTCTAATCCCAGAGGCACCAATTCTCCTGGCTTGCCATTTTGTTTTTAGGTTTTTCCATAAAAATATTTTTGAACATTAAATGGGTAGTGGAAGCAGTTGGTATTTGCTTTTCATGGAACACATTTATTTCCGCATATCAATGAAAATAACCAAGTCATATTAAAATATTTTTGTGCTACAAAATTCAGAAATTTTTGTGGTATTAGCTTTAAGCATAATGGCCCAAAATGTAGTCATTAAAAAGTAGAAGTAAAATGTTCACATTTTTGCCTCAGTGATCTCAGTAGTATATTTATACCAATTAAATATTTAACTTACATATAAACCATATTCTGTGGTTACTCCTGAGAAGCAAGATACTTAGTGGATTGTATACGCCATGATTTATTCCCTGAAGGCGTATACATTTCCAAGTTTCCTTTGAACAGGCAAGTTCAGTCAATTAGCAAGTATTTAATGAATTCCCCAAGGACTTCCAGTGGATCAGGAGCCCCGTTGCCACTTTCCTTCTCAATTTTTTCAACTTGACAGAGTGAAAACAACTGACATTCAGAGTCTAATTTCTTTCAGTATATTCATTGCAGCTTTATGTTTTTAAGACTTCATGATAAATTCAGTCGAGGAAGAAAAGAGTGGGAATGCTCTCCTGGTCCAGCCTCCCAGCGAAGCCACCCACCAAGTGTAGCCACCCCGCCTGTCCCCCGTCCCCCTGAACAAACATCCGATCAGTTTGAGGAGGGAGGGAGGGGCCTTAGTTCTCCTCTCTGTGTATTCTTCTGGCTTTTTATCTGCTCTGCCCTAACCTAGGTGTTCAGCTTAATCATTTATTGTACCTCAGAGTGACTCACTTGGAAATTGTAATATTAATCGTTGGCAACGCTAACAGTGAAGATAAACATTATAATGGCACTCAATTATATGCCTGGACTCATTGTAAGTATTTTATAATTCATAATCTAATGAATCTTCAACTACCTCAACAACCCTAGACATAATTATCCCCATTTTTCAGATGAGGAAGTGGAGACACAGAAAAAATTTAAGTAACATGTCCAAAGTCAAATAGCTAGTAAGTAATACAACTGAGATTTAGTCATGGGAGTGTGGTTCCAAGAGCCCATGCTCTTATCCTCGATACTGCCTTTCTCTGGTCCCGGAAAGCTTTTCTGCCACCAGCATTTCTAGAATTTATTGAAATTTGCATTCCAGATTATTGGTGTCCTTCTTGGTTTATGCAGCAAATGCAGCAATATTATTTCAAACCTAGGCTCAGGCATATTGGTTTATGCTGCAAATGCAGCAATATTATTTCAAACCTAGGCTCAAGCATACCTCACCTCTCTCAGCTGCCATCTCATATTGTCATGGGAGTGTGACTCATTCTGCAGATCAGAGAGCCTTTAAAAGAGGATCTTGCAGCCAGCATTTTTACCTGTCATAGAATTTACTCTTCAAAGGCACCCAAGGGGCCCAACCTGAACATGAGGAAATCCGACCTACCTAGGTTAGAAGACCAAGGAAATGGTAGCGGGAACATCACCAAAGCTGCCTCAATCTTCTGAACTCTCTAAAACTTTAGCAGACTCTGACCGAATTTTAACGGCTACCAAAATCAGGTCAAGGAGGCAGAATAGATATATGTTCAGACTCCAGTTCTTTGTGTTCTGCAGAGTTGAAGCTGCAGAACTGGGCATAACATTGAAATGAAAGAATACCCCCTCAAAATGATTTGTTTCCTGGAGGAATGTAAAGTGGGAAAATCTCTTAACCGAAATGGTTTCTCTGCAGGAGAAATGGTGCCCAGTCCAGAAATCTTCTTTACACCTTAAGTGAAGGAATACTTTCCAAGTACTGAATCTCCTTGTGTAGTTTTATCATAAAGGGACATGGGCCAGGAGAGAGTTGCGAAGCACTGTGCCCTCAAATGGCAGGATTGTTAAATCCACATTCACCATTTTATTTGTGTTTCCCCACTCAGTTCCTGTATGCATGATAGAGTTGGATCTTTTTCATTCCCAAGTGCTAAATTCCACTTAAATTGATGTTTTCCTCTGAGGATTATTTACCTCTCTCTTGTTTAGTGGAATGAAGAAACTAATGCACTAACATAGTCTAATCAGATATAAAAATTATTTGGAGATTCCTTTGGGGAAGTAATATGGAATGTATGTGTGTTTGATAATTGGAATCTAAGTTAACAAAGAGGCTAGTGTTTTTATTTAGAGAAAAATTCCTCTTTGATTCATTTCTCAAGTGCATTGAAGTCAGACTTTTGAAGAACCCAGAATATGAAGTGAAAAAGGATGAGGAGAGTTTTGTGGTGTTCTCTCAATTGATTTTTTAAAAAGCCCATTTTTATTGTGGAGCAGTTTAAAGTTTTATATGGCACCTTTCACCTCGGGCAGCTTTAGGAACAGAATCAGCTCACTCAAACAATTCCAGAAAATCTGCTGGGCACAGCCTAGGAAAAGCAGAACTTACAAGGAACATTTTAGGAGCATCACTGGTAATCGCATGCTCTTGGAAGTTTGCCAGAAGACTGAGGTTACCACCTGAATTTCTGGCAGCGAACTCAAGAATCCTAATTGGATCAAGCCTTGGTTTTATCTCCTTTCATAAGATATTTTTGTCTCTTTCATCTACCTTTGGACTGAATTGCTAGAACCCAAGAGTTCATAATTTAACAAGGAACCTGCCACTGCTTTTAGTAGCTTGTGTTCTATTTGTCATCTGCATATCTGGGGCCTGTGAAGAAGTATAGTATTATGCACAAGGCTGGGTGGAGCACTGAGTTTCCTTGAGGAAATGGGCAGGAAGAAGAGTCCTGTTTTAACTCTAGTTGTTTTCTATATATAATATCTGCACTCAACAGATATTCTCTGTTTTTCTGTATTTTTAAAGGGAAATTGGAAACTATGGGTAGAGATAGAGACCTCTTTTGAGGGATTTGGGTTTAGTAAAAAGCCCGTCTAGGGGGGCTTCCCTGGCATGCTGAAGCATAGGAAGATGCTGCAGTGTGCTCCTCTACTGTGATCTGATGCAGAGTTGCCACTTCTAGTCACACTCCACAAAGGAAGAATGTGGTAAGGCTGATTGCATTTTCTTATTGAAGTGTTGCTCTCAGAGCTTTCCTTGGCTTGCTAGGATCATGACCCTTGATTTTATTAAAATTTATATATTTTTATATAAGATTTAAGACTTATAGTAATGTGAAGAATCCATCTCATATATGCTAAATATTGAAAGTGACCATGGAGCATTTAAAGGTAATTTTCAGTATCATGATGGTGTATTATATAATAAATAGGTTTCTTGATATATTTTAATGTCTTTTATCATCAAAGTAATGATTAGGCCATTTCATTTTCACAAACTATCAGTTCATGAAAATAAGCACCACCAAATTTAGTTAGTCAACAAATATTGAGCACCTGTGATTCTTTTATTTGCTAGTCAGAATAGAGCTTTAAGTTTAAACTCTGTGTTAATGACAAGTGGCTCAGAACATTCCCTTCCACTGTTTGCGGTAGAGAGTGGTAGGACTTACTCTTTTGCATATACACTGTATCTCCCTGTTCTTTTTCCTCCATTGTCTCCCCATCCTATGAGTTCTTTTCCATTTAAGAGCAGAGAATGATCAGATGAACAGAGTTGCTTCTGACAGAGTCATCCTAGACCATCTGTTAGACTGACAAAATTTCATAGTTGTTAGGATTAAATGTTATTTGTAATCTAGGGATTTGGGGCAGCCAAATATATCTTAGGTGACTCAGGATGGATTTGAATCTAATTCTCAAGGAAATGTTGATTTAATACTAAATGTTTCTGACATGCTGTTGCCATCTGGCTGGAGTTGGGGTGGAGGGAGACAAAGGGACAGTGAGAGAGAGGAGAGAGAAGTCACATATGTGCCAGTTAGTATCACCCCAAAACTATAAATCACAAAGAAATAGCCATTTTATTCCTTTTCTCAATCATTAGATTGTTCCTTGGAATGAGGGCTTAAGATACCCAGGGTTTCAGAGAATCTGTCAAGTTTTAAGGAAACTTCATTGCATTCATATTTGTGTTTGGAGCAGGTAGTATGAATACCTTGGTCACCTTTTCTTAAATTCATGCATTCTAGTCTGAGACATTGAGAGGCATTTGGGGTAGACATTTGAGATGCACATTTAGTTATCTAAGATAATTATAGGAAAACATCAAACCTTTTGGCAACTTTCCGCCCTTAATATGGGTATTTTCAGCTTTTGCAGTTCATGGTAGGTGTTACATACATTTGCCGATATAACTTGCCATGTAAATAAATATTCCATTTGGTTCCAAAACAGTTTGTTTCAAAGAAGCTTGTTTCCTCTCCTCTGATAGCCTCAGATAAAGTGGATGGGCCTATAACACTCATTTCCTCTCTTCACTAATATTAGTGATAGTCAGGTTTATAGAGCACTGCCTGCCTGCTGGCTGCTTTGCTAAGTGCTTTACAGGTATTTCATTTAGCCCTGTAACAAGACTTATAAAAGATTATAAGTCTTTGAAAATAACTGCCTGCTCCATACGCTTCAGACTTCTCCAATCCTGGTTCTGCTCCTGGGTAGATACTTTAAATCATCTCCATTTTATAGTTGAGAAGACAGAATTTAAGGAACCTGCCCCAGGTCACATAGTAACTGGTAGAGCCTGGCTTTAAGCCCAGACCATCTGGCTCCAAGCCTCCTTAAAGCACTCTGCACATGGTGAAGAGTCTGGGTTTTTCTAAAGATCCGTATGAAAGTTCTGCCTCATATAAATATTATATTAATTATACTTAATTTGCAATTCTGTATTCTTGTGTTCAAATGGGTCCTTTCTTGCTTTAATAAATTTTCAAAGTACTTTCCATTAAAGGTTTTTTGAAGTGTTGGTACATTGATGTGTGTATAATTATGCATTAATCTGAATCTGAAAGTTAATGTGAAAAAACTACCAAGTAAACTGACAGAGTCTCTGATCTCAGCTTTTTTGGGCGTGCGAATTCAGAATAGGAAGGCAAAGGGAGTGTTTGGAGATGCCTGAAAGCTGATAGACTTGGGCAAGGGTGTGGACATGTTGACTCACATGGCCTGTTGCTATTATGTGCTAGTGTTCAGGCATCCAATTCTGGAAGATTGATTCCAAAATTATGTAACTGGACTCCTCATTCACCCACTGAAATCCACTGAGACCCAGTATCCCAGCATTGGAAGATAGAATACAACCATACTACATTAAATGGATTAAGCAGAAATGCAAATCTGAAAAGGATTCTGGATATGTTGTTTTCCTACTTCACTGTGGATGGATGTGACTTTCATGCTTGTTCTTTTTTCCCCTGGAGTTTAGAAAATTCAATGTTAAAAGTGATACATTTTATTTTTGCTTTTATTTTAGAGTTTGCTTTAAGGTGAAAGCTAGTTAACAAATAACATAGTATCTTTGTGCTTGAGGTGGTGATAAACTATTTAGGCAATTGTATTTCATAGTTTGAGTCTACATTATAAAACCAGGAGGTTGTTTAGATTCAAAATTATATAGGTCCTGTACAACTTAGTGTCAGTAAGTTGTCAGATATATAGTAAAAACTAGAGATTACTGGGGATTAATAGAGTTGAAGTCTACTAAGGTAGACAATGATTTGGATGTTCATTGGCAACACTGACTATGTGAAATAGCCTTATAATAAATATGACAGCTTGCAAAAACCCACTGGATATCAGCAAAACCATGATATTTGTCTCAAAGTTCAATACATATTTTTGCTATTTCTTTCAGACACATTGGCAAATTGGTAATCACGACTATCTTAGAGACATGACTTGTAACTTTCATAGCTGTCAAGAAAATTTGTTGACATTTTCTTCCTAGGAGGAAATTCCATTTTAGAGATGATATGGGGGAAAGAGGATTAATGAGAAAGCTCATTAACATATTTGCCTGTAGGAACAAAGTGAACATGGGAGACAGCCATGACTAATGGGTGAAACATCACCCATGTCCTGTGGTCATATGAATATTCTGAGTTGTGATCTGGCTAAATAGCAGGTCTCTTTCATTGTAACTTGGTAAGAATATCTAATTTACAAAACTGAAACAAAAGGACACCACTTTGTAAGGATTTGTGTCCTAAGACAGATTTTAGATGGAAGCATATTTACTGGTGATGTGTGAGAATGTAATACAAACTGAACTCCTAAATTAAAGAGTTGGAAGTGTGACATTAAGAAATTTCTAAAACTGGGAAACTCTCTTCTTATGGTAAAAGGGAGAGACTCGCAGGGAGTGAGAAGCACTGAAATAGGGAAATGTTTTAGTACCTCAATCCTCAGTAAAAAACAAAACAAAAAAGGCTTACTCTGCATTTCTCACCAGTGATTTAAGGTCAAGCTCTTGAGATTTTTTTTCCCCCTTAGGAAACGTTTCTGGAATTAGAGTTTTGGAGAAGAGGATTTGCTTTTCAGAATGAAGTCTTTAAAATTTTTGACTGCAGTATATCAGTTCTACAATCCAAGAAATTCCTGTAGCTGGGGGAGTGTTTGTCGGGCTCATCTCTTTAGAATCAGAAAATTCCTTTAAGGTATGGGGAGCACGTAGGAGCATGATAATAAGAATTGAGATAATGGTCTGTTTTGCAATCCTCTGTAGTAATACAGCTCAACTGATTGAAGAGAAAGTCAATGGAATGGTAGTTTTCATTTTAGAGAAATCACAATATGTGAAGGTAGTCATGTAGCTAGGTTCACATAACTGAGGTGAAAATGGACACTGGGATTCTTTCCTCATTGCACCACATATTTATATCTGCAAAATAGTACATTAACTTGTATCCTCCAAATATAGGAAGAGTAAACCTTTTTCCAAATTAGACTATGTTAATATATTTTTACTGCTTTAGATGGACTAGATCCTTAATTCTTGTTGGATCAGTATAGCTTTGCTGAATTGAAAAGTCAGTGTGAAAAATTCTCTCTGTTAAAGGAAGAAATGTCAAGGTATTATAGCTTTCAGCTCATTATGCTAGAAGGAATGATAAGATGGGCAATGTTGCATATAAGAATTTGATTAGGGCCCTCTTATTAACATTTGTGATATCACATTGATTAGTTTCTGAAAACACATTGATGTTCTGTGTTGTTTATGTATGAGATATAAGTTCTCCCTCTCCCTCTGTTATCTAAAATTGTATGACCTAAAAGTCATATTTCAAGGACATTGATGTGTTAGCTGTCTTAAGAGAGTCTTCAAATTGAATTCTTAATGAAGATATTTTTAAATGATGAAAGCAACTGTTAACATCCAGTAACAGTAAAAGTAAAAAACCAAAACAAAAAAACAAAACTTACTGCTGCCCTAATTTTGTAGGAAAAAGGATTAGGCAATTTAACTCTACAATGGCCATTTTTAGAATCCACTATTTAACATCTTCTTGACTGGGGACTGAGAATCATATGAAGATTTCAATTTGCTTCCATCCTTTGACTACACATTAGCTAGAGAGAAGATTGTAGTGGAGCAGAAATGCGGCATATATGGTAGTGATGCTTCCCTTAACAACTGGGATACATTTTGAGAAATGTGTTGTTAGGGGATCAGTTGTTCAAACTTCATAGTGTCCTTACACAAATTTAGACGGCACAGTCTACTTACTACACATCTAGGCCATATGGTGTAGCCTGTTGCTCCTATGCTACAGACCTGTACAGCATGTTACTGTACTGAGTACTGAGTACTGTAGCCAATAGTAGCACAGTGGTAAGTATTTGCGTATCTAAGCATATCTAAACATAGAAAAGGTATAGTAAAAATGTGGTATTACAATCTTACAGGACCACCGTTGTATATGTGGCCTGTCTTTGACTAAAATGTTGTTATGCAGCACATGACTGTAATTGCAAAATAGTTCTCTAGATCACTAAAAACACTTGCCGGAGTGATTGTATCCTAAACCCATGCAGAGGGCATTAGAAAAGTTTGGGCCAGTAATCCTCAGGAGGATCACTTTTGCTGACCTGAAAACTTTTCATCTTTTCTTTTTAAGCTAACCTCCTCCATTTGCGTGTTAATTGAAATCACTGATATTTCACAGTACTAGGTGTTTGGAAAAACATCTGATTGCAGTTTCTGGTTGCTATTAGTTATCATTAAGTATTTACTTACAGGATATTTAACCTTATACTTCTTTAAAGAAACAGCAGTATTTTTTCAGATTCTGAACATTTTAAATAGGCATTTAGTTCAGGTGTAACAGTGTGGCCAGAACACAGCTGTCTCTTGGCTGTTTTCTCACATCACTGGCTATCCCTTCTTCGTCTCTGCCGATTCTTCAGCCCCTCCCCATCCGCCATGTTGGGATGTCCTAAAGCCCTGTCCTTCCACCTCTTCTCACCCAGTGCCAGGGCTGTAAAAAACCATCCAAACACTGACCTCTAAGTCCATACTGCCAGCCCAGGCCATAATTCCAGACTCATATTCAGCTGCCTCTTCATCTTTTCTTCAGTGTTTAATAGGTATTTAAAACTAAACATGATAAAATCAAACTCTGGACTCCACATTCTTTCCCATATATGTAAATGGCAACCCAATCCTTCCATTTTTCCGGCCAAAAACATTGACGTGTTTCTTGATTCTTCTTCTTCATACCCCACAGTAATCTGTCACCAAACCCACAGCTAAGCTATGAGCGTGTGTGTCACCTGTTTTTGATGGCTTATTTGCTCCGTGTTTCTTGTTTTTGTAACTGGTCTCTGCATCCATCCTTACCCTCTACAGTCTGTTCTCACCACAGCAGCTGAGTGATTCTTTTAAAATATAAGTCAATTCATGTTATTCCTCTGCTCAAAACCCCTTTTCTCTTGCACTCAGTATAAAAGCCTCTTAAGTCCTGAAAGTGGGCCCTGTATGATCTATACCCTACCCCTACCACCACCTCCACCTTCCTTCTTGTTTTTGCTGCCCCAGATACATTGGTCACCTTGCTGTTCCTCTAGCATTTCAACAACAACTTCTCAGAGCCACACTTTCCCCAGGCTTGTTGCTCACTTCCTATAGGTCTACTCAAATGTCACCTTAACATTGAGGCCGTTTGGAGCTTTCTGTAAGTCTGGCAATACCCTTCTTACCACTCCCTCCACTGCCTGAATCCTCCAGCACCATTCGGGGGGTGGTGTGTGTGTGTGTATGGTAGGTGTGTGTGTGTAAGAACTCATTCTCACGAGACAGCATGGGTCCCTCAGGACCCAAACACCTCTTAAAGTTCCCACCACCACTCAACACCATTACATTAGAAACCATGCCTCAACACGAATTTTGGTGGGAACAAACCATTTTCAAGCCATAGCAGGCCCTGTACCTATTCAGAATGTTTAAGGGTTTTCTCCTGTGGTCTTAGAAGCAAATTTGTTCATTCAACACCTACTTAAGTAGGCAAATTCTCTGATCTATTAAGTTTAATTGAGCCCAGGCTCATTGGGGCTAAAGCATATACCTTGTGATTTCGTTGACAGTAGCATCATCTGTTGCTATGTAATACCTGGGTTTGACTAAATTAGACCAGCCGTTAACTAGAAGGATGCATTGGTCCAAGAATGAAAGATCAGACTGACAGCTGATGAGCAGTCTTCCTTTACAGATTGTCTTTACTGTAGGATTTCCATGGCAGGTCTAAAAAATGCGGAATAATGGAAAATGATAGATCTTGTAGGGGAAAAGAGACTACTTTTTACTTTTATTATAGGAATGGAATGTGTTTGGCGTCCATCTCCTACTTTATAGTATTATAGTTATACAGTAGTTTTAAGATTTGGATCTTGCTTATGAAAAATTTATAAGCCATCCCCATATTGTTTGTTCTAGACATGCTTATGTTCTACTGTCTATAGAAACATATGATTTTCTTTAAAGATTTTTTAAAATGGAAGGGATATTATTCTATAAATCATTAAAGTACAAATATTAGTTACATGAATGAATAAGCACCACAGCTATAGGATAGGAGCTGAATTCAAATTTGAGAACCATGTTCTCTAGCTGGAAGGCACCATGTAAATAATTCGAGTTACTATAAATTATGGTCTACTTCAGGAATGAAATATGTGGAAAATGGGTGTTTGAGTTATCTAAGGTATGGCTATATACTTCTTATAGTGCCTAACACCAGATTATTTGGCAGACTTGAACAGACTTATATTTTCTGGTGCAATGAAGATACTGTGAAACGTATTCTTTGAAGATGGTGTTGGGATACCATTGATAGAAGTTGCTCTAGAAACAGGATAATAGGTAGAGATAACTTCAAGAGTCTCAAATGTGTCTAGAGAAATATTATGGGCAATTTTTGTTAACCATTTAAGGCTTTGTAATGCTCTAATGCTAAACAAAGTCACTTAATTAGTCCCTTTTAGAAATAAGTTGTCATATCACATCGAAAAAGTAAAAGAAAAACTGAGCCTGGGTGTCTCTGCTACTGTTAAATATCCCTGTCATAACTGCATTGCCTTATCCTTAGCAAATAACAAAATATACATTCTTAATTGTTCACAGTAATATACAAGTCAGGTATAGTTATCCCTATTTTCAGATGTCAAAACTGTTAAGGTAATTAAAATAACCAAGTTGAAATCATTCAACTGGTTAATAGCAGAAACAGAGTTTGAACTCAGGCCTGAGTCAAGACTATCTTATAAGGCCTCTTCACCCAGTGATAAATAATACCACAGATAAAACATTGTAAAGTTAGAATTTTAAACACTAAAATTACCCATAATTTTGTATCCTAGAGATAAATACTTTCAACATTTTTAAGGGATGTTGTTCCTTATTGGTTTATGAAAGTGTTCAATTAGCTTAATTTAAGCTCCTGAAAAGCATATGGAAATCATTTAAATTGTAACATGTTTTCTTCTAAAATGGTAGTTAATGACCCTAGCCCCTCAAACTAAATTGTTAGTTACTTCCAGATGTTGTGGCATTTAAACACACACATAATTTAATTTGAAAATAAAAGCTGTCATTTGAAAGCCTGATTTTGTTCTTTGCGTGGGTGCCACAACACTTCTCCAGGAATCTTTTCACCTTGTTGCACTCCTGTGCAGATATGTTCATTGATTTCCTGTTGACTGCAAACTAAAATCTGAGCACATCTCATTTTTCTCCATCATGGCTCCTGCCTTTCCAGTTACATTCATCCCTTGTGAGTCATTGTTTTTGGTCCCATCCTGGCCCCTCAGTTCCATTCCATGGAATAGAATAAATTTATCCCAATAAAACTTTTTTTCCTCTCCAGAAAGGTTTCTTGTGTTAGCTTTCTGGGGTTGGGGGAAGAAAATGTTTGTTTGTTTGTTTGTTTAGAGACAGAGCCCAGGCTGGAGTATGGTGGCACAATTGTGGCTCACTGCAACCTTCGCCTTGCGGGTTCAAGCAATTCTCCAGCCTCAGCCCCCTGTGTAGCTGGAATTACAGGCACCTGCCACCGCACCTGGCTAATTTGTTTTGTATTTTTAATAGAGACAGGGTTTTGCCATGCTGGCCAGTCTGGTCTGGAACCCCTGGCCTCAAGTGATCCGCCTGCCTTGGCCTTCCAAAGTGCTGGGATTATAGTCATGAGCCACCACGCCTGGCCCAAGACGTTTCTTGTGTTACCTCTACCACCTGCCAGCTCTCTCACTTTAACCTTGGTTTTTTCATCGCTAAAGTCAAGACATCAGATGTAATCACCTAATATCCTTTCTGGTTCTGACATTCCATTGTTCTCACTGCTTCCTGGGATGCCTGTGAGCCTGTGTTTGTGACTATACAGCACATGTCAGTGAACCAGGAACAGAGGAGGTGCCTGGTATAGGTTTCCTGGGTAGTGATTCTTATCCTCTTACTGTAATTGTGTTAGAAGATCAAGGAGGTGAAGGACTCCATGGAGCATATATTCATGAAGTACTCTTTAAGTTCAGGCTGTATGAGGGTGTGAGTATTCAGAGGGAATGACTAGGAGAATGTCATCAGTGTCACCAGCTTTCAGTAAATTCCAGAAGGTAACTCGGGAGGCCCAGAGAAAGTTTAGTAAGAGTGAGGTGGGGAAAGTGGAAGGGTGGTTGAGAAGTTTTTGTTGAAGAAGAGAATCTTGACACTGAGCTCTTAGAGGTAGAGCAATTCTAAATGGTGGCAGAATTCAAGTGATGACTGCCTGGGTGGATTGGAACTGAGATCTTTAGGTTGGTGGCTGTCAGAATACGTTGAGGGTAATTTTAGAAGAAAATTCGTCAATAAAATTAGTTCAACAGAATATACAGGAAAACACATAAGTGTCATACGTGAAGTCAGATCGGAACTAGTGTTATGATGTTGACATCTTTGACTCTATGTAAGAATCTGGAAGTGCTCAGCTCAGAGGTTGTCACCAAGTAAAGCAATGTATATAAGGCTTTGGATGATAAATAAAGTATTACACAGACATGTCAGTCGCTTGGCTCTTCTGGATGTGGCCTCATTCTTCAGCTTCTTTTTATTTTTAACCGAGTATAAGATCAACTAGGAACAGGGTCACCACTCCTACATTTCTTATATCCTGTCTGGGTACCTCTCAGATCATGGTCCACATACCACCTTCTGTTCAATTTTCAGCCTGTCTGCCCTATGTAATTGATGATGTGGCAAATCTTTTCCTAAGGAGTCATTTTCGTATTCCCTGGTTGGATTGTTTTTGCGAACAGGAGTGTGAACTTAGACTTATCTTGTTGCATCTGTAAAAGATTTGAACTTAGTAGCAACCACACATGGCCATTATTTGTACTTCAGGAAAGTCCTTTTCCTGACCTTTCAGTTGAGGTTTTTCCTCTATTAACTCCTGCTTGAAGAGCTGTTGTTTGGATTAGTGGTGATACTTTTGGAATTTACACAGAGGAAAACATACAGTTGACCAAGTCTGGGAGCCTTTAAAGTCTTCTGATCTTCCCACAGTGCTGTTAAAAGATTCAGTGGTTATGCCACCATTAGAAAATGCTTAAGGACGAGGGCAGTTCCTGTGAGGAAAACAGGCGTTTTTGTTTCAGGCCCCTCCAATTCAGACTTTGAATAAAGAAAAATAGTTGGCATGCATTCACTATAAAAACTATATAACAATACTTGGCCAGAGGCAGTGGCTCACGCCTGTAATCCTAGCACTTTGGGAGGCCGAGACGGGCTGATCACTTGAGGCCAGGAGTTCCAGACCAGTCTGGCCAACATGGTGAAACCCCATCTCTACTAAAAACACAAAAATTAGCCGGATGTGGTCGCGCGTGCCTGATCCCAACTACTCGGAAGGCTGAGGCAGGAGAATCACTTGAACCTGGGAGGCGGAGGTTGCAGTGAGCCGAAATCACACCACTGCACTCCAGCCTGGGTGACAGAGTGAGTGAGTGAGACTCTGTCTCAAACAAAACAAAACAAAAACTATATAACAATACCTACTCCTCCAAGAATTGGTATGAGCATTCCTTGAGTTATTGTTTGTAAAAGATCTGAAATGGTGAGTCCCAGGAAGTGTTGCTGGTTGGTGTAGCAGCAGAGCAAGGAGTTTGTGATTCACATGGGGAAGGTCTAGGAGTCCTTGGCCTGCAAGCAGGGAGAAAATGCCAGTACGTGGAACAGAAGGTTTGTGGGGAGTGCCAGTTTTGGGCTAGATGTACTGAAAATGAAGTACTTATTTGTTGGTTAAATGTCAAATCTCTAGCCAGGTAACAGAAACAAACCTATGAACAAATGAGGCATCATTTTCTCTGCCCTTGTGCTCCTCTTGCCCTGACCAGTTTACCAGTTTCTGCCCTTCTTTGTAGATCGGTCATTCTGTGGTCTAGGCTAGGAACTTTGACTTCTCCCTCTCCCTTTCCCTTTATCGAATTACCATTTAATCCCTGCTTTAAAAAAAATTCTCAAGTAGCCTCTCTTCCTTTCCAGTCCCTACTTCCACTGCCTTAATATAGACTTGTTGGATCTCCTGCCCTGTCTTTGCCACCAGTCTTCCTGTTACAGGCTTGGCAGTATCACCAGAGTGATGTTATCTAATAGCAGTTTCAGAAATTCAAACGCATCCCCAGGGCCAGAATATGTTGAGACCTTGGAGAACTAGAAGAGCTCCAAGGGGAACAGGTACTTTTCAACTCTAGGGATCATGGATTTTGTATGGCTAGATGTTCTTAAGAGAAGGCAAAAACCCAACTTTGTTTGTGAAGTCCCAGAGTTTTAAACTTTGGTAATTAATTCAAGTATTTCACAAACAGAACATGCTTATGGGCCATCAGCAACTTCTGCTCTCATTGCCCTGCCCTAGGCACATGAGACGTTGCATGATAAATCTCCTGCCTGCCTCTCAGCCTCATCTTCTTGCACTCCCTGTATCACACTGGAAGCCGCCCTGACAGCTTCGTTTGCGTCCCATTTTTATACGTGTGTCACCGTCCCTGTCAATGAAGTCCTGGCTGCCTGGGATACACATTTTGACTTCCTCACAGTAGTCTGGCAAAGCTCACCTGCAGAAAAATATCTGAGCCCTAGGTGCTGAGTTGCAATGATGGGTGGAATAGTCCTTGCCTTCTTCGCCTTTGTAATCTCTGATTGGCTCAGGTATCATACCCACAGGAGAGCCTTCCTTGAAGACTCCTACATCCTACCCCAGGGTTGTGTGTTCTTTTTACCATATCTCCTTCCCCTGACAGTGCACTGGGTGCAGTGGTCCCCTTGAGGATAGGGGTTGTATCTTGGTCACTTTTGCATTCCCAGCTCCTAGCAGAGTGTTTGACACTGTATCATTGCCCCATAAGTCAAACAACAGAAATATGTGCCATTTCAAAATGTGATTTGAATATTCTCTTCGTTTCTCCCCCAGTGAGAATTAATCTCTTCTTCTTATACATTCCATTACAAATGTATTTTTATCCTGTTAATACATTTAATATCTGACAAATGAGTTGTAGTTGGCTTTGTGACTTTGGATATTACTAAAGATAGGACCTAGATTCACTGGTGAATTCATTTAAGAAAGAAATAATACCAACTCTACATAAATTCTTTCCAAAAAAATTGAAGTAGAGGGAATACTTAGGAACTTTATGAGGCCAAGATTACCTTAATGCCAAAATCAGAAAATGTATTACAATGAAAGAAAAGTACAGAGCAATACAATATCTTTGTGAACATGGATGTAAAAAAAGACAATTTTAGCAAATCAAACCCAATAATATATTAAAAATGATAATACATCATGACAAAGTGAGGTTAATCCTGGCAACGCAAAGCTAGTTCAGTATTCAAAAATCAGTGTAAATCACCATATTAACAGACTAAAGAAGAGTGATACAAGAATCTTAATAAATATAGAAAAAGAATTGACAAAATGTAACATGCATTCATGATTTAAAATTAAAACCCTCAAAACTCTCAGGAATTTAAGAATAGAGGGAACTTTCTCAACCTGACACCAGAAAGCTATGAAAAAACCTACAGCCAGCATCTTAATATACATAACAAAGACCAAAAGTATCTCCCCCTTCCTAATGTAACCACCCAACGGGCTTACTTTGCCTGCTGCCTAGACAATTTATCAAGACAGGGGAATTGCAATAGAGAAAGAGTAATTCATGCAGAGTCAGCTGTGTGGGAGACTGGAGTTGTATTATTACTCAAATCAGTCTTCCCAAATGTTCGAGGATCACAGTTTTAAAGGATAATTTAGTGGTGGGGGCGGGGGGCAGTGAATCGGGAGTTCTGATTGTTCAAGCCAGAGATGAAATCATAGGGAGTTGAAGCTGACCTCTTGCACTGAGTCAGTTCCTCAGTCAGGTCCACAAGACCAGATGAGCCAGTGTATCCACCTGGGTGGTGCCAGCTGATCCATGGAGTGCAGGGTCTGCAAAATATCTCAACCACTGATCTTAGGTTTTACAATAGTAATATTATTGCCAGAAGCAATTTGGAGAGGTTTAAAATCTCATAGCCTCCAGTTGCATGCCTCCTAAACCATAATTTCTAATCTTATGACTAATTTGTTAGTCCTGCAAAGGCAGTCCAGTCCCCAGGCAGGAAGGGGAATTGTTTTGGGAAAGGGCTGTTATCATCTTCGTTTCAAAGCTAAACCATAAACTAAGTTCCTCCCAAAGTTAGTTTGTCCTGTGCCCAGGAATGGACAAAGACAGCTTGAAGGTTAGAAGCAGATGGAGTTGGTTAGTTCAGGTCTCCTTCACTGTCTCAGTTACAATTTTTGCAAACGTGGTTTCACCCAGACTGGGATAAATGCAAGCACATCTGTGTTCACCACTTCTTTTCTCTTATTTTCTTTTATGACAGCGTCTCACTGTGTCACCCAGACTGGAGTGCAGTGGCACGATCACGGCTCACTGCAGCCTTGACTTCCCCAGCTCAGGTGATTCTCCCACCTCAGTCTCCTGAGTAGCTGGGACCACAGGCATGTACCACCATACCTGGCTAACTTTTTGTATTTTTGGTAGAGACATGGTTTTGCCATGCTGCCCAGGCTGGTCTTGAACTCCTGGGCTCAAGCAATCCACACGCCTTGCTCTCCAAAAGTGCTGGGATTATAGGCATGAGCCACCATGCCCGGCCTCACTGCTTCTTTTCTTTTAGTATTAGGTGCCAACTAAAAGTGTTCACCACGTCTGTTCAACATTGCACTAGATGTTCTAGCCAGTGCAGTAAGGCAAGGAAAAACAATAAAAGGCTTCCAGATCTTAAGAGGGAAATGTAAAAATTTCTTTATTCAAAGATAACATAACTGTCTGTGTAGAAAATCCTACGGTATCTACAAAGAAAACTGTTTTGTTAGGACTAATAAGTGAATTTTACATGGTTACAAGATACCAAGGAAATACAGAAAAATCCATTATATTTCTGTATTCTAGTAATGAACAATCAGAAATTGAAATTCTAAAACAGTATCATAATCTGTCAAAAATATGAAATACTTAGAGATAAATTTGACAACAGATGTGCAAGATCGTGCACTAAAAAATACAAACATTAATAAAAGAAATGATCTAAATAAATGGAGCAAGCTGCTGTATTCATAGATCAGAAAACTCAATGTTGCTATGATATAAATTCTCTCAATTGATCTATAGATCTCAATTAAAATCTCAGCAGACATTTCAGTAGAAATTGACATGCTGGCCGGGCGCAGTGGCTCACGCCTGAAATCCCAGCACTTTAGGAGGCCGAGGTGGGTGGATCATGAGGTCAGGAGATCGAGACCATCCTGGCTAACACGGTGAAACCCTGTCTCTACTAAAAAATACAAAAAAATTAGCTGGGCGTGGTGGCGGGCGCCTGTAATCCCAGCTACTGAGGAGGCTGCGGCAGGAAAATGGCGTGAACCCGGGAGGTGGAGCTTGCAGTGAGCCGAGATTGCGCCACTGCACTCCAGCCGGGGTGACAGAGCAAGACTCCGTCTCAAAAAAAAAAAAGAAAAAGAAATTGACATGCAGATTCCAAAGTTAACATGGAAATGTAAAGGACTTTTATTAGCCAAATTAACTTAGAAAAAGAATGAACCCGGAGGATGTATACTATCTAATTTCAATAAGGGGTTGGCACTGACCGGGAGGATGTTGTGAGTCACATTTATTTGTACCAAGTTGGTTGGGTGTGTGGTATACAGTAGAAAATGGCATAGGAAAAACATTAGTGGGAGTCATTCTGAAGGCCAGGTTGGACTGGATGAAGAGGAATCAATATTCTCTTTATAGCACTCCTCTAAACCTTGTCCACTGTGGTTGAGGGACATGAAATTTAGCCTTTAACATAGTTTCTGGCCTGCTGGGACTTTAAGAAAACAAACCTCACTTTATTATGGAAAGTTTCAGCCATATACAAAAGTAGAGAAAATCGGTATAAGGGAATTCATTATACGGTCCTCCAACTGGGACCTATTATTGAAATTTTAAAGCAATGATTATAGACTATCAATAATATACTATTACTAACGTAATACAAAATCATCTATTTTTGAGATCCTGTTTTAACATCACCTTTTTTCAAATAAGCTATTAGGAAAATAAAAACATGTTAACACCAGCTTTTTAGATACATTTGTGGTTAAACATAGCAGCTGATCATTGAATTTTAATTGCTGATTCTTAATGCTACTGACTTTTTATTGGAAGTCCTCACAGGAGTTCAGGGCCCCCCAGGAAGGGCCTCCAGAATTCATTGCCAAGGGCCGTTTCCTTTAACCTTCCTGTGTACAGAGACTGCACGGCACCTCCCAAACAATAGCTTCCAAACTTATTTGGTAACAGAACTCTTTGTTCAAATGAAATCTTCAGCACCCCAACATTTAAAACAACCCAAAAGGAAAAGCAGCGAACTTGTTATTATCTTCTCGGGTGTTTTATTCTGGGTTTAACAGCCAATATTTTATTGTTTGTAGAAACCTGGAAACACTCTCGAGAGCCAGAGGACAGTTTGAAACCTGCTGTTTTACTGCATTTCTCTGTTATATCAGGAATTTAAAAAATTTCTTTTTTTAGACTCTTCACCTTTACTCCCATTCAAAACCAAAACAAAACACGGATTTCATATTATCCATACGATGTTGAGAATTTCTGTGGATATTCTTCTACATTATTTCAAAAGCTATTCTTATAATGCGTCCCCTTCTATTCGGAAGAATAGTTATTAATTTACATCTTTTATTTTGAAAGTAACTAAAAATTTAAAACTGAGGATTTTTTTCCCCAAGTCTATCTTGCACAAAAGATATTGCCAACATCATGTGCAAATCAAAGCCTTGTGAACACATTATTTTAAATGCCTGAGAGGATATTTATATTCTAAAATCTGTATTGAGTTCCATTTGTAATGTGAAAAAACAGCTCTGAGACTTATTTGCTTTTCTTGTTTAACATTTTTTAACTCGCATAAATTGAAATACACCCGTACTTTGGTGTTATGAAGTTCATTTCTACCTCTGGGCATTGTCTCATTAGTTGCACTTGTGGGATTTGTAGTGAAGGAGGAGAAAACCCTAATACACTTAACTGATTATTCTGACCCACCTTCTGCCCTCCTGGTTGAGCGGGCGGTAATGTCAGGAACAAGGAGGAGAAAGCGGAGGCACTCAGCAGATCACAGGTGCCCTTTACCCTTGCCTGACATTCAGCTCTGCCCAGCCCCCAGCCCGAAAGCCCAGTGACAAAAATACCAGCCAATCTCAGGAAGCTGCAGACGTTAGAGACGTGAAAGAATAAAACTATTGAAGGCCAGGGCATGAAAGCTCCTACCCAGCACACATTTAGAGTTATTTATCCTAGCTGAGGCGATAAGCCAATGTCGCTTGTCGCCAGTGCTCGTGAGTAAGAGAAGCTGGGTAAAGGGCTCCCCCACCCCCCCACTCTCCATACTCCCCCCAGTTTCCCACCTCACCCCCACCCCCGTGCAACCATCCTTCTGGCTTCTTAAGAGCCAGATGCTCACTTAGGATTTCTGGCTTCTTTCTAAACTAAACTATTTACAGTGTCTGGTCAGCATGGGACAGATCAAACTGCAGAAAATACTGAGAAATTCTGTTTGGGATATGTGCGGCACACTTCCTCAGTCCCCGAAAATGTGTTGGAAGAGGAAAGGAACATACAGGCGTGGTGTGCACACTCATGTGCTCATGTCCTTTCTGACCTCTCAGTGTTTCTCTTGTCTCCTGGGATTAGATAGGACAGCATTTTCATGAGAAGTGCTCACTGGGCTCTGCCTGAGTTCTCCGGTTTCACTCCAAAAGATAAACGACAGCACCCTGGCCATCCGTCATAGTCATGTCATGCAACCGGAGCATCAGATTAGGGGCACAGGTGGAAGGCAGAGTTTGCCCTGATTAGCTTGGAGCCCCACTTTCCTCCTTGATTCCCAGCTCCTCCAAAAATTTTCATACACGAGTGGGATCTGTTTTTTACTTTTTGCTAAATGTGTTGGTATTACTCCCTGTTTTTGTTTTGATGCATACAAAACTCAAGTATCTCTGTTCTAGCCCCCATGTACTTACCTTTAAAGAAAGATGAAGTTTTGTATGTACATTAGCTTAGAAAATAATATCTTTGCAGTAATAAGGCTATAAAAAATCAACTTAATATTGTCCTTTTGATTATCAAAATGTCTACTCTTCAAAATGTGTGCATTACATTCCAAGCTATGTGCTATAGCTGAAAAAACAAATTATGGTAAATTCTATCAGGAAAAGACAATTTACAGAACAGTTTGTTGATGCTTCAATTTAGTATCACCACTAGTGCTTTTTAACCAATGAATCTTTATGGGAGAGAGAGAGAGAAGCTCCTCCTTTGGAGTTTGGTCTTTTATCTTGAAGGATTAGTATTAATATAAGACCTAGCTGCTTGTTTTCATAATTTAAAATATGAAACTACCACCTGAATCAGGGCTCCTGCTATGAAAAGATCAAGTGTGATGCTATAACATAGCTGAGACGACCCTAGCCATGTTCATTGTCAGTGTACTTGGAGCCTTAAGGCAGAAGACTTTGTCCATAGTAATAATTGTTTCTACTTATTGAGCACCAAAATTGCTTGACAAAGGTAGTGGGCATTTTACACATATTATTGGTTTCATAGCCACCCTGTGAGATAGAGGAATTATTTCATTGTCTTCGTTTTGCAGAGGAGGCAACTGAGAGTGAGCACCTTAACTAAGATCCTACAGCTAGTGAACGGGAGTCAGACTTTCAACCCTTATCCTAGTGGGAAATCCCCTATTCGGGGTTTCTACTTTGTCACCCATCTATAGGCAAGTCAAAACTGATACAAAAGAATAGAAATTTCATCAGTTGAATGACTGTGTTCTCACCAAGGGACTATGGCTGAGCCTTTAAATATAGTCATTTTGTCAGGAGCCTTTAAATATAGTTATTTTAAAAATACCTTGTAAACACTCATCTACCTAGTTAACATTTTTTGATGGCTACTGTGTGCCTGTCACTGTGCTGAATTATGTCTGTAAGACATGGGCCTTGTCCTCAAGGAGCCACGTCTGTTGGGGAAGACAAAAATGCTTACAGATTATTTATACTATAGGTCACTGATGGAGGGATGTTCAGGGGCCATGGGAACCATCTTAGAAAGACAAAGAACGTGTCAGGTTAAAAAGCAGACTGACAGAATCCTGGGGAGCTAGTGTTCCTAGGACTTCTTATACCTTCATTGGGCAGCAGAATAACAAGAGCCTGTCCAGTCACAGTCACAAAGGTAGGAAGGAAACCCATAAGTTATAATAGGTAGGGCAAGGGTTGGCAGACATTTTCTGTAATGGACCAGGCAGAAAATATTACAGTTTTTGCAGGGTATATGGTCTCTGGTGCAATTTCTTAATTCTGCCATTTTTGCAGCAAAAGCAACCATAGGCACTATGTAAATAAAGGGGGCATACCTATGTTCCAATAAAACTTTATTCACAAAAACAGGTAGAAGGTCAGATTTTGCTCATGGGCCATAGTTTCCTGACCTCTGGAACAGGGAAAGGAGAAGGGCTTGCCATCAAACAAGATATAACTGAGAAACAACAGTTTTGATTGAACAACAAAGCGATTGGTGGTTTCTTTGAGAGATCAGAGTGTGGTCATTCCAGCCCCTACTGAGTGTAGGCATTTACTAAATATTTGTAGAATGACTAACTAATGGCTTCAACTTGGCCTGGAGATAGTAACTGAGGCTCTCTCGTAGTGAAGGGAGAGGTAATGGGATACCAGAAACTAGTCAACTAATAAAGAACAGAAAGTTATTTATTATTTCTGGAAGCTGGGAACGTCCAAGATCATTGCGCCGGCAGGCTTATTGTCTGCTGAGGTTCTGATCTCTGCTTCTAAGAGGGCTTGGATGCTGCATCCATTGGAGGGGAAGAACACTGTGTCCTCACTTGATGGCAGGCAGAAGGGCAAGTCAGCCGAACCGCCCTCCCCCGCCAGCCCATGAACCGTCTTTTATAAGAGCCTTAATCCCATTCATGAGGGCAAAAGCCCTCATAACCTAATCACTTCCCAAAGACCAACCCCCACCCTTAACCACTATCACATTGGCCACTGAGTTTCAATACCTCAATTTTGAAGGGTGCAGTATTCAAACCATAGCCAGCACTATGCTAAGGACAAAGATACACAGGTAAACAAGTCATACTTGAGATCCTTTTTTCAACAGATATTAAGAAACATCTCTTAAGGTTCCATTCTAATCTCCCTTTCCTCCCCCCACCAAGTTGTCTGAAGTCTAGTAGAGGAAATAGACAAGCTATTATACCAAGCAACTAAAATACAGTGTAGTTGAACATGGAAGTCTGACAGCAGAGACCTAAAGAGGATGCATTCACCTCTGCCTAGGGTTGTCAGCAAAGGCTTCTGGAGGAAGTGATAGCTGAGCCCAAACTTAAAGGGCTGGCAGTAGCCAGCCAAGTAAAGGGTAAAGGGGGTGGTGGGAGAGATGAGGATTGTGTTCCAGGTAAGGGAAATGGGGATTGTGTTCCAAGTAAGGGAAATGGTTTGTGTGCAAAGCCCCAAGGGCAGGGTTGAGCATGGGGATTTGGAGGTTCAGCCTCACTGCAGGTTTTCCAGTAAGGCTGAACCAGGTGCCAGTAGAGCATGGGGAAGGTAGAAGGGGTTACAAATGGCATTGCAATGTGGGCTTTATCCTGATGGCAATGAGGAGCCATTGTCTGATATTTTTTACATGGAGAATGGGCAGGCCACCACATGAAACTTGAGCTTTAGAAGGTGCGCTTGGCTACAGTGTGGAAAATGGCTTGGAGGGTGTTGAGATTAGAAGTGGTAAGAACAATTAGCAGATCCAAGTGATCTGGGAGGAGGATGCTGATGACTTGAACTGAGTGAGTAAAGTTGGAGTGGTGTAGAGCTGCAGAAGCCTTTAGGCACTGATACTGATAAGGCTGGGGCTTGGATGAAGAAGCAGAAGGAGTCAAGAAACAAACCTAGCCTGCTATAGGATCTCATGCCCTCCTATGATCTAGTACACATCACTTTACATTTTAAGTATTTATCTCTTAGATTCTCAAGTTTGCCTATAAGCTACTCAAGGATCTACCATTGTTCCATGGCACCCAGTATAGGAGCGCAGCGAATGAACACGCAAGGCAACTCAGTTCATGGAGTTTGATTAAACAGAGTTTGTGAATGTGGTGGAGAAAGGATCTCTGGGCAGAGGACTGAGCATGTGGTAGTGTCTCCCCACTGGGATGTGGCCTGGTGGTTGAGTGGGGCTGTTTCTCAGCTCCGTCGTTCTTTGTGGCTTTGAAAGCAGCACCAGGGGAATGAGAGGAGGGCATTGGCCGTAGCCCAGGATGCTTTTCATGGCTGAAGTTGGAGCTGCTCAGTGTGTGGCCTTGGATTTTTGTTAATTCACACCATTGTGCGTGACCTTGTATTTTAAGTCCGGAATATGGGGACAGGGGTGGGAGGAGGGAAATGAGAGAGACAATAATACTATTGCAAAAAACATCAGTCCTACAAATTCTGGACTTGGCTGATTGGGTCCCTCATGTTGTGTTCTTTGCATTAGGAATGAGGAGGACTTAGGAAGTGGAGAAAAAAAATAAATGATGCACCCTGCAGGGAAATTCTTTAGTGCTGAAAAGGACTTAAGGATTAGCTGATTTGTCTGTCCTCTTTCGGACAAAGTAGCTTTGGGTAAGTGAATTACAGAATTCTGAGTGACAGAGGCAACAAAGGGAAGTTGTCATTCACTGTGAGTGGGTATGAAAGAGAACACGTGTCAGGAATTAGAAACCAACCTTACTTTTTAGGCAGGCAGCTTCAGAAACAGGGAAGTAGAGCTACTGTGCCCACCACTCTCAGTACTGAAAAGAGCCCTGAGCTTGCCTTTTCTCTCTTACCCGCGTGCTTTGACGTGAGGTTGTCAAAGCCGCTTGTCAGTGTAGCCAGTCAGCCTTTCATCATTAAGGGTCCAAGCAGTCTTCAGGTTATGTCGTTGTTCTCTTTTATGACTAAATATTTTTATTAGGACACTGCTTGCTGTGAACTGCCTGAAGGGTCATGGTGGTTATGAGCCTTTACTGAAAGCCATGAACACTGTGAGACCACCATGCCTTGCATTTCACATGGCATCTAAAAAACAGATTTCTTTATCTCCCCCTTCCAAGCCTGCATGGCACTTGTAACTCTTAGGGCAGTGTTCACATTCTGCTTAATATTTTAACCCCTTGTGGTATTTCTTATTAGCCTGCTAAACTTAGTTCCTCGAGGCCTCTGATTGCTTTAATGTTTATTCCTAGTTCTATGAGCATACTTTTTCAGCGGAAAGTTAGAGAGGTGTGTAGAGGGTTCGCAGAAAGTTGCAGAGACCCTAGGAAAGAGGCAAATAGGAGCAGCAATGGCATTGCGTGTGACAGCAACACTTTGGCTTATCAAAATCCTGTAGAAAACAGTCTGGGTTTCATGGGAAAGCAAGCTTTGCAGAATAGAATTTTAAAACGCACACAAAAAAAACAAGTACACTTGGGAAAGAAGGAACGCTGGAACCAGAAAGAACATGTGTTTGAAGTAATTAAAGTAAATGACAGGTAAAGAAACATCAGAACTGGATGAGAATGAAAGGTATTAGTAGGCAGGAGGGCAGCTTAAAGAGCTGGAGCAAGGTGGATTTTGTTTTTGTCTGTTTTTCGTCCTTTTAGCCATAGTTAGAGGGGGAGTGACATCTTGTGCAATTTAGAAAGTACAGGAATGCCTCCCTCTGAGCTCCCTGTGGGCAGGAACTGAGTCTTACCCAGTGTTGTATTTAGGTGTTGGGGAGTGAATAGAAGGAAGAGCACCTTCTCATTTCTTTGGCTTAAGAGGTTGGGAAGTGAGAGAATAAAACTGCAGGTGGTGTTGCCTAAAATGATAGAGAATTTTGTGTTTGAACACAATATTGGCATTGTACAATAAACGTGGCTATATCTAGAGGCTTGCATTTTTTGTCAAATGTGTGTGTAACAACCAAGAATGTTAACATTATAGTGAAGCTGTCTGCAACGTGAGATCTTTTTTTTTCGGTGTGAGATGAGGCTGCATGTGGTAGTTGAATGCTTTCCAAGAATGGTATGAAGCCCTCTCTGTGGCCTCTCCTGGAGTGGAGCCAGGTCATGGAGCTTTGTCTGGCGGTGGCTGTCAGCAACAAATGCCCATGTTCAAATATCTAGGGATTCAAGATTAGTGAGCAAGAAATGTGTATCATACTGCTTGGTGTAGAGAAAGGGGAATGGCTTTTTCTTGCCTTTGAGTATTAGATAGGTGTGTATTGTCTATATATGAATTGATAAAGATTGGTTATATATGTATGTACCAACATAATTTTATTTACTAATTTGTTATTATTGAGAGAACTAGTGGAATGTTAGTTATCAAACAGCCATTAGTTTTTAAATGCCAGACCTTAGTAAAATGCCCTTGACTAAGCTGCAAATACATAATCTTTCTATAATTGTCTGGGATCTTACTGCATCTTAGAGATATTCTCTCAGGGAAGCCATGTATTCCATGTGTTTGAAAATTAGAGGTACTTTACTGTGTGTGTATTTAGGTTCTGATTTAATAAAAATGCATTGTTTTAAAAGTTTGCTATTAGGCATGTGTCACACATAACTACTCCAATTTTTCATGCTTCTAAAAATGTTAGAGTTTTCATGTTTGTTTCTAATAAATGTCTTCATTCAAGTGTGCTAAAAACTAACCTCTAAGCCAATTTGTTTATTTTTAATTAAGGGGAGTTTTAGGATAACCTCCAGTAGTTGAGATAATGAGTTAAAGGTCTCCTTCAATTGTGTTCCCACATACAAAAGTACACATTTACCAAATTCTGCTATTTATATAAACATCAGCTACATAAAAAGCAGTCACTGAGCCTGTTTTCTGATCTTTAGATATGCTGACAGTACCTTACATGAAAAGTTAACATGGAGCAGGATTCCTTTGTCAGCATTAGGCAACAAGAACCCCCCAAGCCAGTGGCTATGTAGAAGATTGTTTTAGAATCAAGCTGTGGGCACCATTACACAGAGTAAGGCTGGGTCTTTCAGGTTCTTTCATATCTCTGTCATCAACAGATGAAGTGTCCAATGCTACATGTCTTAGTCTGTTTGGTCTACTATAACAACATGCCATAAGCTGGGTGGCTTATAAACAATAGACATTTCTCACAGTTCTGAAGTCTGGGAAGTCCAAGATCAAGGCGAGAGCAAATTCAGCATCTGGTAGGGCCCTGCTTCCTGGTTTATAGACAGCCACCTTCTCACTGTGTCCTCACATAGTAGAAGGGACAAGCGAGCTCTCTGGGGTCTCTTTTGTAAGGGCACTAATCCCATTCGTGAGGGTTCTACCATCATGACCTAAGCACCTTCCTAAGGCCCACCTTTTGAAACCATCACATTGGGGATGAGGATTTTAACATGAATTTGGAAGAGACTCAGTCAATTGATAGCATCATGTTAATAGGCAATCCACATATCTCTAACACCACTAATTACACCAGTGAGAAGTCTTTTCTAACCTCCATTGAGCTAATTTACAAAGCCTTTAGAGTTGAGGGAAGGTCAAGAGCTTGAAGTGGCTGTTTCTAGAATGATGATGCCTTCTGATAAGCATCTTTCAAGTGACAGCAGAACATCTTTGGAGTACGTAAGTAGGGTAAGGTAGGGTTAGGGTCGATCTTAGCTCCTGGAAAATAGGTTAAAACTGACAGCCATATACTGTTGCCTATGCAACACTCTTTCAAAGTAAATTATTGTTCATGTAATTCTATCTTTACTAGATATTAACTTTCTAACTTTAGGGAGCTTCCCTGGTATCATGAACCTTGGATTCTCCTTCTTCCTATATTCATTCGTGTCATGTTTGCCTGAGTACCTGGGTTCATGTTTCCCCCAAACATCCTCTTTCCTTCCACCTCTGCAAATGCGACCTAGATTTCTCATCACACCTGTACTTGACCATTCTCAGTCCCTTTCTCAATCCCAATTGCACTGAGTCTGGGGATACACATTTATCTAATACACTAGCTGTCCCATATTGATTATGGTTTTATGTATGTGTTGGGGGAAGATGTTGTTAAGCTTATATTCCAGACTAAAACAGAAGGTTTAAGATATGGGCTTCATATGCATTTTCTAAACCACCACCCAGTTCAGCAGAACACCACACTTGTATTAACACAGAATAAATATTTAAGAGAGAATTGGGAAGGAAGAGAGAATATGGACAAATTATGGGAAGGTATATTTAGAGGCCCTGTAATTCCTGGTTAGAGTCACTTCTCTGGGAGGGGAAAAGTTGTACTGTTGAGGGTTTAAAGCTTCACTCTTCCCACCCACAGCTCTGTCACCACACTCCCTGCCCTACTTTATCCCTGTGCTAATGTCAAATGTGTGCTACAAGAGCCTAATGAATGTCATAGGGTATATCACATTATGGCTGCGGTGAGAAGAGAACAACAACGCTCAAACATAGGTCCTTTAAGTCAGGTGGAGACCATATCATACCAATCTTATCACTCCGATAGACGGTTTTAAGCATGAATGCCATTTTTATAAGCAAAAATGAAATAGCACTCTAGACACATCATTTATAAATTTAAGTAATTTCTTTCCCCCCTTTTTGTTTTGCTTTTGTTTGTTTGTTTGTTCTGGTCAGACTTGGTGTTTTTCTTTTTAAAGAGTAAATAAGATGAATGCAATGGGAGCCCGACCATAAACATGACATCCCAGGAAGTACACGATTCCCTGTAGGAATGGCCATGGAAGGCTCCTGACCCACTGACACTAGGAGCTGCAGTCTAATGTTTGAAAACAGCTGTGTTCCTGCTCTGAGTTCAGTGGTGTCTTGGAGTGAGAACAAACATACCTTGCTTTTTGCTTGACAACTTGATATAAAATATTTTCCCAGAAGAAATTCCTATACTGGGTCTTTACAATAAAATTATTGCAGCCATAAAAGTCGTCCCATATCCAAAGCCTGCCGGAAATCAGGATAGGTCAAAAATAAAGTGTATGCATTCTGTCATCTTTCTATTTCCTCTGTAGGCTTTATGGGCTGGGTTTGGAGGAACCCAGTGGAATTGCCATCGGCACCGTCTGATGTTTTGTAATGTTGCTTAGGCAGAGCATGACTGACTGGGGAGCCATTGATATATGACAATTGGGAGCAATAACATTTTGAGAATGGAAATAATTTTTGAAGCCTTCTTCTGAGGCATTTTAATAAGTCTGGTTTTTACAACTTTAGGTAAACATGTCAACTGTTCCCTAAAATCAGATGAGTTTTTTATGCTTGAATTAATGAATTGCTTAGAGCATCAATCTTGGAATGTAAGAGCCTCTCGGGAGAACCCAGACCTTTGATAAACAGAATATAATCTCACTCTGTTGGACATACAGCTTCTGTTAAGACTCTGGTTGTGAGAGATGATGTACATAGAAGGTAATTTAAGAGATAGCCTGTATCAATTTCCTTTTTGAAGTGTTTTAGGATCAATCCTTGGATGATATTAGACTACTATATGATAGCAATATATACCACGACCCTTAGCCCCTCAGAGAATGGCTTCAGGATCTGACCTTGGTGTTAGGCCTCTGAATTTTCTAGCGAATTGTAATATATTGAGAGCATAAGAAATCTACATCTATGTTTTTGTGGCCATGATGTTGGGGACATATTGCTTTTGAGTAATACAGTGAGGAACTGTAATTCCTCAGGTAAGAGTGTCTCTCTAAAGCATTTAAGAAACAAAGATGTTTGTTTTTTTCATGATACTCTTGCTAGCTGAATTTTCTGTGACTCCTCTTTGCCTCAGTTTCTAGAAACCTTAAAAACACAGTGTTCTATTTTGGCATCATAGCAACTGCATTTTCTCATGATTGAAAGGCTTGCTTTTTTTTCAGTTTCTTCACCTCACATTTCAGATAGTAATGGAAGTCTAATCCCATCTCGAAGAACCTAGTTCTTTGAGAAAGAAAGTCACAAATACCATTACCCAGAGGACCTGGTCCTACATTTTTTTATACGGGGCAGCATCCCAAGGCAGGGAGAGCCTTCCAGGAGTCCAGCTGCACACAGCTTCTGGGTGCTCTTGAAGGGTGGTGGTTTTCTTCTGCAGTAGTTCAAGGCACTCTGTAGAAAGGAATCAGTCTTGTCCATCAGGGGAACAGATAGGTTCCAACTTCCTTCTCACAAAGTGTGCCATGTAAGGGATTGATTTGAACTAATTATCCAGCTTACAAAGTATCATATCTGGTGACTGTGATATGTCACTATGTTAGGTATTGAAGATACATATCTTCAGTAGCAGAACCCATTTTCAAAAGAAAGTTCACAGGCCAGCCCACCTTGGCTATATCTCTGCTTTATCCAGATTGGCTCATTTGGCTACCAGGTCAGTTGAGAGAATGAATGGAGAGGAAGTTGTAATCATCATACAAAGTGGAAAGTATGGGATTATTATCTGTGCTACCTTTGACAAGCAGATATTGCATATGAGTAAGCATTTAGCTGGATAATTTCCCTCTTTTAAGTGAATGGTGAAGGCAGACACGATTGAAGTCCCCAGTAGCTCAGGCCCCACCTCTGCTGATGAGAGTAGGGTTCTCATTCAGCAGACCACTTTAACGTGGCCTCCAGGGGAAGGACTTTTCACTTTGTTACCAAAGGACATCTTGTTAAGGTTCTGTTTATAGGTTTGTTTCTCTTAAGCTGTTACCTCTAGCTAGGATCAGAATAGACCATTGATATACCTCATTTCACTCAGTAGGTATAACTCTGAAAAGGTGTGTGAGTATAATTTTTGTAAATGTGCTCATATTTTAAGTGCCCTAGGAAAACCCTTTATTCAAGGGAGCCCTGCTGAGAATCATTTTGTAAAGTGCTGGGCTCACTGTAGGCGTTGGATAACTACGTGGATGGACAGATGAAAAGAACAAAAGAACAAAGATAAGTATTGTTTTGTAAGAACAATCATTAAAGCCATTCTCTAAGATTCAGTTCTTCCAGATACACTGCCCCCGCCCACCCCACCCCCCACCCTCCACGATGGAGGATAGGTGTCCCCAGACCTTGCTCTCTTAATAGCCTTCATGTGTCTCTGTCATTGCCTTGTATTAATGCTAATAAAAATAGCTAATACGTACTGGATGCTTACCATGAACCAGACTCTGTGCTAAACATCTTTCCTCTGCCATCTCATTCAATTCTCCTGACAATCCTGTGAGGTAAGACCACTGTGGTTTAAAGGGGCAGAATGATTTGCCCACCGTTGCATAACTAGTAAACAGTGAGGTCTGGTCTCAAATACGAATCTGTCTGATTCCAAAGTCTCTAACCCCCAAATTCATGTGTAACCTTTTTGTGTGTATGTGTGTCTCCTAGATGCCAGCTCTTTGGAAAAAACTGAACTCTGTTTTACGTATCTTTGCCCCCTTGGTTCCAACTACAGTGCCCACTACACAAAGGCTCTCATTTGAATTAATGGAGTAAGGAGGACCAAGATAGTGTTGGGAAGAACTGGGTTCTACTTTAGTTCTGGTGCTAGATGAATCATTTCATCGCTCTGTAATACCACCAAAATTAAGGGTAATGACCCCTGTCTTGCTTACATCACAGAGCTATTGTCATGATCAAATGAGGGAAAGCTTACGAAAACTGTAAGGGGTTATACAAATATTACGAAGGATTCACAAAATAAATTACCTAATTTACTTACTTTTTAAGTACAAGATGATTCAAGACTAGGGTTCCTCAAAGTGCCTGAAAATTTTATTTTTATTTATTTTTTTGAGACAGTCTCGCTCTGTCGCACAGGCTGGAATGCAGTGGTGCAATCTTAGCTCACTGCAATCTCTGCCTCCCAGGTTCAAGGGATTCTTGTGCCTCAGCATCCCAAGTAGCTGGGATTACAGGCATGAACCACCATGCCTGGCTAATTTTTTTAGTAGAGATAGGGTTTTGTTATGTTGCCCAGGCTGGTCTTGAACTTCTGGCCTCAAGTGGGAGGCCTGCCTCAGCCTCCCAAAGTGCTGGGATTATAGGCGTGAGCTACTGGGCCCGGCCCGAAAAATTTAAATATTTGGAAAATAATTTGCATAAGGAAAGGACAGATTTTTATAAAGCCAAGAGGAGAAAATTGTCAAAGATAATTTTTAAGGTTCTATGGTATATATTACACATATGAGCAAATGGGTGAACAATAGGATTCCAGTTAGGGGGAAACATCCCAAGGTAGTGAGTATACACTGGGTGGGGCATCCGAGGACCAGGGCACTCAGTAAAGCTTGGATGCTGCCTTTCTTGGGAAAGTGCCTCCACCTTGCTGCCAGGCCTCAGTTTTCCTGTATGTAAAATGAGGTGTTGGGAGTCAATGACTGCAAGCCGTAGTGACCTGTCATTCTGAACTTCAGTCTTGGAGCAGTCCTGCAGGATTGAGTTGTCCAGTGGTGTAGCTGTCACTGCTCACTGCAGATGCCAGCACACAGTGCTTGCTGCCACCTTCAGGCTTCTCACCATGCTCACAAAGGGGCTAGGCAGTGAAGCAACAGGAAAGGACCCATCTCTGTGGCATGGCTTCAGGAGCCTTCTATAGAAATGCCCTGGCCTCCAAAGCTGGTCTATGCACTGCGTTGACTGAACGTCATTGTTAGCCCCATCAGCTCTGGCTTCAGTCATCTTACTTGGGAGAATGCTCTATCTACCCATGCCACCCCTCATGGTTTCGCTACCCGCTCACCTCTAATCTGCTGACTTGAAACTTAGATTCCCGTTATTTAAAGCAAATAAGATATTTTTCTATAGTGTAATATAAAAATACTCTTTAAGACTTTCTTTCAACTTTAGAGCTATTCATGCTTTTAAAACATAGTCTTTGGACAGACTGGTAAGAACATGCCCTCTGATAGCATCGTCAGTTTTGTAATATTTATCTTCAAATGCATTGCTTAAGTTTCCTGTTGACCCTGGTAGATACACAGAGCAGATTTTACAAATGCAGCCTAGAAGAGGAAGGGAAGCCCCACAAGGGACATGGCAGAGCAGGGGCTCAGACTTTGTTTTCTCCATCCTGTTTTGTCCACCTTCTCTATGATACAAGCCCACATTCCATACCTGACCACCAGGTCAGTCCTGTTTAGTAAGCAAGCAGGGCAGGTAGTGTTCTCATTAAAGCTGAGGAAATTAAGGCTCAAAAGTGAAGCTCCTTGCCTCTAGGCCTTTAACTGTTTATTCTAGATCTCAAACCCACCTCCTCTGATTCTTAGATCCTGCTCTTCTCACTGCATCAGCCCTTCCTGTGAAAGCTGCAGGCTGGGTCCTCCAACACAAAATACATCAAGGGAACTCATAGAGAAAAATACCAGTAAGGCAGGGGGTGAGGGAGAGAGAAAGGAGGAAAAAACTGAGACTGGCATGTAAATTACCTGCTTCCTTCACCAAAAGTAGGAAGCAGTCTTTGGTGATGGAATTATCTGTGGCTTTGGCTATAAAACCAGTCCATAGCCCCAAACTCCCTGCATTAGCCCTGTCATCTGTTGAATACGGGGGAGTTACTGCAGGGTTCCACTTTTCATTAGGTGTTTGACTGTTTTCTGTACTATTCATATTTGCATTGATCAGTGGATGGATATAAAAGTAAGACTTCAAAACTGATTGTTTAGTTTTCCAGACTAATCCACCTTGAATTTGAGGTCTGCTATCTGACAAATGGCAAAAGGTAATATGATCAGAAGTAGATGCAATTACCCTCCCCTGTGATCATAACCGTGGGACAGAGAACAGCTTTGGAATGGCTCTTCGCTTGCACAATTTCTCCTGGTTTCCTGCCAGCCATGGTTTTCTGCCTGGAGCATTGTCTCTGCAGCTCAGGGCCTGCTCGCTCTCTGCCTGGCATTTCTCCTCAGATACTCTCCGCAGCACCCTCAGATCTGCCTAACTGCGTTGAACAGAGACGAGAGAACAGAGACTTGATGAAATGAGCATCAGGTATTTTAATACTAAAAATAAATTTTATTTGGTGTATATTTTAGAATTTTAGAATTCTTAATTTTTAGAATTTGGTGCATGTTTTAGAATTTTAATGCATTTCGGAGGGAAAGAGAGTGAATTTTAACTAGCTATCCACACAGTTTTAGAACTAAAAATCTGTATTTCAAGATCAATCAATAGAGCTTTTCTGAGGAAGAGAGCTTTGTGTGCAAAGGCCTTCATCTGCTGTGTGATGGCTTCATTACTTCACATTTAGTGCTAGAAAGAGGCTTTGTGATGATTTTAAGTATGCCTTGGCCTTCTTGTTCTTGCCCATAATGCTGATGAAACGGTTCTTGCAAACCGTCAAGACCATTCTCTAGGCACAGATGTAGTTACTCCCAGTCATCTCCTTGACCGTGTTTGTAGGCTTTATACTCATTCCTCTTATTCATCTCAGCTGCCCAGAAAGGCTGTGGATAGAGATGAGTGGGATAAAAATTGCCGGAAAAGGAAGGACGGAAAATAGGGGATATTGAGCCTGTACTCAGTTTGGCGTCCGGCATCTCTCCTCAAATTTGGTTTGCTCTTAAGAATCTGAATGGGCAAAGTTAAGGACCAATCTTGGTGACTTTTTTTAAAGCCTTCTTATAAATTATTATGTCCACATTAATCTGACAATGAAATGCCATGTTGCCTTGCGCTGGATCTATGGCAAAGAAATCTAATAGCAAACTCCATACATCTGGTGTCTAGAGCGCATCTTAACCTATCATTTCACATGTAGCCTTTATTTGTAATATTTTGATTACTGCATGTGTGTAAGATCCAGCGTTGTTTTTTTTCATTCTGGTGGCTTGCACGGCGCCTGGTTGAGTGGTTGAATGTGGGTTTGCTTTGTTAAAGCCACAAACTTTGGAAGCGAAATAATCACGCCAAGTGATCCGGCTTATCTTGACTCTTCTGTAAATAGTATGCGCTCGGGGAGTATTCGGTGGCCCCCCGGGCAGGTCAGCAAAGTGGTTGTGAGACAGAGTAATCTGGTCTGGGCCGTGCTGAAAGCTCTTATTGATAAGGGATTAGTCTCGGTGGAGACAACGTGCTGTCACATGGGCATCAGTGCGATTGAGAGGAATGAGATCCGAGGCCGGTGGGGGAGGGACAGCGCTGAGTCACTGAGTTCATTAAAAGGCTACTGAACAGGCGTGCGGCAGGCGAGACCAACCCCGGACTGTGCCTCCACCACACCCATCCCCACACCTCTTGGGCAAGGAGGACCAGAGCACATGTCAAGGTAGGAGCACAAGCGGGGCAACTGGCCCAGCTCACAGTGCCTGTCTACCTCTTGCAGGTTCAGGCCCCTGGGTAGTTTCCCGGTGGGGCAAGAGGGAGCCCTGGCTGAAATGCAGGAACCCTTGTATTCCCCAAGTCCAGCCCCTGGTCCTGAGTATTGGCTTCTCTCTACAAATGGGAAGGGGAGTGGTCACCAAAAGATTTCCTGGCTTGGTGGCTCAGAAGTTCTGAAAGGGAAAATTGTATGCGCTTTACTGGTAGCCAGCAGTGAAATATTATTTTGCCGGATTGGGTGCAATTTAAAGTCACATCTAAACTTGGCAGTGAGCAGGCATTGTTGATGAAAAACAGGGTTGAGAATATGTCAAGTCACTCTTCTAACACGGACGCCATAAAGTTCAAAAGTCTGAAGCTTCTATACCCCTAGAAAAAGTTTTTTTTTTTTTTTTTAAATAAAGGGCAAACTTTCATCTGCATTGGGGCTGAGGGGAAAGTAGAAGGTATATGGGGGAGCTGGGGAATGGGAACAGAAGTCATAAAGTCTGATAAACTGTCTCATCTCTGCAAGCAGAGGCTAATTATGTGTTGTTTGACTTAAGTTTTTTCCCAGTCTTAAACATCTAACATACCATGTGTGTATAAGCGTGTGTGTTTTTGTGTCCCCTGCAAATACACTGTCGGCGTATCTGAATGACTGCTAATAAATGAACATGTCCAAAAGAATGACAGTGATGATCCTGTAGGCTAACTATGTACGTATTGTCGAAACAGATAGGCAGCTGGCGGTAACTGGAGAAAATCTTTCAAAGTAAACCCAGTGTCGGAGCTACCCCAGTGTAGGTTATCAGTCCTGGAGAACAGATTTTGGCAAATCTAGATAAAGAGTGGCTGCTTGGCCTAAGCAAGTTTTTTAAGGGACTAGTAAAAAGTCATTTCCTATAGAAGCTCCGTGTGCACTCCAGCACAACCCCGGGATTGCTTTATTTGTTTTGAGCTTCTTCCCCATCCTTCCTTTTTTTTTTTCCCCCTTTTGCAAAACTGAACATTGAATCAGTTAATCACAATTCATTCAGAAGTGTCTAAGGCAAGGAAGGCAGACAGCAGATTTTGGTGGCTTCGGTTAATGGGGAAATTTGTAATGGAGGCTGGGGTTGAGCAGGTTCAGGGAAGGAGGAAAGCCTGTGTGGTAAAGGAAAGCTTGCTGTTGACTGGGTTGTGCTGGCAGCCAGTAAAAACTGGGAGGGAAAGAGGAGCGATGAAAATGGGGTTGTGGGGTCGTTCCTTGCTGCCGTTGCCCCTTTATTGGCTGGAGTGAGTGTAGCCTGCCTGACAGCGTGTTACTTGGATGGCGGGACAGGAAACCACTTCATTCCTGGCTCCCCTGGTCTCAATTAGCTTAAGTGTAAAAACTTGCTTGATTTTAATCTAGCCCTCTAGCAGAATAAGACTTTTCCCCTTTAAGGAGAAAGGCATGTTGTCTTGGGCATTAATGAACCTTTACTAAACCAACCTTCCTGCATAATTAAATTACTTTGAAGTTATAGGAGCACCTAAAAATCAAGGCTTGACATAAAATCTAGAGCATATTTTTAATATTTCTTTCAAGTTTTCATAAAAGTTTGGAAAATGAGGATGTCAAAAGCATTGACTCTGAAATGCAAGAAATATGTTAAGCAAAACCTATAGCTGGGGAGAAAAGCAAAAGCTAGTTGGTTCTTGGGTTTTTAAAGTCACCAAGAAGGAGCCATGGATTAGGACTTCATCTGACTTGGGGCCCTAGATTTATGGAGGGTGGGATACCACACTGCTGTGGGCCAGTAGTTTCTTCTTTGTTTTTTTTTTTTTTTTTTGGAGATGGCGTTTTGCTCTTGTCGCCCAGGCTGGAGTGCAATGGCGTAATCTCAGCTCACTGCAACCTCTGCCTCCTGGGTTCAAGCAATTCTCCTGCTTCAGCCTCCCGAGTAGCTGGGATTTACAGGCACGTGCCACCACACCTAGCTAATTTTGTATTTTTAGTAGAGATGGGGTTTCTCCGTGTTGGTCAGACTGGTCCCAAATTCCCGACCTCAGGTGATCCTCCCATCTCGGCCTCCCAAAGTGCTGGGATTGCAGGCCTGAGCCCCTGTGCCCAGCCAGGCCAGTAGTTTCTTATTTCCAGTTCCAAGCATATAGATGGATACATCCGAGGCTTTTTCCCCCTGTGTAAGGGGTTCCATATAAGAATTTAACTGTTTGGTCTCCATCCATCATACTCCAAATAACCTGCAGATCACCTATGGCAGAATGTTAACCCTTTATCTACTACATGGTCAAGTTAGTGTTCAAGAAAAGCCAAATGCATTGAAAGATTTTTTGCCTAACGAAATCCCTTCCTTGCTTCTGGCACAGCACCAGTTTCCTGCAAGATGAGGTGTCTTCAGGCCTCACTGCTGGCCTCACCTAGGTAGCCACCTGGGCACCATCTGGTTTCAAATCCCCCTATTTGCTCTTTGAAATTTCTCTTTATTTCTGGGGATAGATCCTTTTGCTTATAAGGTTGGCTAGGCTTTTCTTTGTTTGCTTTTTAACTTAAGTTGTATCCGACATTTCCATATGTTTCTCAGTGGAGAAGGGGCTTCCTGTGTCAGCTCAGTCTGCTGTGCAGACCTGAGGTCTAGCCTAACTAAGTGGAACAGGGAAGTTCAATATGGGAGAATGTTTTTTTAAGTTGAACCAGATAGTCTTGGTGTTAGAAGGAACCCCTACCACCACTGTTTCTTGTATAGTCTTGTGCTTTCTAACAGGAAGGGGATCAGCAGGCAGGCAGTGATGTATCCTCACAGCAACTCGTGGTTCACTGTCAAGTCATCTTGACCCACAGAGCTGCTGTCCTGAGCCCTCCATCTGAATGGCTTTCATTGAACAAACTGTACCTGCCTGTTGCTATATTTGCATGAGATCACTTTTCCTTTATAATTTCAAATTCATGATGTTTACTACTCACAGACCATGCATTTATAATGAGATTCCAGCTCCCTTTTATTTTTTCCTATTAGGTTTGAAATCCCTTCCTTCTGTGGTAACCTGTCATATTTACTGTCTTCCACTGTAGCTAGGATATAAATTTTACGTGTCTTCCTCCACTTTCCAAATTCCACATTAAAACTTACCTTGTCACTTCATCCATGGCAAAACTCTTTCCACCTGTGCTCATGAAATGCCCTTTCTCCCCAGCTAGGAGCCATCATTCTAGTGTCTCACACACGGTTCCTAAAAATAAAAATTCTGTTTCAGATACCCATATGTGTTGCTTGGCCACTTTTATCTTTCAAAATCAATAGCCTTCACCGGGAAGAAGCCAGAAAAATATCCCCCTTGGGTTTCAGGGTTGTCTTCAGAAAGTTCAGGATGTTTGGAGTGGTGTCACTCATTCCTGTGAAAGTCAGGCATGGAGAGGAGAGGATGGTATTAGCCTTGGTGGTCTGTTGCATTGTTCTCTCTCCTTGGCCTCATTTACTTCAGCAAGCTGGCAGTCATTGGGGAATAATGATCTCATTCACGTGGTGATGCAATCCAACTGCCTTCACCCCATTCACCATTCTACCAGAGCATCCTGAGACTTTATTCTATGGCCCATGGCACACAGTGTCTGCTGCAATGCTGCTGCTTCAGATTCTTTCACTCTCCAACCCTAATTTTAACTCTTTTTAGATAATCCTTTTGAGAATCTGGAAGCAGCAAACTTTCCTCCCAGAAAAAATACACTCATACAATTTTGTGTCCAGTTTCAGGGATTAGCACATCTTGTCTATTCAAAGTAAGTGGACTCCAGGTTCAGGACCCCTTATATAAACTACCCACATTGTTTTTAGATTTGGCAATTTAGCTTACTACATGTGGTTTCTATTATTGGTCCCACAAAGAGGGCCTTACTCCTGTTCTGTGTGTCTTGTGGTTTTATATATTATTTACACTCGGACCTCAGATAACACGGCACTAGATTAGTCATGGTCCTTGGTTCACACTTAACACCTGTCCTTGCAGGATGCTCTTCTATTGATTTCATTTCTTTCTTTTTTTTTCTTTGGAGACGGAGTCTCGCTCTGTCACCTAGGCTGGATGGAGTGCAGTGGTGCAATCTTGGCTCACTGCAACCTCCACCTCCCAGGTTCAAGCAATTCTCCTGCCTCAGCCTCCAGAGTAGCTGGGACTACAGGTGCACACCACCATGCCTGGCTAATTTTTGTATTTTTAGTAGACATGGGGTTTTACCCAGGTGATCCGCCCACCTCGGCCTCCCAAAGTGCTGAGATTACAGACTTGAGCCACTGCCCCTGGCCTATTGATTTCATTTCTATATAACATCCAACCCTTGTGAGCCCACCCCCAACTCAGAAACTTGAAGGTCACTGCATGCACCTCAGCCTACGTGGTCCCGCCTCCCAACCCAGCCCAGCCTCTCTCCTGAATCTTGTGCCAGCTGTTTGTTGTGTTCCTCAGAGGTAGTTTTGTTACATCTATACTGTCTGTTAATTCTTTTTTTTTTTTTTTTGAGGTGGGGGTGTTGCTGTGTCACCCAGGCTGGAGTGCAGTGGCCCATGATCACTGCTCTCTACAGCCTCAACCTCCCAGGCTCAAGAGATCCTCCTGCCTCAACCTGCCGAGTAGCTGGGACCACAGGTGCAGGCCATCATGCCCGGCTATTTTTTTTTTTTTTTTAATTATTTGTAGGGACAGAGTCTCACTATGTTACCCAGGCTTGTCTCGAACTCCTGGGCTCCAGCCATTCTCCTGCCTCAACCTCCCAAAGTGCTGGGATTACAGGTGTGTGCCACCATGCCTGGCCCCACATCTGTACATTTCTAAAAGGTTAGATATTATTTAGTTCCTGCCTTCTCTCTTGAAATACATAAGTTATCCCAGGCTCATTTACTTTAAAATACTTGAACACCTGCTAGGTGTTAGGTGCTGAGGTGGTAGGGGAAGAAGGACTCAAATGACAGCCCCTGCTATCAAGTAGCTCAGAAAGAAGATACCAAAACCCTTTAATCTCAAATAATGACACCACCAAAGACATGAACAAGCTGAACTGCCTTATATGGGTGATACCATTTCTGTATGTGGCACGAGACTTGCTTTATGCTAGACTTATACATAGTATGACAAAGAAGGCCTGCAGTGCACCAGCTTTCCTGTTAACTGAATTATATAGGCTCACAGCGTGGCTGGCCACCAGTTCTTACCCCCTTTCTAATCTGCACCATTCCATAGCTTGCACTTAGCTGGACTGAGATGCTTATCAGACACACTTTCACTCTTGTAGTCACATGACACGAGTGTCACCTCTGTGCTTTCCTCCGCCTCTCCTGCCTGGGTTTACGGAACGCAGCATAGCCTGGTGCACAGAGCACAGGCTCTGGAGTTGGCCACCTTGGGCTCAAGTCCTGGCTTCACAGTTCCCCTGTGACCTTGAGCAGATTACTTATGCCCTGCCTCCTTTTCTTCTCAACTATAAAGTGAGGATAGTAATTCACCCATGTGGGGTTGCTGTGAGGTTTGAATGGAATAAAGTGCTTAATACATAGGGCCCCCTACATAGTAAGTTTTCAATATTTGATGCCATCAGTAGTTGTTGTTTTGGCCTCCCACGACCCAAGAAATAGTGGGAGGTGAAAATTAAAGAGATTGGCTGTCATCAGGCTTCCTGTGTGCTAGGGAGCTTATTTTACTTTATGATTTCAACAGCTTTGAGATATAATTCACATATCATACAATTCACCCTCTTCAAATGTACAATCCAGTGGTTTTTAGTGTGTTCAGAGTTGTGTGTCCATCACCACAAACAGCCTTTTCACTGCCTAAAAAAGAAACCCCATAACCATAGGTAGCCATTCTTCACTTCTTTCCCCGCTACCTACCTATCCTCTCCCCTAGCCCAAGCAGTCACCTATCTCCTCTCTCTTTGTTTGCCTATTTGGGCTTAAAAAAAAATTGGGGGTCTGAAAACTGGTTTAGGAAAAAAAAATTCCCCCTTTTGAATTGTAATTATATCTCCTTTGACCAACATCTCCCCATCGACCCAGAACGTATTTAAGAAAGAAGCCCGTGACAGTGGAGCGGACCCCCCAGCCCACCACAGCTCCCTGGCTCCAAAAAGTCTGAAGTCCTAATTCCACAATATCAACATATGCCACCGTTTCTTGCTCAGATTTCCATGTATACATCTTACATTTCCAGAACCAGGTTTTAAGCTCCATGAGGGCAGACACTGCATCTTTTATTTCAATGTTACATGTAGGATGGCACCCTTAATTAATTGTTCCAAAGACCATTAGTGGAGGTTCCAGATCACAGGGCCCAAACTCAGCCAGAACCTGCAGACGTGCTTCTGTTTGCCCACAGATTGATTGATTGATTTTTGAGATAGAGTCTTGTTCTGTCACCCAAGCTGGAGTGATCTTGGCTCACTGAAACCTCTGCCTCCCCAGTTCAAGCGATTCTCCTGCCTCAGCCTCCTGAGTAGCTGGGATTACAGGCATGTGCCACCACGCTCGGCTAATTTTTTGTATTTTTAATAGAGATGGGGTTTCACCGTGTTAGCCAGGATGGTCTCGATCTCCTGACCTCATTATCTCCCACCTTGGCCTCCCAAAGTGCTGGGATTATAGGCGTGAGCCACTGCGCCCGACCGAGTATTTTTTAAATTAACATTGGTAAGTAGCCCTTATACATCAAAATATTTCACTTAAAAATCCCTATTTCTGGATTTTCTTACAAAATCATAGTATCTAGCAACATGGGGCCCATATTCCCACCTAGCAACAAATGCTGGAGTTGAGAAGCAGATGCCTGGTAGTAAATGAGACATGACCTCTCCAGGTTGCTATGGGCCCTACTGCTCCCTCTTGCTCACTTCACCCACTTCCATCAGGGCTCACCTGCTAACCTCCTGGGCACCTGACTGTGACCCAGGTCATGAGAGCCTGATGTCAGGAAAGAGGGTCATTCATCCATCCAGCAATGCTTCTAAAACCCAGCACTAGGTGTTGGCACAAGCAAGGGAGATGGGAATGAAGATATTTCCCATTACTTACGGTATCTCACCCATAGGTATATCACCAATAGAAGTGACTCCCAGCATGACTCCAGTGAAAGACACTATGTGCCAACCGAGGCACAAGTAAACAATCGAAAAGAATGAAGTCTACTGCTGCCTGAGCTGCCTGTGGGGTTTCATGCATGAGGTCATTTGGCACTAGCTCTTTAAGGATGGTAGGATTTCAGTAGTTGGAAGAGAAAACATCCTTCTCCCTGAGGGGGTGACAGATGCAAAAGAAGCCAGCTGTGACTTGACCACCATGACCCACATGTAGAAGAGTAGAGGGAGCTGAGAGAGAGGAGGCGCCAGATGAGAGACCCTGAAAGCCAGATGGTGGTATTTGGAACACAGGCAGAAGGGCACTGCCACCAAAGATTTTTGAGAAGGGGAATATTGTGGTCAAAGGAGTTTGAGAAGTGAAAATATCTTCAACTGTTAGCAAACATCCCAGAGCCAGAGATGGCTTACTGACCTGTTTGCCAGGATGTCCTCTGCACCCTCCATCTGGCTTTTTCTTCCAGCCCATTTCTTCTAAGGGTGCTTAAGATTACCTTTCTTTCTCAGGCCCATGGCTGTGTCAGTTTGCAGAGTCCTGGTGATCTCAGGAGGCCCAGAGCCCACAGATGGGTGATAAATTTCACATGCAATTGGAAATGCATTAAAGGGGAGTGGCGACACTGAGAAAGTTTAACCTGCCTGTCATACGAAGAGATGAGAAACATGTTTGAGGCTGTTGTAAATTACACCAGACCTAAGCAGACAGTTTGTATCTGGTTGAGACCAAATTGTAGGTCTAATTCTATTAGTGAAACTCACTGTGTCCTGGTTGTTATAATTTGCTTTCTGCCTGTATGTGCTGGTAGAGGTTCTACATTCCCGATGCTGGGTGCCATTAAGGAACACTGGTCACCCCTTCCGAGCACACACTGTTGAGAATGCTGCTGTTGCAGCATGGATATTGATCGACCCCCTCACGAGGTCCATTGCTGTCTTCACACCAAGTGTGATCTGTGTGTGGTCTTGGAGCTGGCTTCCTTTACTGTTCCCTTCAACAAACGCTTTGGTATATTTAGTCCACACTGTGCACTGGGAAAGCCTAGGGCACAATCACTATCTGAAATGGGCATGGATGCTTCTGGGGCAGCCTGGTTCTATTCAGAGTTAAACATCACTGCTCCCAACAGTGGAACCACCAGCCTGGCTGTGATGTTGTCACTGACAACAGAAGTGAGGCCTGCTGTGGGGGCCATGTTCTCTTTTTGATTTTATGGCTATTTTGGCCTTGGTTTATTGCGTTTGCTTTGTACACTACATCTAGATTCATTTTCACAATGAGTCCTCGAGGAATGACTATATATAGATGAAGGAATTCAAGATTGCCAAAATCTTTCTACGGAGCAGCATTCATCACTCATCATAGGGAATCAGGAGGCCTCTTCTCTTCCCCTTTCCCTTTCCCTTCCCCTTTCTTCTTTTTCTTCCTCTTTCTTCTTTTCTTTTTTGAGGCAGGGTCTTCCTTTGTCGCCCAGGATGAAGTGCAGTGATGTAATCTTGGTTCGCTGCAGCCTCCAACTCTTGGGCTCAAGTGATCCTCTTGCATCAGCTTTCCGAGTAGCTGGGACTACACACATGCATGCTCGGTTAGTTTTTATTTTTTTGTACAGACAGATTCTTACTTTGTTGCCCAGGCTGATATTGAACTCCTGACTTAAGGCAGTCCTCCTGCCTGGGCCTCCTAAATTGTCGGTATTCAGGGAGTGAGCCCCCACGCAGACCAGGAGGCCTTTTGAGTAGTGTCAAGTTGTTGTTTTTCTCTCTTCTATGGGGCAATGTTGGACTTTAACTGATTCAACAGACGTTTCTCAAGAGTGTTTTGCATGTACTAAGTATTGTACAAGCCCTGGATAAGTTAGGTTATCACCATGTCCCCCTGCTGGATGCCTGGATTTCTTTATGACATATCCAAGACAGATTCAGTAATTTGTCAGATATGACCATTTTTTGTTTTCCGCCAATCACAGGACTAGACGATGATGTTTATGTTACTTTATAAGCTTAGATCTATAGGAGTCCTCTGGAGCCTGCGTAATTTTTCCCAAGTGCTGTTTCTTCAGTTTGTGCAGCTGCCACCATGTGAATAGTGGTACCTGTAAACATGAGGTAGAACTGGCAGGTAGATGATCCCCAGGTGTGGTACTGGACAAAAACAGGAATAGGTCACAAAATACACTTTCATAGAAAAATAACAACTATTACCCAAATTGTGCTTCAGTTAATCATTCCTTAGAAAAAAAACAAATGAGAGGAGGAATTCCTAGGTGTATATGTAGCATTCACTAAAGTAAATCCCAGCTGGACTATAGACTTAGGTGTACAAATTGACCCCATAAACAAATGGAAGTGCAGTGTGTGAATGAATAGCATAAACTCTGGATGAGTGGATCCCAGGCTATGAAGCGGTTTCCTAGGAGAAACAGAATTGGAGGTGGGGAACAAATTTTATTCCTACTTTATGTATTTCTCTATCGTTTGAATTTGTAACAATGAGTGAAGTACATACACCCACACCCACGCATACACAAACACTATCCTGACAAGATACGGAGAGAATTCCTAGGCTTAACGTTAGTGGGAGAAATGACAAAAGTGTAGATAAGAGGATTTGACAACAAACATGTTACTTTTATGGAAAGAATGTAGACAAACAGGAGAAAATATTTCCAACAACCCCATGTTACCATTCTCAAATAGCTTAATATAATAAGAACATCTGTTGGGTTGAATGCCTGCCCACCCCCACCCCAAGAGGTCCATGTCCTAATCCCCAGAATTACTGAATATTTTACCTTACATGGTAAAAGGATCTTTGCATATGCGATTAAGAATCTTGAGATGAGGCTGTTATCCTGTATTATCCAGGTAGGCCCAGTGTAATCAAAAGGGTCTTCATAAGAGGGAGGGAGGAAAATGAGAGTCAGAAGAAAAAGATGTCATAACGGAAGCAAAGAGTCAGAGTCTGAGAGAGACTGGAAGATTCTGTGCTGCTGGCCTTGAATATGAAGGGGCCACGAGCCAAGGAATGCTGGCAGCTACCAGAAGCTAGAATAGGAAGAGCTGAGGAAATAAATTCTACCCCAGAGCCTTCCGGGGAAGCCTGGCCCTGATAACACCTTGATTTAGGCCTAACGAAATGGTTTTAGACTTCTGACTTCCAGAGCTGTAGACAATAAACATGTGTTGGTTTAAGCCACTAAGTTCATGTATTTGTTACAGCAGCCATAGAAAACAATCCCAAGGCCTAATGGAAAAACTTTCATACTGACATCTACTACTTAGTAGGTTCTTCCTTGTTTGAACTGTGTTGTATGCTTTGCATGTGTCATCTCTTAGTTGATAAACCTATGGAGAAGGAGGTATAAGGAGGCTTAGCAGGTTCTTCCTTGTTTGGACTGTGTTGTGTGCTTTGCATGTATCATCTCTTAGTCCTTACAAACTTATGGAAAAGGAGGTGTAACTCCCATTTTAATAATAAGCGAACTGTGAAGCTTGTTAAATTGCACATCACACTGTTAGTTTCAGAGCTAGGATTCTTTCTGGCACACCCGATCCAAAGCCCATGCATGTGTGTCTTTAATCCACATATACAAGTACACACGAAGACATATGCTAATTATAAAAAGGTAGGGGGTATAGGTGCTATTTTCTGCATATGCTTTTTTAACTCACAAATTTCCTACAGACAATATGTAATCCCATGTTGAGAAGAGGGAAAATTTCTTAGTGAAAGAACAGTGCCTTGTGTTTCACAGTTTATCAACGTTGACAACAAGGTTGTCCAGAGAATGTTCTTTTCTGAAGGGAAAGCCTTCTAGACTGCACATCTCAAAGGTGTTTTCAAAGGGTGACCTTGATCTAATAGCTTGGCCTTACCAAAACATTTCAGGTATTGTCTTTGGTTACTCTCAGGTGTGGGTGCTTCCTTAGAGCCTGGTGGGTGGGTGCCATGGTGAAGGAAGGGGCATGTGGCACTAGCCCCAGCACACTGGAATGAGATCTAAGCTCAAAAAGTGACATAAACATCATCTTCTAGTTCTGTAGTGGGGGGAAAACAAAAAATGGTCATATTTGACAAATGACTGAATCTGTCTTGCATACGTCATAAAGAAATCTAGGCATCCAGCAGGTAGGTGTGCATGGTGGTAACCTAACTTATCCAGGGCTTGTACAGTACTTAGCACATGCAGACATTCTTGAGAATTTTCTGTTGAATCAGTTAAAGTCCAACATTGTCCCATAGAAGAGAGAAAAACAACAACTTGACACTACACCTAAATCAAGGTGTTAAAGCCTTTGGCCTTCATGGGGAGTGGTGGCCCACTGGGGGCTGCTCTTTCTCATCGCTGTTCTATAATCAATTGCGTCATTTTAACTGTCCTAGAAAAAAGAAACTGTTGCATCCTGCTGTCTTAAAAATCAAGTCGCCCATCCTCAGCCCCATGACCTGGCTTCCTTCTGTTCTCTGATGTACGGAGATGTGGCGAGGAAACCTCTGCCTGCATCACTGTGAGGTCAGAGAGCCCCATGATTATCATCTTCAGTTCCCTTGCACTCCTGTTTCTCCCCTTTGCTCAGCTGAGGGCTTCCACCTGTCTAAAGGAACATGGCCCAGCAGGAAGGCTTCTAGGTGCCTGCCCTCTGGATTCGGTAGGGCCATGCCTAGGATGGGCCTCCAGGGCCAGTTTCCCCACAATGACCAACGATGTTCCTGGTTAGGCTGTGGCCAGAAGGAGAGATGTTAAAAAGTGAGGGGACCTCCTCTTATTCCTATGAAGAGATAGAAGAAGAGAATGACAGAAGGAAAGCCCAGGCTCACAAACCCAAGAAGAAGAAGAAGGGTCAGAAAAATGTGGAGTACTGGTGCGGAGGCAGATGGGGGAGACCAGCCTTTCCCACTTCTAACATTGGATGGGAAGAGACCAGGAGCAAAGGCAGGTAAGCAGCCTCCTACCTTCTGCTCGGTGATGCTTGAGAACTTGAATGTAATGGAGAATGCTAAAAGGAGGTGATTATCGTTTTTGGATTTGATGATTTCTGTTCATTTTAAGTCATCTATATAATCCAGAGAGGATGGGCCCTTCCAGCCTGCTGCTGAGATCCAGCTATCAGGGTCATGCCTGCTTCGTGCCAGGCACCATGCTCTGCCCTCCACTCCATCTTCCTTGCCCACTTCAGAGTACTTGCCTTGGTCCTGCAGATGGCCATGCACATGGTAATGGGGCTGTGTTCAAGAGATGGTAAACTTGAGAGACATTTATTTTTCTCTGCCTCTTAGATTTAGACAATCCCTTGTTCCCCACACCCAGTAAGGGAATCCACTCAGAGGATGTTTCATACACTTCCTCTTGCCCCTGCCCTGGGTTCTCCTGGCACCACCTTTTTGCAGCTCGACATGCTCAGATTCTGAAACCATTCGGATATCTCTGTATTGTTGTGCTAGCTCCTGCTCTTCACCCCACCCCATTCTAAGTTTTGTAGTTGTTTTGTCTGTTTGGTTTTTTCAGCAGAAGGGACACTAATACTGAATAGCTCTACATTCTTTAGCTGTGATTCAGGAACAAGTTTTCCCCCTTAGAATTAGGGCTTTTCTTTGTTTTAATCTGGAGACTTTCTCCTTGGTATTTTAAGCTCCTCCTTTGGTGTGCATCATTTAAAGCTTCCTAACACTTGGAGAATCCTTATAGCCCCTCCTTCCGCATGTGATTTTGCCTTTGCTATGTAGGCCAGAGAGCCTGGATCTAGGGAAGCGCGATTGCCTGCCACCCCTATTTGTTGTTATCATCCTTTCCGGTAGACCTTTTAGTTCCTTGGGGAAATAGATCAAGTGGCTTGTTAGAGCCCTACCAGTTTAGAGCAGGCTGTGAACACAAGCAAAAGACAGCTAGTTCTCTCACATCTTATCACCTGACCTATTAGCTATGGACTTAGTTCACTTTACAACTGCAGTTTGGCCAAGACTGTTATAGCAGCTGCCCAGGCAGGAAATAAGGGGACCTTATAGACACCTTAACACCTAATCAGATGCTAACAGAAGACTGTAGGTTGAGGGGTGTTGGGCTGCAGGTGGCTAGGCTGAGACTGAGGCTGGGTACTTCAGGCGGACACAGGCCCCTGAGTGGTCCATTAGCCAGTGGGATCTCAGTGGACTAATGAGGCTCTCTAGATAACCTACATCCAAGAGCCAAGCCTGGATCTTCTCCTGCAGGAATGTTATATAGCTTCACTGGTAATGGTGGTTACTGGGCTTTTTATAGGTGGCTGCTTAATTAAGATTGTGGCTAATTAAAAGTGAGTGAACTTGCCTATTTAATTTAAGTTTGGTAGTATCCATCCATGTCCTTAAATTTAACCTACTTCCTTTTTCAAAGGTTAAACAGTGATTCCACTAGACTCTGAGCACTTGGAGCCAGCCTCCTGCTTGCTCAAGTGATTTACTTCTGTTTTTATTTTGATCCGCTCAGTTGATTCACTTTTATTTATTCTGTATCGTGTGACTATAAAGGGGTAAGATAGTGCAACCTAGTGATAGACTGTGAGGCTTAGAGTCACCTGAGTCCAACACTGCTTTTAAGCAAGTCATAGTGAACCTGGATGGCCTATCCAGTTAAATTCTCGGACTCAGTTTTGCTACCTGTAAAATGGGCTTACACCTAAAGGGCATACTTTTGCAGACCAGCATGGTCAATCTCTGCTTTGATCATCTGATCCTTCAAGCAGCATTCTCTTCTGTTTAACTGTAAAATTGGGCTAACACTTCAAAGGTGCTTTCTTCTGACCTATGAAACTATGGAGATGGTCTGTAGTAAGTCCTTCCCCCAGAGCCATAACTGAGAGTCTCACTGTTTAAGGGGCAGCTGACTGTCGAGTTGTGATATAAGATGCCAGCTCTTCCAAAGAGGACATGTAGGGCAAGGTGAGGGCAGCCGCTGTCACTGGGCTCAGTGCACCCATTGGATTATTTTGTGAACACGGGCTTGAAGCAAGTCTGAGGTTGTCTCGGTTCTGTTCAGGTGCTCCTTTTCACAGGGCTTGGTAGACGGCCTCACTCCTCCAAGGTGAAGCTGTCTCTGGGCTTTGCATTCAGAAAACTTGCTGCACCAAGGTCAGCTGTGTCTCACAGAGTAACAAGGGTTCCCCTTCTCACATTTACTTTCTCTTGCTTAGTATCCATTTCTCATTTATGTTAGCTAATACTGGCTTCCTAATACTCTTTGCTCTGTTTTTGTAGTTAGATAAGCTTAGAGTTTATCTAAATTAAAAACTGTGGAGTCAGGTAGACACCTCAATTCCTGGCTCTGCCACTGACCAGCTGTGTGGCCCTGGGCACATTATTCTTCCTCTGAGACTCAGTTATATCACACTTGTAAGATGAGAAGAATCAACAGCATCTACTTTAAAGGCCTACATCATGATTAAACAGGGTGATGTGTGCATACTACATCACAGGTGACATTCAGGTTAGATGTGGGCTGGTCTCTTTATACCATACTCCTCTGAAAAGCATGTGTGCCCTCAACCATGATTTTCCCTTCCCCTTTCTGCTTTTGTGTTTTGAATACATCTTTACTTAATAAATATGAAAACATAAAGCCTTCAGCCTCTTGATCCAATTTGCTTATTAAATAATATGAACTTTGCAGCCATACCCCTGCAGTCACTGTGGCTGTCCTTGGAAGCAGAATAAATTCTAACTGTGAGTTGTTCTATGGCAGAACATGTGACTCTGTGTTTCTTATTTACCTGTTTCGTGGGGCTAGAATAATTAGAATCTTTTTTGCCTCCTTTTGGTAAACAATGAGAAGAATTTAGTTTGACAGCTGGCTCTTGTCTTTTTGTGAAGCTTGACAGTATCCAATCATGGTTGTGATGAATTTGTAATAGACAATGGGGCATCCAGAGACAACCACAAGGCTTGCATGTAATGTGGACAAGCTGGCATTGATATAGGCTATATTCGTTGTTTCAGTACCATCTGAGGTCCTTGCTTCCTCGGCTGTAAATAATACATGGCCTCTTTTACATCCCCTTTTCAAAAACCCCGGGAGTGAGAGAGGCTCATTTATGGCTTGGTTTACTTCTGCTTTCCCCTTTCTAGAATGATAACAGGATCATGCTTGAGCAGGGCCACATACCAGATTTGTTGATGCCCCTCTTGTTAGGTCTTTGCCCCTCAATTTGTTCTGAGCATGCACTAGAACTGTAAGGGACCTTGTTTGTAACGTGGGTTCTGTCTAAAGTATGGCTCACATTTGTGATGTGAGAGAGTCTTTGATGTTCTATTTTGGTCACAGGTGCATGTGTTTGCTTTTGTTGGTATGTTTTCTTTCTTTCTTTTTTTTTTTTTTTTTGAGTTGGAGTCTCACTCAGTCGCCCAGGCCGGAGTGCAGTGGCGCGATCTGGGCTCACTGCAAGCTCCGCCTCCTGGGTTCACGCCATTCTCTCGCCTCAGCCTCCCAAGTAGCTGGGACTACAGGCACCCACCACCACGCCCGGCTAATTTTTTGTATTTTTAGTAGAGACGGGGTTTCACAGTATGTTTTATTACAGCTTTCTTTTCTAGGGTAAGTTTGGGAGCCCCAGAACATGGAAAACTCTTGACTAAGCCCTGAAATATCCTGGGTTCCTCTGATCCTCAGAACAACCCAGTGAGTTGACAGTGCTTTTAGCCTCATCTTCTTAAAAGGAAACAGAGGAGGCCGGGTGCTGTGGCTCACACTTGTAATCCCAGCACTTTGGGAAGCCGAGGCAGGCGGATTGCTTGAGGCCAAGAATTCAAAATGAGCCTGGCCAACATGGCAAAACCCGATCTCTACGAAAAATGCAAAAATGAGCTGGGCATGGTGGCGCATGCTTGTAATCCCAACTGCTCAGGAGGCTGGGGCACAAGAATTGCTTGAACTTGCTTGAACCTGGGAGGTGAAAGTTGAAAAAAACTGCTAGTAGTGATGGGGCATATGAGGAGTGGAGGATAAACTATAGGAGGTGAAAGTTTAAATGAGTTTGGAATGGTTTGGTTGGGGCAGATGTTGAGGAGCCTCAAAGTATCCTGTATCTTATAGGCCAGCACTTCCTGAAAACTTTCCTAAAGTAGGATTTCTGCTAAAGTAGGATTTCTGCCAGATAATTATTGTTGTGGGGGCTGTCCTGTTTATTGTAGGATGTTTAGCAGTATCCCTGGGCTCTACCCAGTAGATGCTAGTAGCTCCCCCTATCCTCCCCCGGTTGTGAAAACCAGAAATGTCTGCAGACATTGTTCCCAAATGTCCTTTGGGAACAAACTTGCATGTGGTTGAGAACCACTGCTCTGAAATAAAGCAAGATAGGAAACTTCTACCCCTCAGTAAGCAAAGTGCCCATGGTGACCCTTGAAAAGGTACATAGGCTTGAAGCTTTTTCGACATCCCAGGGCTAATAGGTAGATGTTTTCTCTAGTATGTGTTTTGCTTTATTCTCTAATATATGTGTTGATCTTAAATATAAAAATATTTTAAGTTGCATTTACATCAAGTGCTGCTGTAGGGCAGGCTTTACACACTCAAGTGCCAGGCAGGGCAGGTTAAATAGATGAAGTAGACTAGGAGGTTTGATTTGTTTTTGTTGAAAAATAAGTGGTGTTAATTTTGGAAGGCAGTAGCCAAACAGGGAGGCTGACCGCATTTCTAGTTCATTGTCGCCATGGCTGCTGCGGGCCTTGGGAAATTCAGAAACACATTTTTATATCAAACCCATTCATATTTAAAACAGGCCCAAATGAGGGGGTGTAAGGGAGACTGCAAATCAAACAAAATGTGTCTATAGCCCCTGGAGCTGCACTTACTGTGTTTTCAAGTTCCTGCTGGCACGTCCCCTGCCACCCACGCTCTGGATTTCCCTGTGTGAGAAGCAGGGCTGAAAGACTGAGCCAGGGATACTGTGTAGATATGGTCAGATCACCTGTAGTAGTTGCAAGGATCCATTGCCGCACAGGCATGTTAATACCCCGGAAATCCCAGGGACCTCTATGCTGCCTCAGCAGCAGCTCTCAGTCAGTCCCACAAACTAGGTTTATGCATTGTTGCCCCTCAATGCCACTGTCATTGCACTTAAAAAAAAATCATACAGTCCTTGTTTTCAGATCTCCTCAGGGTCTTGGTGGCTCTCATCTGAATATACACTTAATTGCTCTTTCTTCTCAAATTAAGGAATCCAGAATTCAACTTACTGAAGGAGGGGTGACCTCCTCATTCATTTCCTTATATGGCCTCTGTTACTATACCCTAAGATTGCAGAGTGTCATGCTACAGCACGCTTCATTCTCAATGAATTTAGTGTGAACTAGAATTCCTAAATCTCTTTAATATGTTATGCTACTATGCTGTATTTCTTTCCTACACTTGTAATTATTTTTCACATGCCTGGGGATGGCAATGACTCAAGAGAGGTTGAAGTTTGTAAAGCTGTTAGTTCCTCTCAATGCTCCTAGACTGCTGAGTTTTAAAATATGCTCACTTTTGAGAATAATGATTCTCTTTCTTACCTTTTTGTCAGCTGTCAGTTCTTGCTGATATCTGTGTAGCTTTCTCTAGCCTTTCAATCTGCTACTTCTAATCTCCTGTTGGTTGGGACATCATGTGTCCAGGAATTTTAGAATCATGTAACCAGGATTTTAAGAATTTCAAACAAGATAGATGGTCTCTGCCTGTGGACCCTTGTTAGGAAGTCAAGTGTTCATGCCTTCTTTGCTGGTCAGAACAATTTGTATGGTGTGTGTGTGTGTGTTTGCAGTTTTCAGGTCCATAGAGTTGTTTCCTCTAGGGCTTGTGTCTTGTTAAGATTTGACTGCATAAAGTAAGTCCACTCCCATTTACAACTCTCCTTCCTCACCCTCTCAACCCCTCTGATTACTAGAGAATTGGGACCTCATGTTAGAGACAGCTTAGATAGTCAGGATCCAAAGTTGGATGAATTCAACCCCTTATGCCCACTCTCTCTTCATTAAGTTGATGTTTGAACCATCGTGCAGAGGCTGTCTCCACGTGGAGTGGCCTAACGTGGTGTGGTTGTTCATTATCCTTCAGGATTTCCCCAGCTTCCCTGGTGCCTTTGCAGCCTTTTCTCTCTTGACCCTTTCAGTTAAAAGGTGGAGGAGATAAGATTTGGGTTTGTAGACAAATACAAAGTTACTCTCAGGCTAACATTTTCTTTACTTCTCCCACTGCACAGTGTGTGTCATGAGTACTTTATACAAAGTTAAGGTGGTTTGCCCATCTATTTCAGTTGGTAATTATAGAATTGGAGATGCGAAGTTGAAGCTGTTAGCCTTCTAACATACCTCCATCAGTGGACTCTAAGGATTTTACCCAGAAGTTCTATGTTCTACAGTTTCAGACTTAACCACTTTACTTATACCTGTCCATCTCTTCTTTTGATATTTTTAATAAAAATAATCCTTGTTGACCTCTGTTCCTATAGGGTTATAGAAACCAAACTGCTATAAGCTGGGCGTGGTTGTGCACACCTATAATCCTAGCACTTTGAGAGGCTGAGGCAGGAGGATTGCTTGATCCCAGGAGACTGCAGTGAGCCATGATCTCAGCACTGAGCACCAGAACAAGACTCTGTCTCCAAAAAAAAAAAAAAAAAACAAAAAACGAAGAAAGAAACTAAATTGCTATGTGGGAAAAGTGTGCTATTCCATAGATCAGCAAAGTAAAGTTTTACAAGTTGGTCTAATTTTTCTTCCAGCATCTTTCTAACCCATCCAAACCAGAAAAAATAAGTTATGCTTAGCATATGGAAAACCAGTTGAGTTTCAGGGAGGGTAGGTGGCAAAGAATCAGATGCTGATGTAGCTCTTTTAGACTATCTTAAATAGAAACAGAGCTTTGGGTTAAGGACCTGAGTTATCCCATTATGTTCTGTCAGAATATCGATATTATCCAAATCCGTCTCAACAAATGCATGGTGCTAATAAGTGGGAAAACAATCTTATAAGAGCAAATTCTAATGTTAAGAGATTACAGTTCTTTTGAGATCACTTTAAAAATTAAATGCCAGCTGTCTCCCCTAATGAGCTTTAGAGGGGAATAAAAATTGATTTTGGCATCAGACATTTCATTTTACTTACCAGCATTGTGATTTTGGATCCTCTAAGCTCTTTGGGCTTCAGTTTGCACAACCGAAAAATTGCATGGGGAATTGTGAAGATGGGTGGGGGCGGGCAGAGGAGGGAGGAGAGCAGCAGTCATGTGGAAAGGGCTAATGGGTGTCAGCCCTCTATTCCTTTGGCCCCCTTTCTCCCCACAAGTCTTGCTTCAGACAGAACCTAGAGAATTCTGACCATTTGCCCCTGCTAGTCATGTTTTCCAGCTAGTTCCCATCCCTCTGGACTGGTCCCATTTGCCCCTGGTGCTCTTGAGATGGGCTGTTTGGGTCTGCACACTTCTCCAGATGCCCAACTCTCTCTGCGTATGAGACTCTCATCCTGCTGTGTGCTAGATACAGTATTCCAATTAATGCAGCTGAGGGGGGATTGTAATTTGATGCAGCCAATGAATGTCCCCTTCCAGGCTTATTTGGAACCAAAACCCTTGGGAGGGGGATGTTTGGGGGAGGGAGGTAGCTGACTTTGTCACCATGTTTCCATTAGAGGCCATAATACCAATCCACACTCCTTTCTTCTGAGACAAGAAAGAATGTTTTTAAGAGGAGTCTGACAAATTTTCTCTGACCTGGTACCTGAAGGAAGAAAAGATAGATTTGAATTAAGTTGCACATATTGAAAAAGCTAAAATTTAGAGAAGCTTATTAAAAGACATTTCTCTGTCTCCTTCCCCTCCACACACAAACACACACGCACACACAGCTTAGATTTTCCAGACCTCTCTGGTGTGAATCAGAGCTCTTGTCTTAGGAGTATAAGGGAGCTGACCTTTTAAATCAATTACACTGAGGAGCAGATGGGGCCGCTGAGAGATCTGGAGCCCCCACTGCGTGAGGCGTATCATCTGGCAGCCACGGACCTGGTATAAATCCTATCATGTTTCCATTTAAGGTGCTCTGCCCACCTGGACACCCTCCCCAGCTCTCATTCTTCCTCCCTGTTGAAATCCTTCTCCCAAACTTAGCTCAAATGCCTTCTCTCCAAGAAAATCTTCCTGAATTATCTCAAATGGGAACTGCACTGAACTCTCCTGTGCTGTCTGTGGCACATTACTGAGACCTTCACTATGGCCTCGTCACAAGCCTCCTGTGACAGCGTGGCTATTGGGTGTTTATACCTTCCCGCCATCTGGATTGTCAGTTCCTCATTGGATGCGCATGCATTGAGTGCCCCTGTGTGCCAGGCCTTGTGCGAGGCACCGGAAGTAGATAAATATAGAAGTTCACCAACAGGTATGAAGACTGGCATGTAAATGCAAAACTCACTGTGACATATGTTGTATGTGAAAGGAAGTATCAAGTGCATTAATATTTCCCTGTGAGTATCTTCATGTAGCTTTTGAAGGCTTGCTCTTTTTTTTTTCTTTGAGATAGAGGATGGCTCTGTTGTCAGGCTAGAGTGCAGTGGTACGATATTGGCTCAGTGCAACCTCCGCCTCCCAGGTTCAAGCTATTCTCCTACCTCAGCCTCCTGAAAGTCTTGCCTTTTGAAGTTAGGAGAATATCTTAATCTTTTACTCCCATACCTAACAGAATGCCTGGTGCATAGTAGATACCCAATATGTGTGTTTTGAGTGAGTCACTTACCATCTTGTTAGTGTGGTCTGAGGAAAAAGGGTATGTGCCCACTTAACCACATTAGAACACTGGGTCTGGCTTGACTGTAGTGATGGAAGAACAGATACCAAGCTGCAGAGGCCATCCGGTAAATACTAACTGAATGAAGAGAATCTGTATAATGTGTGTAAATGCAGTTCAGTCCCTTCTCTACTATAAAAACCCCCTTAAAAGCATTTCATTGGTGGGGGTGAAATCACCCTTAAATAGAAACAAAATTGACAGGTAAGGAACAACTCTGGTGAAGAAGAGAGTTGTGGCTTTACCTTACACACAGGATGCTTCCAGCTAAACCCACCGAGCTGACAGAGGGAGCATGACACCTCTCCTCCATGTTAGCACATCAGGGCCTGGCTCAGCTGTGGGAAGGAACAAGTGATGCTGATGAGCAGATAATGCACCTGATAGGGAATGGGGTCCTTGGAGAGCAACATATCTGCGTGGCAACTGTTAAAACCCCCCTGGGCCTCAGAATTTACAGTGAGCTGCAGTCACAGGTAAGGAGACTCACTCATACTTCAGCACAGTGTCTGAGAGCTTGTTTTCTTTCTTTTTTTCTATTTTTGGTTTTGTAATTGTGAGTTTTATATGTGAAGAAGGGAACTCTCCAGGCAGATGATCTTCATTTTGGTTTGAGGTTTGCCTTTTGTTATATTTTCATTTGTTCTTACACATCTCGCTTATTCCTCTCTGGGGACTAGTTACCTCATCCTGTAGCTGAGAAAACAAACCCAGAGAAGCAGAGTCAGATTTGACCCCACTTTTCTGACAGCAGGTGCACAGTCAGAAGGTAGCTAAGATTATTGTGCATTATCTCTCCTTTGTATAGTATTCTACAGTTATAGATGGCAAGGTACTTTTGTTGGATCCTACTCATTTAGATAACTCTTTGGAGTTCATAACATGTTGTCTTCTATTTTCCTAAATATTTACCTCTATGATTATAAACAATAAAACAGCCTAGCCAAATTTCTTTGAGTCCCAGTAAAAGTGAATCTCTTCAGAATCCTTTTCTAAATTCTAATCAGTACATTTCAAGGCTGGTAATGGTGTTCTGACCGATAGTGGTGGTCTAAAATTTGCCTGATAATGGTCTTAAAGAGGCCTGTGCACATCCAGGCTTTCTGTAAGCAGCAGAATGAGGAAAACTCCTTTTTGAAAATCAAAGCTTCCCATCAAAATTCATGTTTAGGAATAGTCTAAATTGCCTGTTTCTGGGAGTTTAGACTAGGTTATCTTTAATAAGTGTCATCGTTCACATAGAGATGTGTTGGTCTCAATATAAGAATATAGGTTTTTAGGGCATTGCAACATTGATCTAATTTAATCAAGTTGGGAGGTTGGAATCTTTTGATTCTTCAAAATTAGAGTTGACTTTTGGATGATTTTAGATTAAACTGTAAAGACATAAATGATGACTTTCAAAGTAGGGTGCTGAATGGAGTTAGAAGGACGTAAGTAACTTTACGTAATTATTTTGTTTTTCTGATTAAAATGTAATTGTTAACTATTATATAAAATGTAGAAAGTCAGAAAAATATTAAAATAAAAATTACCTTAAATCCCACATCCAGATAGACATGCCATTAATGTTTTAATATTCTCTGTTGTATAGAGGAAAAATTGATCTCTTTTATACTGCTGAGATCTAACATATACATAAATGTATACTCTTCTTGGGCAAAAATGGCTTACCAGAAAATGGCTGGCATTATAACATAAACTTCTCTCATGTCAGTAAGCATTTTTGTTAAGTGGTCAATCTTGGGCCATGCTTTTACCCAGAAGTTGAAGAAGAAAGAGCCCCCAAACTAGAAGAATAGTCTCCTGTCCATCTATTCTCATCTCATCGAGGCACCCTGAACAGCATTGAAAGCCTAGGAGGGGCAGAAGGAAGAAATCAGTAATCCTGCCTATAAGGGGTAACAAGTGGGTTTTTCTGGTGGGTTCTCTATACAATATATTCCATAAATCTGAGTCATGCCATATTTGTTTTTCTTCATTAGATTTCTGAGCTGGAAGCACTGTACTGAAGTCTTGAAATGTATAAGATTATTATTATAAATTGGAAGCACGGGAGACAGGGTGGAATTGAAGAAGAAATAGCAATAAAACAAAGGGAGTAGAAATGAGAACATGGCAAATAAAAAAACACGTGACGATAAGTAGTAGAGATGGGCCCGTGAAGTCCAGATGCTGATAAAGAAGTACTTCTCATGGAGACCAGGCAGGCGACCCCTTCCTAAAATCGGGGGAGGAGGCTGTCGGGCCACTGTATTCATTCTCCATGGAAATCCTCTTTGTACTTCTGGGGTGAGAATAGAAATCTCTAGGGCATATTTAGCACATCGTCTGAAGCTACATCTTCAGGTAATTCAGAACCAAGATGTAGGTATGTATATGTTTAGGTATGTATGTCTCTTGACCAGGGATTCCTGCAATACCCATAGCAGCTGGTTGAGAAGACAAAAGATGGTGAAGCTGAAATTTGGACACAGGTGTGTGCCTGTATCTAAGGCCCATGCTCTTGTAAACACGGCAGGCCTTGGCTCTAATGTTCCCTGTGTGTGTTATAAATTGGTGCTAGGTATATCATTGCAAAATGTGTGTGGTTCCTAATTGGGCTGTTGCATTTTACAGCAAAATCCTTTTGAAAAATTCAACTGCATTCATTTTTGTCTTTTCTAGAACTTGCATGTTATTAATTGGTAAATGAGAAGATACACTGGCATTTTAAAAGAAATCAATAGAAATTGATTCAGTGTGTCTTAGTTTAATAAAATTCTACTATCTGCTGTTTTTAAAGGATCAACACACAACCACAATGGCAGCCAGAACATCTTGAACCCATTTTGGGAAGAATTTCCTTTGCATTCCCTCTATGAGGAAAGCAGAGCCAGTCACTTCAGAGTACTGAGCACTGCCTGAAGTACTTCTCCTGTTACTAACAGCCAGTGTACTTGCCCCTAACAGCATTTGAGAAGACAAATGTTCCCTGTGCTAGGCTGCAAATGGATTAAAGCAGTGTTGATCCTCATCTGTCAGAACCATTAACATGAGTAAAACACTTGCCCTACTTAAAGCAGATGGAGGGGGCTGGGGGAGGGTGTTCTGTGGTACTGTTCATAAGATTAATGGTGCTATATGGACAGCAGAGAGCACTGGCTTTATATTCTGAACATTACATGGATTTACAGGGATGTCAGTTATTCCTGAAAGCACAGCCTGTGTTCTTAAAGGGTCTCTGTAAGGTATTGAATGAGACATGGAAGAGTGTGGTATGGGGGATGGTACATGAGATAGTAGCATTTTAACAGTAAATTATGACTTCTGGATCATTTTTGCTCTTCTTTTGTTTAAGCTCTGCTGAATTTAAGTCTTAACAGTTACCTGGCTTCTTAGAGTATGTGTAAATATTATAAGATTTTTTTTGATAAGATAAATGAGAGAGATAGAAATGGGACTGTAATCACAAGAGACCACAGCTCTGTGTTTGCAGGAAGACTTTAGATCCCCTTTGCCTTCTGGTAGAAGGCAGGAGGGTAGGATAGGAGGAAAAGAAAATAGAACATGTTAATTAAGAGTGGGTATTTTTGAGGATTTTATTATTCTTTGACAGTGGAAGTGGAATGGTAAAATTGTTGAGGTTAACGCAACAGTGATAGAAGACAGTAGTGTGAGAAATAATATTTACATGAGTGCTGAATTAAATTTAATTATAGAAAGGAATCCGGTTGTTGGCAGAAGTTTAGCTATCTCTGCAAGGGCCAGACTTGGGGGTGAGGAGGAAATGTGGTTGAGTGGCCACTTGTCATAGGCAGAGTGGGTTGGGATTCTATTATTTCTCTGGCTAACCCTTCCCAATATATCCCTCATAAATAAATCTTCTGCCCTGGCAATCCCCCATCTACCCTTGTTTGCTCTTTCTCTTGTTTTCTAGTACCTCAACTACTGGAAACAGGCCAGAATCCTTTGCTGCACTAATGCCATCTACACTTTATGTCTAAATCTGACCCCTAGCCACCTTGCTAGGAAAGCTGCTGCATGCTCAGAGCTACTGAGATGGTCCACTCGCCACTGCCTTATCTGGTTCCATAACAGGGACTGCTGCAGGTAGTGTCTTTGTTAACTGTCTAAGTGACAAGAGTGACTCCAGAAATGCTCCTCCCGTGTCATTCAGGAACGCATTCTAAATACCATTTCTGCAGCTTCTCTTCCCTTCCGCTGCCACTCATACCCCACTTTCCTGCATGTGTTCTGATTTGCAAGCCCTGTTTTGGTCCATTCTTACATTACCCACTGTTTTGGGTATTGTTTTGCAGATGGTGTTCCAAGTATGTGTTCTTGCAGGTTTAACATAGTGAAATAGTCTTCTAAGATAAGGAGAAAAAATTCTTTCGTAATTCGAAAAGAAGGAAATCATTTTATGTTTGTTACAGCATTATTTTAAATTAGTAAAGATTAGAAACTACCTAAATATGATTAAGTATGATACATTAACTTGATGGCATTTACTCAGGCATTAAAACTACAAATATGAAGACTGTGTACCCACTTGAGAAAACCTATAGAAAATAACACAAAATTCGCCATATATGTATGTTAGGATTACAGCTTTTTAAAGAAAAATGCAAACATGGATTTTAAAAAATGGAAAGGATCATGAAGAAATCTAATTGCTATAACAATTTTGTTTTTTGGTATAATGTCTTTATGTGAAATGGCTTTAATGGCAAAATGTACTTAATGTTAACATTGTTTATCATCATAAGCAGACTTATATCATTGATTTCAGTGCTCCTTTTTGTTTTCAGATTGTGTGACTGAAGTCATTGGACTGTCTAGCCCTAGATTTTCCATGGTTATGTACCTGAGAGATTTGTTGGGATGGTTTCCTAACCATTGCTGAAAGTCCACATTGTGTCATTGCACAAGGCACACAATGACCTCCAACGCCTGGTTTAGCTTTTATCATAGTTCCCATGTTAGAGGAACTAGTCAATGTTAGTCTTTAACATGTGGTTATTCAGTGCCTCCTTTGTGCCAGGCACAGTGCTAGCTGTTGGAAACCAGTCAGACAAAATGCTAGTCCTCAAGGAGTTTACAGACTACTAGAGGAGACCAAAGAAACAAGGCCACCGAAAGAGTGTGTTAGAAGCTTTATGGGAACTAGGAGGCTACATAGGAGAGGGGTCCACTAGGACTCAAGAAGTCTTTCCAGAGGCCACCTGAAGATGGTGTGGGGGTGGGAGCAGGTAGGTCCATTTAAAAGAATTTGGACCTACCTGAGGGCGAAGGGCAGCCACTGAAGAGTTGTTATTGTTTATATTTCTCTTTTAGCAAGAGAAATGATGTCATCAGACATGCACCTCAGAGTGTCTACGCTTCCTTTGGAGAACAGTTTAGAGAGAAGGCTAGATGTAGGGAACCAGTGAAGACACTGTTCCTGCAATCTAGACAAGCAGTGGACCCTGAGCTAGAATGGTGATGCTGGCATGGGGAGGAGTGGATGGTTTCCAGAAAGATTTGTGAGGCAAGATCAACAGAAATCGATAAGAGGGACGTGGAGGAAGAATTCAAAAAGGATACCCAAGTCTCTGGTTTGGGTAAATGGGCCTGTAGAACTTGGCTCATGGCCCATATTTGTTCATTTAATTGAACTGGGTGACAGTTCAATTGCCTAGCAAGCTGGATGTACGGGGTGGGTTAGTTTGCAGGGAAAGAAGGGAAGTTGAGTTTGGGCCACATCAAGTGTCATCCTCTGGGTGCAGCAGTGTGGTCAGCAGCTGGTGGTACAAGCCTGGAGCACAAGGGAGCCGTCACCCTTAGCTGTTGGACTTTGAGAACAGTGTCTTGCTCTGTGTGTTGAGGAACATGCTAGAGCTTCAATAGTAGATGTCTTTTCCTGAGAATTCTGTTGACAGTTGTCTTCAGATGTCTGAGTGTTGGCAGCACAGCTGCAAGAGATAACTTTTCAATTAAACGTTTACTAGCTGTTGTACTCAGGGTGCACACAGCTCCTCTCTGTACATCCACTGCTAGTGCTGGGCTGTTAATACAGTCCTTAGGGGCCTGGCCTGATTGCAGCTTTATGACCTTATTGTTGTGATCCCCCTTGTTCTTATGTCATGTTTTAATATACAGTACAAGAAATGGGCATTTAGGAGCTATTTCTCAGCAAGAAATCCTAAGGCAAAGCCATTTACCCATTATAACAAATGCCTTGCTGGGAAGTAGAGAAAATAGAATTAGCTCCTGAATTTTCAAATGTATACTTAAACTTAACATTTTTCTTAATGACAAAATCAGCTCCTTGAAAATCAGCCTAGGATATGCCTATCCAGACTTGAGAGAAAGTGTTTTTTCCCTGCTGGTTGGTACAGTACATAGGGGGTAGGATGCAGAAAAGAAGGGAATATTTAAGGCAGTAGTTTTCAAACTTTTTTTTTTTAATCTAGATCTATGCTGATCACAACACACTAAATTTGTCTCCAGACTCATTTATGGATCATGACCCACATGTTGAAAAATATTCATGAAAAGTACTCTAGGGATGATTGGGGATGACTATATCTCTTCCTTAAAATTGAATGTATTTTAGAGTAGATTATAAGGAATATTATGTGGTTGCTATTTAATCCCCTGGGGGTACACCAAAACAATATTTACAATCTAATACAAATTTCATACGACCTCCTAGATAGGTTCCTGAGAAAGTCAAACAAGGCTTTCAAAAGTGAAATACATTGCAGTATCCCTAGCATCATATCTATTTATCTGTCACTACTCCCCGTCCAGTTTGAGTGGCTAATTGAACACTAACTACAGTGATCAAATTTGCATTTTCCCTGTCAAATGTGCCACTCTGTGAATAGCTAAATTAACTTAGTCTTCCTGGAATATACCCAAATGTTGAGAACCATCTAGGACCTTTCAAAACCATTTGGTCTGTTCTGTCTTAAGATAAGCAGAATAAATACGTCCCTGAAATCAAAGGAAAACTAATTGTAGTACCTCTTTCCAGCTTTAAGTCATCAAAGTTTGACCATCTCAAGTATGTTCTAATGGGGTTCATTATTTTGTTTGTTCTACATCTGAGATACTTTTACATTTGCATTGTTAATATCCATTTTTCAAAATTTATTGACATGTCTATTTATTTTCAAGAATAGTAACTTATTAGCCTCTCCTTTCAAAGCACAAAAGCTACACATGGCCACCAGAACAAGTCAAACAACACAGAAGTATATCACGGAAGAGCTAACTCAGGCCCCTTCTCCTCTTAAATTTCTGTCTTCCTCCTTAACCAGCATTAACAATTTGGTGTTTATTCTTCAATACCCATCTAAGCTCATATAAAATACACAAGTATTTATAAATGTGGTGAACATTTTCTCATAAAAATGAGATCACACTATGTTAATTCTCTTCTTAACATTTAAAAAAAAAATCTGTCATCTGGGCATATTGGCTCACTCCTGTAATCCCAGCACTTTGGGAGGACAAGGCAGGAGGATCGTCTGAGCCCAGGAGTTTGAGACCAGCCTGGACAACATAGGGAGACCCTCATCTCTACAAAAACTACAAAACTCACACCTGTAGTCCCAGATGCTTGCTTGGGAGGTTGAGTTAGTATTGCTTGAGCCTGGGAGTTTGAAGCTGCAGTGAGCTGTGATTGGACCATTGGACTCTAACCTGGATGACAGAGAAACACCCTCAAAAAAAAAAAAAGTCTTAAGAAAAAAAATATTTTTTAACTATATGTCGTGGGTTTTTTCTCCAAGGTCTTCAATATACCATTCTTTTTTACAGCTGCAAAGTATGGATATGTCAGTGTATTTATTTACTCTCCTGTAGATGGGCATTAATGTGTTCGTTTAGTTTTTGTTATTATACTGCTATAATAAATATCTTTGTAAATATATCTTAAAACTAGTAAATCATTAGATCAAAAGAGGTGCTCCTTAGGTGCCAAACAGTGCAGGTGATCCATACCAGCAGTGTAGGTACGATTCACAATGACTCCATCCAGCCTCCACCAGTGAATTGGTTTTTGTTAGCTGAGTCCCTTTACCAAGGAGCCAGGAAGAAGACAGGTTGGGAACATTGATTCAGGTCTTTTTTACCTAGGATATTTCTGTGTCTACCCACCCCTACCTTGGATCTTTGCTATCTCAATGTCCTAAATCTCTCTTAGCATTGGGTCTAGGACTTTTTAAAGCAGTGTTCTGACTTCTTTACTTCACCATGGCAGTGATATACCTCATTCTAGACACATTTCTGTAGTTCTCAAGCATGAGTTCCAGTTCTGTTGATTTTGGTTCATCTTAATCTACCCAGTGTTACCCTCCATGTTCATTTCCCCTTTGTGTTGCTGTTGCAGTAATGTAGAAAGGTCTCTGTCTTTGGAATTGGTTATGCTGTTAGAGTGGTGTGGTGGGCTGTAAATCCCTGCACTTAGACCTTTGCTGAGTTACACACACCAAGTGCATTCAGGGTTATGGTGCTGTTTTAGCTAATTGGGGTTTGAAATACTAAATAAGATGTTAAAGACAAATGTTCTAGGTCACTTTGATTTCATTCATTCTAGTACACTGTACTAGCTACTAGGAATAGAATATACTGAGAAAACAGAAATAAAGTTTGTCCTCAAGGAATTTATGTCTAGGTTAAAGAGAGCCTCTGCAAAGAAAAATACAATTTGATAAATGGAGTGCTCATGTTATTAGATGGGATTCAGTCATGCACATGATTACACTGATTGGGGGAGAATAGAAGTTTAGTGGTGTTGTGATCCAGAGCCTCATGGGATTTCAAAACAAATCTTTACAGTGACCTTATATTTATCAGGAAGAATAAACAAATAGCTAAAATATTATTTTTAATAAAACAAAGGGGGAGATATTACACTATGCAACATTAAACATAATATTGTCATTTAGAGTAACATAAAGATGTAGCTATAATTATTCAGTAGTAATAGGACAAACAATAAATGAAAAGTACAAAGTTGATTTCTAATTCATGTATGCCATGAAATTCCAGATGAATAAAAGGTTTAAAAAATGACCACATAAAAGAAAACCACACTGAAGAAAATGTTGGTAGCTATGGAATCTGAGTGGGGTGGAGGATGTCTTTCTAAACAAAAATCAGAGAGAGGATCTGTTAAGGAAAAGGTTTATGGAAGCTACATAAAAATATGAAACATACAGATGTGATAAAATGCTATATAAATTAAAAGACGAACAGTTCACTGGGAAAGAGTATTTGCAGTGTATCTGGTGAAAAGTTAATATCTGTTATATACATCAAACTCTAAAAAATCATCCTATCAAAACAGGCAAAGAACATAAACAGGCAATTAAAAAACAAATTCATGTGTCCAGTAGATTTACGACAAAAAGTTTATCCTGAAATAATCAAGAAAATGAAGACTATTTTGGAATCAAATTGGCAAAAAAAAAATATGTGATATATCTACACATGTTAGGAGTAAAGTGAAATAGATACAGCTGGGAGAAATATATATTGCAATAGCTTTCGGTAGAAGGCAATTTCACAGTCAGAAGCCTTGGCCAGATAATTAACTCTATTTCCACGAATTTGTTCTAAGGTTCTTCATTGTAGCAATATACAACAAGGAAAATTGGTTACACATTCTATAATTGGCTGTTGGCTAAGTTATGGTACGCCCAGCACATAGGTAATTGTGTTAAGATGGACAGATGGCCATGGGTGGAGTCTTTCTCGTCACCTGATTTGTTCTGTGTTATGTCAAAGTGTGTAAGAGGTGGGGAAAGAACATTTCACATTTGCCTCCCCAAAGCCTTTTTAGTCAAACGAGGTTACTTAAAAGAAGAGGATGTGCATGGCAGAGTAGAGTTTTCAGCTGTAAAGCTATAGGAAATAGCAACTTGAGGCTGACCAAGTACAGTGAGAAGGGAAAATGAAGCTTGTTCTCTATGCAAATGAAGTGCTAAAGCAGCTGAATAGTTGTTCTAACCTCCAAAATTTTGCCTAGGCTGTTAAATAACCTTAAAGAGGTGAGAGTTTGATGCCTGAGACCCTTTTTTGAGTTGTTTTGTGTTCAGACAGACAAAAACATTGCTGTCACCTCTGAATCCTGTCTTAAGTGATCCAGTGAGACTTGATCAATATTAAGTCAGGTGCCTGGATTGTGTGAGCTGAACTGTGTCTATTGGGTATGAACTGTCCATTGGTATGTGTCTCTTTTCTCTTCCACTGCTACATTTGGAGAAAAGGGTCCTACCTGTTCTCATATAGAATCCTTCCCCTACATAACAGTTCTTTTCCCCCTCAGTGCTCCCATAGTACCTGAAGTCAGTCAACATTTGGATAGCTTTCCATTTTACTTTTTCTTGGTCAAAACATGGCACTGATGGTTTGCTAAGAACCATGGGAGATGGATCATGAGGGTGAGAAGGGAGAGCCTTCCTTATGTAGGGGCTCATGTAGTAGGGTCAGTTACTGATGAGTTCCAGGACTTGCTGGTGACAAGCAGATATCACTGAAGCTCTTCGTAGCTAGAAACCTCACAGATTCTGGAGAATTCCCTTGCCACAGCTGCTTCCGTTCTTGGAGGCTGCCCGGTAACCACCTGTGAAATGATACAGGCCACAGAGCCACCAATTAGATGTTCTGGGTTAAAGAGGTTTCCACTTTCCAGGGCCAGGCGCGGTGGCTCATGCCCCTAATCTCAGCATTTCAGAAGGCCAAGATGGGCTGATCACTTGAGGCCAGGAGTTCAAGACCAGCCTGGGCAACATGGTGAAACCCTGTCTCTATTAAAAATACAAAAATGAGCCAGGTGTAATAGTGCATGCCTGTAGTCCTAGCTACTCAGGAGGCTGAGGCACCAGAATAGCTTGAACCCAGGAGACAGAGTTCGCAGTTAGCCGAGTCGTGGCACTACACTCTAGCCTAGGCAACAGAGTGACACTCTGTCTCAAAAATTAAAAAATAAGAGGTTTCCGCCTTCTGCTTGTCTCTGTGCATTTTTGCCCTTGTTAGGTAATTGCCCGACTGAAGCTTAATACATTTTGGGGCAGAGATGTAAACTCATAAGTACCCAAGTGATGAAACAGCTCTATTTTCTATGCTTCCTCCTTTTGTCTTTAGGTTCAAGAGAATGGCTGCCTGTCTGATGGGAAATTATCTTGCACCATGCTGTGATAGCACTCTGCTAAACTTGACTCAGGAGCTTTCTTGTGGATGTAGGCAGTTGTGATCAAATTTTTGTGTGGAGGGCAGATATCTGAGTGAACTGCCAGGACATGGTCACATGCCTTTGACAAACAGAAATGGTTCAGGAGAGCCACTGAAGCCAAAGCTTTAGGGACGCATGTACTCGGTGCTTCCACAGAGTCTCAGTTCTGGATGCAGAACGCCCAGTGTGGGAGCCAAACACCCACTCTTCAGCTTAAAGGTATTGCCAGCCATCTGGCAATATTTGGATCTGACTCTCAGATTTCAAGTCTTGCCCTTAGAGATAAGTATTCCCAAGGGCTCTTTTCTGGGAGCAAAACATATGAGTTGCTTGCTTATACTGTAACTACTGACCACATCACGAAAAGTCTATAACTTCTTGTCAAATTTTGTAAACAGAGGCAAACATAATAAAGTATGTTAGAGATGAATTTTAAGAACACCAGTAAGGAGAGTTATATATAAAAGTCAGTAAATACTACCTTGAACTGTAACATTTTTGTAGTGCTTTTAACAAACAACACTTATAGGAATGCCCCGAGACCCCGGTATCCCTAGGAAGTGGGTAGAGTAAATATTAGCTTCCCACAAGCAGATAGGGACATGGGTGGGTGTGCATAGCAAAGGCTGGGTACTGTGGGACTTTAATGACGCCACAGAAATAAAAAGCATCCAAGCTTCTCACCATTCATGCAGTTGTGGTTTATCAGAAAATTTTGGAAATGTCCCTTCTTGCCTAAGGAGGTAGGAATATGGTATATTGCCCAATTCTACAAGGAGAGGATGATTCTGCCATGGATTAGAAGTAAAGTCCATTGAAGAAAAGGACAAAAAAGTGAAAGGAGTAAAGGGACCAGTTAGCACCCTATGGCTCCATCTGTCCTTGTTTAAAAGAAGTAGGTGCTGTAAAGAAGAAAAAAGAAATTTAGATTAAGACACTACCATCAATGGTCAAGCTTCTTTCTATGAAGACCAGACCTGCCCATGACTTTGTGCTTAAAAATACTCATTTGTGCATCTTACTAAAAATCCCTAAGAATTTTGTATTGGAGCTTAGATGTGTGGGGTATATCCATCTAATTCTACCATAGTAGCTGTAGCTGAGGTATCATGTACTTGCCATCCCCAGAAGGAAGTACTTTATTTAAGCAATGTGAAGTTGAGCAATGCATAAAAGCTGGAGTAGAATAGAAATGTTATCATTTATGCCGATCTCCCAAACAGTGCACTTTGCTGGCCAGTCTTTAAATTGCCTCTTGCTGCCTGAATAGCTACTATTAAAGAAATGAGGCATTTTGTTTTCTAGACAGCCCTCTGATTGTTGACTACAAACACTCACACAGAGTGCCTGATTGCAGAGCTTTCTGTTTTTTTCCCAGGTCATCCCACAGCAGTTCAAAAGGTGACTGCTCTTGGGGAAGAGGTCAAGTCAATGCATTTTAAGAAACCTACCCTTGTGTCTCCCCATGGCCAGAATGTGACCCCATATAGAGCTTCTGAATTTGTACATTAACCCCCTTGGCACCACACCTGAGCAGTTTGACTGGGTCTTAATGAGAGAACATTTTTTCAAGAACAACCTTTACTTGTTTCTCAGTGCACACCTCATCTCCACCCAATTATCTAAACATCAGCATTCCTTGGTGTGCTTGGCCTTGCTGGTCCATGCTGGTTATAGGGTGTGGGGTGGCATTACAGGAGACTATGCAAGATTAAGGCTTTGACACATTTGGGTGCAGGAATGGTCCTGCAGAGGAAAGTCTTTCAAAAAGACTTTTAAAAAGACCTATAATGTTAATTTGCTTATTATTATTTTCCTTTCTCCTTCTGGGTTTCTTGGCTTCCTTTAGAATTAATGGTTATCTCCATGTATACAGCCTATCCATTCTATTTCCCTCTTCCCCCTACTCTTTGGATTCTTTTCCCCTTTTTCTCCTCCCATCTTACCTATAAAACAGCAAGAGCAATGCAAATCAGTGTCCCTTCTTTCTGTCTTCCTAGGACAGAGGGCAGGGAGTCTGGGACGGTGGGAGTTTCAAGATTTCTTTAAGGGAGGCATTCAGGGTGCTCTGGGGCTGGGGATTGGTGATGGGGAGGCACAGAGGGCTTGTCTTAAAGCCGTTTGCTTAGCTAACACAATCTTTACATCCACCGATTATGTCTGTTGGATGCCTGCAAGAGAGTTGGTGGATATCATGGGGGCTGATGCCTGCCTAAGCTATTGCTTGCTACTAGTCAAGCCTGAATTTAGAGTCTTTGTGCTTTATAGACTTTAGGGGTAATATAGAATTAGCCTTGTGGACTAGTCTGTTGCCCCTGCCCCGTTCTCTGCTGCCTGTCTCAGATCTGTTGCCCCTGTTTTCCCCCCAACACCACCCACTAGGAGGGCTTAATTAAAAAAACAGACATGGCAAAAAAGCACAGTTGCTTTGGCCTGCACCCATTATTCAAACTACGAGATTCAGAATTCTGTAAACCACAAGGGTTTTGTGCCTGTGGTATATTCTGGAATTTGAACTCACCATAGAAAGAGCCTGCTTTGTATTATTCTTTCATGGCATAGATTTATCCTTTTGTATACTCTAATAATGTATTTCTATGGAAATCATTTAACTTATGTAGCACAGCTCATCTTTTCTTAGTCAAGTTTTTAATAAAAAGTATGTGAAAATCTTTCTCCATAAATGTAATGGGGGAAAGAAGTGCAAGTATATTTCTTCAGAAAGTTTCAAAGAACTGAATCATGTTAAAGCACTTGTCTGAATGGATATGAAAGTACTCTTAACATCTGGCATTTATCTGGAAAAGGGCACATTTTCATCAAAATTTTAATATTCCATATGTAAGTTATGAATTCTTTATGGCTCTCTAGTTGCCTTGTTTCCACAAGCATGTACAGTGTATATAAAGCTCCAAATAGGCTTGTTGTGGCATGCCCTTGGTTTAGTATCGCACTAGGTATATAAGAAAATCCAGCATAACTTTGTTGCTTTATAAGGATACTCAAAGCCTGTGTGTTTCCCTAGGAAATGATTTGCCATGTTTGCACTTTTTCTTCACGGACATACAACTGTTGCCTCCCAAAAATGTGATATCTGAAATGAGATAGGTTCAATTGTTAATGTTTAAAATCCTGAGACTGCAGGCAATTTTTGAATAATTTTGGTTTCTTTTAAGGATGGTATTGACTGGGTGCAGTGGGTCACACCTGTAATCCCAGCACTTTGAGAGGCTGTGGTAGGAGGATTGCTTAAGCCTAGGAGTTCAGGACCAGTCTGGGCAACATAACAAGACCTTAACTCTGCAAAAATTTAAAAATTAGTCGGGCATGGTGGCACACACCTGTAGTCCCTGCTACTTGGGAAGCTGAGGTGAGAGAATTGCTTGAGCCTATAAGGTCAAGGCTGCAGTGAGCCTTGATGATGCCACTGCACTCCAGCGTGGGTGACAGAGAGACCCTGTCTCAAAAATAAAATAAAAATGGTTATTGAAAGGGGAAGGTGGTGGTTGTAGGTCATGTTTCTCTGCCCCAGAAAAAAATTGTTTTAAAAGTCTAGAGAGTTTCAGTCTGTTGAAGTTAAAATTTAAAGTGGTGATTCTCTTTCCCTTTTTCACTCTAGCCTGTTATTTTGGGGATGAGGAAGCTGTTCCTTTATGTATCAATCACTTTAAATAAATTTCCAGTTCTATTTAAGTCACTTTTCCGGGTAGCCCTCAGCCCTGCAGGTGTGTAAATGCCATAGCTCCCAGGCTGAAGCACATCAGGGAATGAAGTGCGCAAATTTCACACTTCTGTAAATGTTGCTCTGTGTTATGAGTCACAATTGCCAGGATTTAAGAAAATAAAACAAAAAGCTAGCTTTGAGGTTCCTGTGCTTCCTTTGGAATAACCACTGTTTTTCTTTGCCACATGAAAAGAAATGCCCTCCATAATTGTTCTGTGTGTGTTGACTCACCTTTTTTGCCACAGCGCATCTATTGGTGTAAAGTGAGAGAATCATCAGACTGGAATGAATCTTGAGAGGCTGCCGACCAAACTCCCAGGCAGGGCTGCACCCACATTATCCCAGAGAGATGAGACTCGCCCCGACTGGAAAGGTTTTCCGGGAGAGTAATTCCACAGCCATCGCTGTACCTTGTAAGACATACCAAGCTTCACTGTCAGGAAAGACATTTAGAGCAAGCCTGAATCCCTCATGCTGAAATGTAAACCCATTATCTCTTGCTGCATACCCTGGTGAGTCCCTGCAGTCTAAGAGTTCATCATATGCTTGGCAGCTAGTGCTAATTTGCCTCTGTTCTCCTTACCTCTGAGCAAAATCATCCCATTTCAAATTTGTGATATTTTTCTGAGAGCCCAAAACTAAGCTTTGTTTTTTTGGTTTTTTGGTTGTTTTTTTTTTTTTTTTTAAATAAATGATGCCCTGTATTGAGGGTAATGGGAAGACTCACAGAGTCTTGGGATCTTATAGTCCTGTTTATCCATCTCAAGTGATGTTTGCATTTAAACTCTATTACGAAGACTCAGAGTCTTCGGATCTTATAGTCCTGTTTATCCATCTCAGAGTGATGTTTGCATTTAAACTGTATTATCACCCACGCTGTTCCAAGATTAGCATTTCAGAATGTTGACCTCACAGGGTAGCTCATGCAGGACTCTTAGGACACTCCATCTGGATATCAGGCAAAAGCTTACTCAACATTTTTTCTACCGCTGTACTTGGTCCCATGCCTAATGATGGTCAGTGTAAACTTCTTTAGTAGTGGGGCTTAACTTTAAGAGTTTGGGTAAATTTTAGTTTTTGTATTGTAAAAATGTCAGTATTTCTAGTCACTGCCAGACTTAGATTTTCTTTTGATATTTTTATCTAGGTTGGAAATGTATCATTCCTAAACAGCCTAGGAGTCTTTCATAGTTTCTTTGCTCACTGCCTTTCTGCTTTCAGGAAACAAAATAAGGCAGCTTTAGGGAATTTTTCTGTTTGCATCCTAGTGCTATGTCTACAAGGAGATGGGGGAATGGTAGACATGACAAGAAAATCAGGATTAGATGTCACTTCTTTTGCTGTGGCATGTTTGAAGTAATGATTAGGCTGGGCTTCATGAGCTTGGGAAAATATGCAGCCTTCATTCCCTGCCCCCTCCCACCCCTCTTAATAAGCACAGGAGAAATTTAGCTTGCAAATGAATGTATGTTTTGGGGGCAGAAAGCCGTGTCATTCCCAAAAATATATGATGAAAGAAGTCTTACTTCTGGGAAGCTGTGTGCTATTTGTGATTACCCAAAAGCTCCCCACCTCCCTCAGCAATGAAGCTGTTTCTATTACCATTAGGTCTGGAACCTAATATGGATTTTTTGGGTGGTTACAGGTTGGAAGACGGTGCCATTGGGTCGGGTGCTCCTGCCATTTAGAGAAAGTCAGAAACAACCAATAAACGTAAACCCCAAGGAAACGTTTCTTTTATCAGCCCATCATGGTGGCCTCCTCTTTATTCTTCCTGCTGCTTTCTCTTTCAAGGGTGTCACAGAGTCCCTGTAACGGCAGAAGGGTAGAGGTGAGTGCCGATGTAGGAGACCTTGCATTGTCCTTAGCTATCCCATCTGCAGCGAGTAATGCCACTACCCCTGCCATACTTTATTAATTTCAGAATTAGCCCATGAAATTAAGGGGACAAAAAAGGAATAAGTCAGTTTGTAAGAGAACTGGCAAGACAATATGTGATACAATGTTGGTGTTTCTTGTAGGTAGGGGGAAGAAACAGGGAGGCTTTTTATATTAAGATAATGTTGAGCTGTTGCATACCTGTCCGAATTACTAGTATGTTGTGGTTTCTAGAGACAAAGTAGGAGGACAGGCTGCTTTTGAGGGAGAAGCAGCTCCTTACAGGAAAAGAGCTGGAGCGCTGTCAAGCTAGACTCAAACCACCAGATTTCATTCTGGTCTGTGGTTGACTTGCATTGTGTTGTAGCTTTTATCTGCAATTCTGACATCTTTGATTTGGCAAAGGGATTGCAAAACACTCACAGGCCCTGGCCAGGCTAGTGTTGGCAGATGGGGTGGGGTGCAGGAGGTGCACCAGCTTTGGTAGGTTCATGGCTTACTTGCAGGAACAAGGTCTTTTTGGGTAGAACAGCGCCTTTTTGGCTACAGAGTTCAGGCTGCCCTTTACCTATACAGGGGAGCTTCTTACCTCTGGTGCCAGGCACTGTCAGAGCAAGCATGGGGATCCCACTGAAACTCCCTCTGGTACCAATGGCCTTTCCAATTTGAGCAGCACTGCTATAAACCATCTGGTGCTGAGCACCATCCAAGTCTGCAGTCTTGAGTCCTCAGGCTCTCTCCCTTAGCCCACACCAGATATGGGATCTCAAAATGTGTGACCCTGGATACCCGTGGTAAATGTGACAGGTCAGCTTGGAAGTTTGTGGTTTCAAGTACTAGAAAACTGACTGTGCCTCAGTTTCCTTATCTGTGAAATGAGTTCATTGTAGCACCTATCTCGGTTTACTGTGAGAATTCTATGAAAACTCTTGTAAAGTGATCGACACGTAAGAATGAGCTAGGCAGAATTCATCTGGAGTACTGTGCTTGGTCCTGGCTACCATTTACCAAAAGGAACATTGACATCCTAGGGGCCCCTGGGCGATCAAGGATTGTTCTGGAGGTTTGATGATTTAGGAAGGATCTTACTGATAGAGTGAGTTACTTGGAGAGTTTGGAGTATAAAAGAGAGCTAATTTTATCCTACTTGTGGAACTAGACCAATGGGACAAGTTGCAAGGAGGCAATTTCAGAGTTGCTATGTAAGGTAAAATTTGCAAATGCCAGTAGCTATCCAACAGTGAGCAGGCTTGGCTGTCTGAGGAGTTGCCGAGCTTTTTAGCACATAGACATAGTGACCACCTGCAGGCAGCACTGTAGACAGGATTCTGGCACTGGCTGGACTGTTGGATAAGAGGACAGTTAATGATCTTTCCAACTCCTAGATTTGGAAAATCCTTGGTTTATCTCTCTGAATACACTGGGAGCTTGTTGAGAGCAAGGATTACCTATTTATTTGTATTCTTCATAAGACTTTGTAAATAGGGTCAAGAAAACACTTAAAAATTGTATAATACTAATATATGTTTATTATAGAAAAAATACAATAAACCTGAGAAAGAAAATCATCTGTAATCACACTACACAGAGATTACCTGGGGATGTTGTTAACATTTTGGTACATGTATTTTTGGACTTCTTTCTAGTTAGATATTTTGGCTAAAAATAATACTATATTAAAAATTGTTTTGCATAAACTATCTTAAGTGTAGTTACACTTACAGAAATGTCTGACAGATATTTGCAGGTGATATCATCTCATAGTGGTGGTGGGAAGAGGTAAGGATAATGTTCCTTTATCTGTATTTTCTAATTTGCTAACTTTACCCGTTCAACAAATACTGCGTGAAATTCTACCATGTGCCAGGTACAGTTCTTCTTGTTCATGAGCTATTTCCCCAGCCTCTTGACATCCCTGCCTTCTTGGAACTCATAATTTTATGGGGGCAGTGAGTCAACAAAAAAAAATGTTAGGATATGATGTCAGGTCATACTAAGGGTTACAGGAAAAAAGGAGGAAAGAGAAAGTGGATGGGGGAGAATAGGTGATCTGTGGGGGACAATTGGAAACCAACATGAAAGAACTTAGGAAATGAGTCATACATGTGGGAAATAATGATTGCTAAGTTAATTATATATTTCTCTGTTTTGGTGACAACTTAGGATTATTCTATTCCTGCCACACAATTTATTCAAAAACTTATTATTTTTGATTATTTTTCTATCATGAATAGATGACCTTTGTGTGTGTCCTTGCTTACAATAACTTCCTTGGTCCTCTCTTTTGTACTATTGAGATGCGTTTTTATGGAAATTGATTTTGGGGTCATTATGTATGTCCCGCTTGGTTCTTGACTGTCTCTTACCTGAATGATATGAGGACCCATGAGGCAGAGGGTGCAAAGCGGGCATGAGGCTACTCCAGTTTCCAGGCTGTTTAGGATGAATGTGTTTGCCTGCTTACCTGCTGGCCCAGCCTGGGTGCAGGGAGCAGCTGATTCAATTACACGTGTTGAAAGGCAGACTCTAGATTACTCTGATTAATGTGATCTAGGCTCCAATGTGTTGAATCATTCTGATTGCTTAATCAGGACTTGTGAAAATGAGATAGGATAGTAACGTACCACTGTTTTCAAAGCCTGATTTTATTTTGACACTTTTTAGCAGGCAGAAGGGGTGGCATATGATAATTGTGGTCAGTAAGGTGGCAGTGGACCAAGGCACAGTGGCTCTAGCTTGTAATCCCAGCACTTTGAGAGGCTAAGGTGGGAGAATCACTTGAGCCCAGGAGTTTGAGACCAGCCTGGGCAACATGGTGATACCCCATCTCTACAACAACAACAACAAAATTAGTTGGACGTGGTGGTGCCTGACTGTGGTCCCAACCACTGGAGAGGCTGAGGTGGGAAGATGACTTGAGCCTGGGATTTCGAGGCTGCAGTGAGTTGTGTTCTTGCCACTGCATTCTAACCTGGGTGACAGAGTGAGACCATGTCTCAGGGAAAAAAAAAAGAAGATTGCAACGACCCTTGTGGCTAACAGTCTGCCAGCTGATGTTGTGGTTAAGTGATTTGCCTGAAATATTTCATCTAATCTTCTCAACTAGAATGAGTGGGTGTTGTTCCCATTTTAAAGATGAGTAGACTGAGGCTTAGAAAAGTTAAACGAGTTACCCAAAGCTGAACTAATACTCAAGTCCAGGGTATTTTGTTTTTGCATTTTGACAAAGCCTATGTCCTTAACCATGAAACTGTTTTTTCATGTTGTTTTCTTTCTACCTAATCTCTTTCCCATTCTCTTCATTTTCTGGGAACAAAGTGATCCGAGTTGGGACTATTGTTGGCTGGGTTAGAGTGATTGGAAAGGAAAGAAGATTCAGACCTAAAAGCCATTCCTTCTTTCTATCTAAACACACTGTTCTCTGAAGCAGTCAGCAGGGCCCCATCAGAGAGGGAACACGAAGCAGATTTGAAATGTGTCTCCTCCTCTCCTGGTGCTTTGGATTAGATGTACCAGCAAACGGTAAATGGCCCATCCGTCAGCAGCCCTGTGGTGAGGCAAGACAAGCCAGGGCCTGCCTGGGCCTTCCCTGAAACGGAGCATGCCGTGGCATCAAGCATTTTAAAACTGATTTTCTTTAAATGAAATAATGCATATTAAAGTATCTTTTAAAAGATGGGAATGCATTTAAAAATGATTGTATTGAATATCTAAATAGCTGACATCTTGGATAACTCTTACACTTTAATTAGAAGTCTGGAAGCATGTGCCTTGAGTTTTATATATACTCTGTATGTGTATATGTTGGTAATTGCATGTCTGTGTGTATGGGTATGTGTAGACACACACACACACACACACACACACACACACACACACACACACACACACATAAATCTAAACCTCCATTTGCTTTCCCAAACAAAAAGTATTGTCCTTAATCCATTAAAATCTAGGGTCTCTTCAAAGCACTTCAACCATTGCTGTAAAAATACTTTGGCCTTTCCTGATCTGTGGAGTTTATTGACTGTTTCACCACTAAAGGTACTTGGTTTCTCTAGAATGGGGAATTCAATACCTGCTAAATTGGATCAATATAAAAATTTATGAACAATTCAGACCTTGTCAGAGAACCCTTTTATTCATGTTCATAGAATTCTCTGTGGGAGTTTCCGCCTGGGGAATCACATCAGTATTTAGCGTGCACTGAAATATTCATGTCCCCTGATTAGCTGGATTTAATTGTTACATCTTCATCTCCTCCATGATGTGTCATTAGGATGCAGCCCCCTTGAAATTTAAGTTGGTGCAGCCAGCTTAGTGCAGTGTCTTTATTTTGTCTGTGTTTCTTTCCAAAAACCCTTGTATAACCACATAATTTTCGTTTCCCTTGAAAATAAATATTACTACAAGTTAGGATTTTTTAGTGGAAAATAATAACTTATTTTTAATAGCTACTATTGTCTTACAATATTTGTATAGGAAATTTTTACAAAATATATAAAATATTCTTCTGTTTAGATTTTTAATTTTTAAAGATCACATCAGTTGAAGGTAATAACCTTTCCTTTTCTGTAGTCTTTAAGCAGCAAAGTTAGGTGTTTGTAAGGGCTTGTTTTACCTATACTACAATTTTGTCCTCTTTAACTTTCCCACATAGAATGTAGGAATAGCTGGAGATTAATTTTTCACGGATTCCTTCCTGGGTCTGATACCAGCTGAATGGTCTTCTATTTCTCAAAATGTTTAAAGTTTTAAAGAATGAATACCTGTCTATCCCCCATGCTAATTGTGCTAATTCTGCTTTCTTCTCTTAACAGAATAACCCTCTGAGATCTTTCTTCTCAACAGTTTCGTGGGTATTTGCAAGGATCTCAGAAGTGCTATGATATTCTGTTGCAAAGCAGGGGACTTGGTAGTTATGAACAAGACCCTGGGGTTAGACAGACCTGGGCTTTCATTCTGGCTCTGTTACTTACTAGCTTGACAAGTTACTTAACCTCTAAGTCTCAATTCCTACCTCTTTAAATTGGAGATAACAGCACTACCCATCTCATAAAGCTATGTGAAGAATAGTTGAGAAAAATGCATGTTATATGCTGAGTATAGCAATCTAGCACATAGCAAGCAGTTGTGTTAGCCAGTAAAAATTACGATGGGACATATTTTCAGGGGAGCATATGTTTACAGATGGGATGGGATTGTGGGTCATCTTTAAAGCTGATTGTCAGTCTCAGACACCTCTCCCCCTTGGGAGCCATTTCCTAACCATTTATTTGAAGAAGGGGAGGTGTGGCTTTAAGTGGGTCCTAGGGACCAGTATGACAGCTTTCACAGTGAGTACCTGGGCCTGCTTTGTGATCTGGCACTGTTCCCTATATCAGCCATCCTTGGGTAGGGTTAATCTTTCTTGTATAAATGGTGTCCCACTGCTGCGGTGTTGAAGGAGCCTTTGAATGCTGTTTTGAGCAACTGAATTTCAGCTGAGGTTTAAGAAATAATTCAGGGGCCACTGACCTCTCAATGAAATTATCAGGTAAAAGGAAAGATGAAAAGCTGCTGCTTTCTGAGTTGATCTAGGGCACACAAAAGTGATTTCCATGCAGTGAGACATCTTTAATTTATAATTTAGATTATATTTAATGAGTTTTAACTTTCAAGACTATGAGCAGCATTTCTTGAAATACTACATAGCAGGTGCCCCTAGCTGGAATTCCGGTAGTAAAGAGGAATGTTCCAGTCCTAGAAGTCACTGAACAGGCCTGATGGTATCCATCTAGCAGGGAACACTACCCTTTTGCCAGGCATTTTGTTCTGTATGTATCTGAATTAGAACACCTGGGTGTGGAGTCTTGGATGGGAAGCTGAATGAGGCTTTTTCATGTGCAGATGTTTCTTGCTGTCTCCAAGGATAGCTGGGACATACATATTTTATTGACTACCCACGAGCTCTTGGATTGCCATTGGGAGAGAGGTAGCCTCTGGACAGGGAACCAGGAAATCTGAATTTGATGAACCTTGAACCTCTCTGAGTCTCAGTTTCATTTCTCTACAATGAAGGAATTGGACTAGATGTTCTCAAATTCCCTTGCCAGTGGTAAGACGATGTGTGATTCTGAAAACTCATTCCATTTTTAGGGAAAAGATCTTGGGTGAACAGTTCTGTATAGAGTGAAGCTTCCTTAAATATTTGAGCTTCAGCAGATTTTTCTGGGACCAGTGGACAAATAAAGTATGCAAAGCCCATAGTGCAGAACTCAGGTGCCTGGACAGGTGAACATGCCAGGCAAGCATGTTACAAGTTTAAAACCAGAAGAATCTTAGAGGTAATCCGATACAAACCCTTCTACAGAGGACAAAAAAGCACAGAAAGGACAAAGAGAATCACCCACATTTATACCAAGCTGAGCCCCACGCTTCATCACAGCATTGGAGGACTTGCCCTGCCACCCTTCTCGCTCCCACCCAAAATCACATGGGTGCTGCCATCACGAAAACCCTGACCCTGCTTCTCCCATGTCTTCAGCCCTGCCTGTGCACACACCTCACCCCCGCCCCACATCCACCCCTCCACACACACATACATGGACACAAGCAGGTTTACGCATCCCTCGGGCAAGGGAGAGCCGTGGTATGTTGAGTTGGAGGTGCCAGTGATGCACATAGTGGAGAAGATTTGAGCATAGGGTCCTTGTGTGTTATTATCTCCGGTACTGTTAGGTTGGAAAAAGTAATTGCAGTTTTTGCCATTGCAATTACTTTTGCACCAACCTAATATTTATTAGTTTTCTTCACTTCGGCTGATTTTCTACCCCTCTTCTGTGCCTTGGTTTCCTCGTTTGCCAGAAGGAGGTAATAACATATATCTCACAGCATTGTGGTGATGGTTAAATAAGATATGGCATGTAATGTGCCTAGCCCAAGCCCCTGATACCAATAAATATTCAGCAAACGGTAACTATTAATATTATTACTTTCATTATTACTGCCTGGTGACCTGGAATTCTCAAGAATATTCGCAGATTTTGGCATTGGGATTTGACACTGCCTTTCCTCTGCAGCTGATGGAACAGGTAAAGTGTATGAAGCATGCAGTGCGGAACCTGCCAAAAATATGTATTCAATGAAATTAAGTTCAGTGAAATTAAGTGTCCTTTAATGAGAGAAGTTGGCACTACCCATTGTCACTGGATGAGAGAAGTTGGCACTACCCATTGTCATCACTAAAACATAAGCAAAAATTGTGCATACTTTGTATCTGGAAAGCAAGTGGCTCAGCTAGAAAGACAGAATAGTACAGTAGTCCCCCCTTACCCATAGTGTCATTTACTTGCAGTCAACTGCAGTCTGAAAATGTTAAGTGGAAAATTCCAAAAATAAACAATTGGCAGGTTTGAAATTGCAAGCTGTTTTGAGTAGGCTGATGCATTTGCGTGCTGGGCTGCTTTGTCCGACCTGGGGAAGGGCTCCTTCCTTTGTCCAGCATATCTGCACTGTCTGTGCTCCCCACCCATTAGCCAGCTGGGTTATCACATCAAATGCCATGGCATCACAGTGCTTGTGTTCACGTCATCCTTATTTTACATCATAATGGCCCGAAGCATAAGAGTAGCAGTGCTGGCATATTGTTAATAATTGGTCTGTTCTATTAATTATTTTGAATCTCTGACTATGAATTAAACTTTATCATAGCTTTGTATGTATAGGAAAAAACAGTGTATATAGAGTTCAGTACCAACTGAGGTTTCAGGCGTCCACTGCAGGTGTTGGAGCAGACCTCCCTCCATTAAGGGGGAGACCACTGTAACTCCTGTCATTACTCAGTGGGAAGGCAATAGATGCACGCTGGCAGTGAGTGTTAAACTAGCACTTCAAGTAGCCAGACCAAGTTAAGGAGAAAGAGAACAAGCACAGTTTACCCCAGATGAACTCACTTCCCAACAAAGCCGGGAAGACTGGCCCAGCCCTCAGCACCATGAGGTGCCTCAGCAGCATGAGGTGCATGTATCTAGATAGGGCCTGTGGGGATGAACTCATTCCTCTGCCTCACCTGTGGCTGCAGGTGCCTTTGGGCCCTTTGAAGACTGTGCTGTTCAAAGCACAGACTGAAGTCCCACAAAGATGAATCTAGGTTCTCCACCATTTTATTCAAATCGTATTCCTTTTTACCAACTGTGTTTCATGGGAAAAATAGTTGTCCCTCAGCAAATCGGGAAGCATAGCTTGCCCTTAGGCCACAGAGTCCTGGCGTGATGAAGGTCAGAGGAGATGGTGCCTGGAGAGTGGTGTGTGCACTGGGTAGTGTAGGCATGTCTGCTGTGTTTATTGCCAGGGTTAGCAAAATGCAGAAGCACCTAATAACCAGAAATACGCAGTGACACTCCTGGAGGGGCTCTCATCAGAGTCATTGGACTGCAGAGTTCAAGGGCACCTTATGAAGTGTGAAGCCTTTTGTCACACAGCAGATATGTAACGGAATAGACATCTATTCACTTAGCAAAGGAGATACCCCTGGGAGAGTCTGTCATGAGGGCACTGCTCACTTCTTACCTGGGCTCAGGGGGGCTGGACACCTTTCCTCTCAGAGGCTAAGAGGGCTTGTCCTTAGAGTCAGTTGAACAGTGAAATTATTTTACTCAAGTTATGTTTTATCCAAAAATAACCATTTTGACAGTTAGCTTGCAGCCAAATGTCCAGGTGGTTTAGTTTCGTTTGGATACACACTGTAAAATGAATGTGAAGCAGGGCTCAAAACAGCCTAGGGAATTAGGGCCTTTTATCTCCAGAAATGTGAGGAATGTGTGGATCTATATCCTTCATGCACTAGATCCAGATTTGTATACAAAGTGTCAGGGTTCTATCCAACCTCGTTTAGGCCTCATGTTAAAATTTCACAGAGAACTAAGAGCCCTGGCTGTCAGCTCCTTAAGCCTTAGGATTTCAGCAGAATCTGGCAACGCAGCTATTGGCTTCTTAGTCCTGTGCTATCTACCAGGTGATAACGCTTCTCCAGGACAGGACTGTTTTCCTAGTCTGAGTGTCCCTAGCACCTCTGATGGGGCTTGGTCTGCCTGAGAAGGTTGTTGACTTCAAACAAACCCGTTTGTTGAGTGCTTACCTGGTTCCAGCCACCCTGCTAGTCACTTTCTGGATGCCATCATTTGTCTTGACACAGCCCTACAACAAAAGGGATTAAATTGTGCAAAGACAGTCCACCAACAAGTGGCATAGATAAGATTTGAACCCAGCTTTATCTGATTCTGTGAATTAGGATTAGATCAGCTTCATTTGCCAGAAACTCTCAACTTCATAGCGCTTTGTATAACAGAGGTTTATTTCTTGCAGTTCTGTAACAGAAGTCTGGGGTTAGGTGGTCCAAAACTGGTGGGGTGGCTCCACAAAGTTGCTAGGGACTGAGGCACCTTTCTGCTCCCTAGAGTCTCAGCTTTGTAGCACAAGATGGCTGCTAGAGCTCCATCCATCACATAAGATACCAAACAGCAAGGATGGATGAAAGGAAAAAGGATGTGCCCTCTCAAAAAGATTTTCCCATACCTCTCACACAGTATTTCTGCTTACATCGCACTGGCCAGAACTTTGTCACATGGCTATACCTAGCGCAAACTACACTGAAGGATGGGAACTGGAATATTTTCGCTGAGCAGAAATATGACCAGCTAAAAATCAGCATCTGACTCCTGAGTATGAAGAGAAATATGTGTTGAGGAAGACACTAGCACAGACTCTAAACAGCATGTATTTTCTTTCTCTTTGGTTCATGGAACATTTTCTTTTCATCATACTTCATAGTTCATATGTCTGAATCTCTCAAGTTAGAGGCCATTTCAGAAACCAGAATATGATTAAAGGGATCCCAAAAATTGGCATAAATATAATTTCCCATTTATACATACTTGACAATTTTGGTTGCTTTAGTACATTTATCTTTCCAAGATTTAAACCCACTGGTAGTCCTTTAAAAAATCACCCGGAGGCACTCTTATACACTGTTGGTGGGAATGTAAATTAGGACAACCATTATGGAAAACAGTGTGGAGGTTCCTAAAAAAACCCTTAAAATAGAACTACCATATGATCCAATCCCACTACTTGGGTATTTGTTCAAAGCAAAGAAAATCGGCTTATTACAGGAACACCTGTATCCCCATGTTTATCGCAGCACTGTTTACAATAGCCAAGATACGGAATCGACCTAAGTGTGCATCAGCAGATGAATGGATATACAGAGTGTGGTACATATGCACAGTGGAATATTATTCAGCCATAATAAAGAGTGAAATCCTGTCATTTGCAGCAGTGTGGACAGAACTGGAGGTCATTATGTTAAGTGAAGTAAGCCATGCACATAAAGACAAATATCACATGATCTTACTCATACTGGGAGCTAAAAAAGTTGATCTCACAGAGATAGAGAATAGAATGATAGATACCAGAGGTGGGGAAGAATGTGAGGATAGTGGGGGAGGGATGAAGAGAGAGGTTGGTTAATGGGTAAAAACATGCAGTTAGAAGAAATAACTCCTACTGTAGCACAGTAGGGTTACTATAGCTGGCAATAATGTATATTTCAGAATAGCTAGAAGAGATTTGAAATGTTCCTAGCACAAAGAAATGAAAAATGTTTGTGATGATGGTTATTTTAAATATCCTGATTTGATCATTACACATTGTATGCATGCATCAAAATATCACATGTACCCCATAAATATGTATAAATATTATATTTCAGTAAAAAAGTTTTAACTGCCTAGAGGGACCTCTAAACTAATTTTTTCATGCTTGCCAACACACAACTACACAAATTCCTTCATGTAGCATCGCTCACAAACACTCTAGCTTTTGAATTTGCAGGAATGCCACCAATAAGCCAGAGACTGGTGAAACCCCAAAAGAGGGGAGGTTATGTCAGCTTTTGATGACTTGAGTTGATGATGCAGTGGGACAGGGAGTGCCACTGAACTCAAACGCACAGAGATTGAGTGTCCAGCACTCAAACTTGTGGTGGGAAGTCCACTCCTCTCCTCACCTACTCCGTCCAGGAGGTCAAGGAGTGGTCTGTCAGCCAATTCTAGGCAGTGTGGCTTATGGCTGGTTGGTGGCTTCCCCCACTCCAACTTCTGCTCTCTCTAGTTGTAGCCTCTGCGGAGTAATTGTCAGTAACAGTAAGAGACATATTTTATTCTACCTCATTGTTACAGGTTTTCCTTCTGTCAGAAGAGTTGGTGGACAGACTGCAGCAAGGAAGCAAAATAACCCTGTACAATATTTATGCTATAGCCTGCATATGCAGAAAACAGTCACTTTATTTTATTGTGTCTTTAATACAGAAATAACTCAGGAAAAAATGCTCATTAAACAAAAAGTACCCAAACAAAAAAACAGCTTAAAACCACCCAAAGCCCATCACTAAAACATGAGAATGCTCTTTCTGGTTTATTTTTCTGTTGCAATTTTATTACTTTTATAATCAGAGAAGATATGTTAAGTAAAATTTTCATCCAAGTAACAAACTGAAAACTCTGTCATGTACAATACCAGAGAGCCAGAAAAGAGTGCTGTGGCCTTGGCCCTGGTGCTCAGCTGACTGTGAGACCTTGAGTAAGCAAGTCAGTCTCTGGATTCCAGATCCTAACCTGCAGTTATGGAGTCGGGGACATCAGTACCAAAGTTCTTTTCCCCACTCAGACATCTGTGATGATGACACATGAGACAGTCTCTGAAACTGATGTGGGGTCACAGAGCTGACATCAAGTCCAGATGTTTCTTATTGAGGGGCCCATAGATAGATTCCAGAGTGTGTCATCACCATAATTGGGTGGAAAATATGCATGCATCCCAAACTCATCTCTGCCCTAGTAGAAGGGTCCATTGCATTCATGAGATTCTCAAGGAATCTGTTCTCACCTCATACATAGGCACCTTCCATCCAGAGAAGTGAAGGGACCTGCCCCCTTGGGCATCTGACAGCTCTTCCTGGAAATCTGGAGAGCTGGTAGGCCAGAAGGTATTATCACTCTAAGCCCGGTGCTCTCCCCCATGATAGTGACCCATCCTGGACCCCTCTTCCAAGTCTGTGATGGAAGTAAGTACTCTGTGTGTGTCTCCATCTGGCCCAGTTCATGGAGTCTGTGGGGGAGCATGCAGCATTCTCTCAGCTTTTCCCTCCAGGCCTCCCCCAACCCCTTCAAGCAGCCCTTTCCCCCAGAAGTAGGAGGGGAGATATAATGAGGAAGGAAGCAAGTCTAGGCTAACAGAGCTGGGATCCTTATCCCCACTCCTCAATTTCTTCAAGAACATGTCAGCTCTCACGTATTTTATCCTTTTCGCCGGAGGTGAGGTGGCAAATCCTTTCTCAAGAGTTGGTATAATAGCGTAACATGCCACAGTGTCAGATGCTGAAGAAAAATCCTCAGACTGACAGTTCAAAGGCTGAGGGGGCAACCAACCATCAAAGGGAGTGAATTCGTTCCCCTTCCACCAAACAAAACAATCTCAACAAGACTATACAACGGGAACACTGTGGTATTTGTACTGAGAAGTCGTCACACAAAACGTTGTATCTGAAACCCACAGTGACCTTTTCCAAGCCACCCTAGCCCTACATCAGAAGACAAATACTGCCAGATTGCCTGACATTTTCTTTTTTTAATTTTAAGCATTCCTGATTTCAAATCGGCTATTGATCTGTTGGTTTGCTGCTCCGATGCGATTAAGTGAAGTCACATTTACTGCTATTAGAGTCTAACAAAAACAACTGCTTTGAAACCCCACACTCTGCCTTATATCTGCTTCTCCCTCACTCAACACCCACCCCACCCTCACCCTGAAGCCTGCCAGCCAACATGCTGTGTGTGGAGGGCAGGTTGCAGAAAAGCACATTTTTCTAAGCCTCAAATGAGAATCTTCAAAGTTGAGTTACGTACCATCGTCCTGTGTCCATCTTTAAAGATCAAATGTATTTGCTCACTTCTTACTTGAAATCCTTCTTGGCAAAGACTACAAAAAGCCTATAAAGCCAGGGGTTGGTTTGTTCTAATTCCAGTTGTTCACCCAAATGTAGTATGGAATTCAGTGAGGGGATGGTCTGAGCTCCACCTGGAATGGAAAGTTTCAAGGTTTCAAAGGACGTTTCAGGGTGTTGCTTTGGGACCAGTGTGTTGAACGGGTCTTAAAAATAGTTCCATCCGTCGGCCTGAAAATCACAGAAGGCACATGTGTGGTAGGTGTGTGTGCAGCCAAAGTCCAGTCTTTAGAACTTGGAAGTTGAACAGATGGAGATTCTGGATGTACGTGGGGCCTCCTGTTAATCTTTTGAAGAACATTCTTTCTAACTCCAGTTAACCCAGAGAAATGGCTGCAGAAAGATACCTCAGTTGATCCTTGGTTTGTCTTTTCACAGCGTCATTTGTCAGAGTTCTGGTGCTGCTCCTGAAAGAGGGCCTGCTAGCACATAAGCATCTGTCTGGCCAGTACAGCCTTTCGGGGGAAGTGGGGAGGCAAAGAGGAGGGAAGACCCAACAAGAAAATAAATGGGTCAACTGTACAAGGAGACCATCTAAAAAATGAGCTCTGCTGCTTTTTTCCCCTTAATGCTCAGTGCCTGTCTGCCTGTCACATATGCAGCAATTTAGATGACTGGATTCCAGAAATCCAAATTGCCCTATTCAGCTTTCATATTTTCCGAAGGTGAAAATTAATATGGTTCTGATTTTCTTGACTCTCATGATTAGAATCAGGCAGCTCCACTTCAGCTGTCAGGCTCATCCTCACTGAGTAGCTTGGGGAAAGCCATTGGAAAGAGAAGTTTTGTTCTCTGGCCTGATTATACCATGCAAAATTAGGTCCCATGTCCCACACATAATATTTAGGGTGACCATATAACCCAGTTTGCTGGTAGCACACCTGACTTATGCCTGTTGTCCCCAAAACTCATAACACTTACCTTCATTCTCAAAAGTGTTGCTTTTTGGATGATAGGCTTTTTATTTGGTTATACTAGTTGCGGGAATGAAGGGAAGGAAATACATCTCTGCTACAATACTCTAATCTCCTCCTTTCTGTCACCACAGCTCCATTCAGCAGCCCTGGCATCACTAAAGGGAGATATAGTGGAACTTAATAAACGTCTCCAGCAAACAGAGAGGGAACGGGACCTTCTGGAAAAGAAATTGGCCAAGGCACAGGTAAGGGATCTGGAAAGGTTTTTAGTTTGCTTTTGTTTTTTGTTTTAAATATTTAATCTTAAGATAAAACATGAGTACAGAAATTCCCACAAAACAAATTACAGCTTTATCAGCAAATACTCTGTCTTGGTCTGCTCTGGCTGCTGTAACAAATGCCATAGATTTGTGGCTTAAACAACACTTATTTCTCACAGTTCCAGAAGCTACGAAGTCCAAGGTGCCTACCGAGGGATTCCTTCCGAATGGCTACCTTTTTGTTTTTCTTGAGGCAGAGTCTTGCTCTGTCACCCAAGCTGGAGTGCGGTGGCACGATCATGACTCACTGCAGCCTCAACTTCCCAGGCTCAAGCATTCCTCACACCGCAGCCTCCCAAGTAGCTGGGACTACCAGTTAAATTTTTGTATTTTCTGTAGAGATGGGGTTTCGCCATGTTGTCCAGGCTGATCTTGAACTCCTGAGCTCAAGTGATCCTCTTGCCTTGGCCTTCTAAAGTGCTGGGATTACAGGCATGAGCCCTTGTGCCTGGCCTTTTAATTATCTTGTTAATATTAATTTTCTTCCTTTGCTTTGATTTTTCAAGGACTTCTATCATTTGTATGTTACATCATCTTTGCCTATCTTTATCTGTTACTATCTTAAATATTTTAAATCTTTTTTAATTTAATTTTTTCTTTTCCTTTTCTCTTGGGGTATTATGTGTTGTTTTTAGCCTTTCTTTTTTGCCTTCCAGTGTAGTCATCATTACTGAAATGCATTTTCATTTTATTTCTAACTCTTCTCACTTCTGAATTTTTCTAATTCCTAACGTTCTTTTCTGTCTCATGTCTTTTAGTTTATTTTGAAATAGTAGGCTATTATCTGGAGTGTTTTTGTTTGGGGGATTTTGTTTTTGTTCTGTGTTGTGGCATGCTTTTATGGTTTATAAGGATGTTCTGCCCTTGTTTTGTATAACTTTGTATGGGATTTGACGTCAGTATTTTTCTGTTTTTCATTTTCATGTGAAAAATAATTTCCTTGAACTTTCAGGAGGCAGGGTTTAAAATGGCTTTCTAAAGTGTTTAGAACCTAGCCTTCTGTTGTTTTCTTGTCAAAAATGGCAGCCTGCTTTCTGTCACTGTCTGGCTCTGTTCCTTTTACCTGCTTTTATCTGGACCTTTTCTTTCCTTTGTCTCTATTATTCCCATCCTGTTCAATTTTGTTTCCACTCCCAGCAGTTTCTCTTCCTGGAAGGCAGTCCTGAGGGCAGTCTCCAAAGTTCACAGGGACTAGCCTAGGTTAGCCTCTTCAAATCTTCCTGTGGGCCCCTTGCACTGACTCTTTGGTCAGGCAAAACCCCTCCTAGTTTTAGCTACTATTCTCCAATTGGGCATCCTTACTTTCCTGTGAATTCCTTTTGGTTTTTTAGGGGTTTTCCAGTTCTCAGATACATCAGCCTTGTTTTCCTCTGATTCTCCCCAAGCTGATGCCACTCAGATCTTATGGATGATGTTGGTTTGTTCTTACCTGCTTGTATTTTGTTGTTCAATGGCACACCTTGTCTCCAAGCTTTGGGCTTTACTGTGTAAGTGCTTTGTTTATTTTTATGTGGGAATTCAGAGAAATTTTAATACCAGGCTGGTATTAAATTAATATCTGGAAAGATGGCTGCTATAGCCATCTTTCCAGAATGACCTATGGAAAATTTTTGGAAACTTTCATGTCTCATAATCAAAGACTGCTTGAGTAGAGGGAAAGGATTCTCTGTATTTAAGATCATCCACTTTCACATTTGACGGGCATCTGAAGATTAACTTGATTACCCAAAGATAAATGAGTAGCTCAGCAAGGCCACCAGTGCCTTTTCCCACTATAGGATGTTAATACTATTTTCATAGTATTTATTTCATACTGAAATAAAAAAATTTTCAGTTTTTACTTAGATGAAAATGTTACTTAAAATATTTTCCTTCTGATTATAAAAGTAATAAAATAGTGATAGAAAAAACTGGAAAGCATTAGAATGTTTCAGTGGTGGTCTCCAAACTGAAACTTTTTCAGTGCTTTTTTTGTTTTACAGTGTTTTTTTTTTAAGAGAAAATAGTTATTTTTATATTTAAAAACAACAACAAAATGGTGGTGACTATGTTTTCTAATTTATACCCACCCAAAGCCAGCCATCATTAGCAATTCTTATTGATGAGAATTTGTTTTAAAAAAGAAAATTGTGAATGCATTTAATTGGAAGCTGGCATGTACAGTAGTCTTGGATTTTAAAAAGTGACCAGGAAGGTATTTATTAAAATTTAAGCCTACAAAGACAGCTTTTACAGAGGATGGTAAGAGGATAATGGAAAATTTTTTCTCTAAGTCAAGGATTGATTCAGCTCTTTTTTTACTTACCTGTGGTCAAGCCATCCTCATGTAATAGCTTTTGATGACTGATTTTACCCTTGATGATAATGGTCACATCATAGAACCATTTATTGACTCTCTTATTTGCATTCTTATGTAAAATAGATTTAAAAATTACTCTCTGCTCTTCTCACTGGAGTTTTCTTCCCAGTTCATATACTGGAACCTAGGAAAGAGAACATGAAAAAAAAGTCAGACTTATATCTTTAAAAACATGAAATTTATGCAAGAAAAATATAAGAACAATGAAATGACTGTGCTGCACTTTTGGTGTTATATGCCTTGGTAAAAGATTCATGTTTGAGGCTTTACCAGATTGTAGAAGAGCAAATTCATGTGTAAACTTACGCTGTGTGGCTCTATTAAGTTTTACCAGCTCTCTAAATATTATAGTGCCATGATTAAAATGTAAAATGTAAATGGTGGTTATGTTCAACAGACATTACCAAGAGAGCTGCAACATCTGTTGAATAATTATTAATGGTGACACTGGAACTGGTTGAATAAAAGAAGGTGTCTTATTTATGCTCATGACATCCACCTGTAGGTAGAGTTTTGAAAATAGTGATATGAAGGGAAGAGCCCAATACCAATGTGATGGGGAAGACAAAGTGCTTCTGTATTAATTTTCTATTGCTGTATAATAAATTGCCATAAACTTACTGGCTGAAAACAGCACACTCCTATCTTCCCAAATTGAATACGGGCACAGACATGCATCAACATTCTACAGCCCAGTGGGAACTGAGCCTGTGGGAAACTGGCTAAGATCAGATATAGTCCTGATTTGATGCTTTCAGCATATTTGCTATTTATTTAGTACCAACAATTATTTTAAATTAACTGCATTTTTAAGTACTTCAGAAGGAGATATGTCAAACAAGCTTATGAACCCCTTTAAAATAGGTGAGCAGTAATGTGGAATACTTCGTAAGCTCCTTATCTTTGGAAAACAAGTCTCCTGAATTTTCTACCTCTTGGCATTCAGGAAGAGAACACACACAGTTTTCCTTAAGTGAAATGGAAAGAGTTTTTTCTTTTTCTCTTGTTTTCTGAGATAACTTTTCTGAGATGTAGTCGGCATGTATTTTTGTTAGGGTCGCCTCATTCCATTCCTCTCCTATTCGTTTATGCTTCTCTTTGGTAAACTCCTCTAGCTCCTTTGCTCCTTAATGGCATTTCCTTTTGTGCTGGTGCCTCTTTGTTTAGCTGGTCCACTTTCCCCTTAGCGAGCGAACCTGGGCAAGAACTTAGAGTGAGGGTGGAAATACCCCGAATAGTGTTAGTTGTGACAAATCCTGTGTGACCTTGAGAGGGTAACATCTCTTGTTAGCATATTTTAAAAGAGAGTGGTACTAACCCCCTTCACGGGATGGTTGAGAGGGTTAACAAATTAATGATGGCATTGCATTTTCCAAGAACCTAGTTCATAATGCTCTTAGGTTTGACAGCTGACACTAATGCGATGATTAAAGATCAGTGGCCTCGGTGGAGTAAGATAAAACCCGGTGAAGAACATTAACAAAACCATAAAGCTGCTTAGCATCACCACATTGCACAGGGTTTTTCCAACAGGGGCTCAAGTTCTCAGGCCAGACTGTCTCAAGGCTGACTCAGGGCTTTATCCCTGGATTGCACCATAGCAGGGATGAGCCTAAAGGATTTTATTCTCAGTGGTTGAAATGACGATGTTGCTTGTTTTTATTACACATTTTTGCATATAGGCAATTTCACCAATTTATGTGGCTAGACACAAGTATTTATATGCATGTTTAATTTGCTTCATCATCATGATAGGAAAGCTGAGATCTCAAGAAGAAACTCCGGGTATGTATTTAGCACCAGATGAAATTTGGGAAAAACAAAATTTCGTCATATCCAATGTCAATCATTTTTTTCTTTTCCTTTCAAACTGAAAGTCTGTAGTTGTGAGACAAATCTAGACTCCTAATGATAATGGCCTCCAGAAATTTATGGCAGGCAAGACACTGCAACCACAGGCTTTCTGGCTTTGTGGTACTGTACCTTCAGTCAAAAATTGAATATGGGCTGGGAGGAGGAAGAACCCTGGATGCAATTACCTGTAATGACAGAAAAAAAAGCAGTAGCATATTATTTGAGACCAATTTTTATTTTGTTCAGCTGAAATTGTATGGGGTGTCTCTGTCCAGTAGAGAGAAGAAAATAGTCTCTAACTTACAAGTTGTAGTAGAAGAAACTGCCTTTGGTCCCAGAGGCCGCTAAGTAAATTATCACTGAATAATTGACTTTGGAAGCTAAAGCTGGCTTGTTGGAAGCTAGAGAGACTTTGAATTCCCTGTTTTACACCCCCTTGTGTCTCTTTTTCTGTTTTTATCCTCTCTGGGGGTTGAAGAGAGAGCTCTTTGGGCTTTCCTAGCTCTCTTTGGTATCATAAGGCCTAACATTCATGCTCCCTAGAGTTCACAGAGGCGTTTCAGGGTCTGAGACCAAGGCACCAGCCAAGATTTTTAGGTAAATGGTGAAGAGGATATAAACTCAGGTCAGGGAGCTGGGGGAGGAAGACATAGAGGAGAGAAGATTGCAGCTGCAACAGCTTCAGTGCCTTGATGGCAAAAACAGGAATCAGAGGGGTATTTGTTCTCCAGAAGAGAAGTCTGGGATTCTTTCAGTCCACTGGAAGCTGTGACCACAGTTACCTTCAAAATGTGTTGTAATCACCTCCCCTGTAGCACCCAGCACAGTCTCATTTAAGAAATGTCTGATCTGTGTAGAGGAAGTATTACATTATAGTACTACATTGTATGCTATTTTTTTAAAACTTACGGAAAAATATAGGAATGTAAACTAAATACCTTTGCCCTTAGTTAAAGGAGGTTTTTTTCCTCTAATATATTCTTGTTACTTCTCCTAAATCAGTGCTTGAGCTTCAAATATACATTGAGTCTTTTTTTCCTTTAGCTACAAGCCCTATTCCATCTGACTGAATCACCAGGCTTCATGTTGCCTCTTGTTCATGCAGGTATCCTCCAGGCAGGCTTCTCAGTTAGAGGCAGGGGAAGGATGGTGCAATACCAGAGAGCAAGCTCTCCCTCTCCATCTGGTATCCTGGGCAGCCCCACAGGGTCTTTTGTGTGTGTGTGTGTGTGTGTTTGTGTGTGTGTGTGTGTGTGTGTGTGTGTGTGTGTGTGTGTGTGTGTAAGCAAGTTTATTAGAGAAACAAAAGAATGGCCACTCCATAGGCAGAGCAGCAGCGAGGGCTGCTGGTTGGCCAGGATTACATCTTTTAGGCAGTTGATATCAGTCAGTAGGGATGCTGAAGGGTGGTCTTTTGGTGGTTTTTATTGATGGTGTGCCTTTCTCTATATAAACCCTTGAACATCTTCATTGTTCATTGGACTTTGTAGTTTCTTGTCAGCCCAGGTGGTGGTAGTGGCCTGTTGACCTGTAAGGACATCAAAGAAAAAAGAAGGAGTAGAGAAATAAGGGAAAGTGAGAGCTCATTGAGTGTGTAAGTGGAAATGTTTCACAGTAATTTGTAGCCCTAGACGGAATATGGAAAACAAAAGAGGAGGAACAAGCAACATGGGAACATAGGAGTCACAGCATTGATGAGATCCAGGTCAGAGACAGAATTTTATCCTACAGTCACACTAAGATCTGGAACTGGTGACCTGCATGAGAGTGTCCACTACATCTGTACATGTTCATACAACATGAACACACGCACACACTCTGAGGTTGGGAACAGAGGCTAACAGCAAGAGTTTGTAGATGTGCTGCAGGTCTGAGAGGAACAGTGTTCTGTTCTTGGTTTGTTCCAGAGAAATATGAAGCTCTTTCATTTATTGATAGAAATGCCTTTGAGATCCTGTAATTTTTGTGGACTTCTCCTTTTCCTTAAGTATGTAGGATCATGGATGAGAAAGGCCTAACTTCATGGAAAGAGTGTCTGTGGCTGGTTACAGCATCTTTGTTTAGGAAAGCTTCCACTAGATGTGCCCCTCATTCAACCTTGATCCTTGCCTTTGTTCCCGCTTATTTTTTGTGTGCTTGACCTGGAGTGGAGGTTATTTGATGTTTCAGGTTGTCACTAAGAGTAGTAGTTCACATGAGTATTTTCCTGAAAGTATCCCTCTAAGGCTGTGATAAAGCATTCAACAACCTTGTTGCCTCCAATCTTGTTTCTGGAGCTCCAAGGTAACCCCCAGGAAGTTACATAAATACTGATCCAGCTGTTGTTGAGGTGCAGGCCCTACCATGATTGATACCAGATTATTTGTCAGACTTCTTTGTTGAGTACTTCTGTTTCAGTATGGAGTTAGGCTTAGTATAATGTTCAGTTTATCGTTGAAAGCCTTTTGTCCCTGCCCTGGGTTATGCCATTGGAAGCTTAGCTGATTTAGGGAGGGACAGGGGAGGTAGCGGGTGAGAAGTCCTACTCTCACTGGAGATGCCAACCTGCAACGCTGGAAAGCACATATGGCTCTTGGCACTAAGAAAACCTTGTTGAAGATGAAATTAAAGTTCCTCTGCTGACAGGAAATTAATCGAAGCCGAGTGTAGTAGACAAGGACGCAAGCTAGGCTACTTGTTCCATCACTGAGGAGTATTTTATTATTATGTAAATGAGATTAAATGCACAGTGACTGGAAGGGATTGAGAGCAGTGGAGAGAAGTGAGAGGTGAACAGGTTCCTCAGGATTTAAACTCTGGCTACAGAAATGTTTCTATAACTCTGCTGCCTCTTAGTCCATCAAATGCTGAGCAAGGGAAGCTCCTCTGCCTCTTTTATCACTATTTCTGCTAAGCAGTTTTCATGACGATGATATATCGTCATCCATTCATTCCATAACACTCCTAGATCACCCACAGTAAACCAGGCCATTTGCCGGTGCTAGGCTAAATAATGAGAAACCTAGTCCTTGCCTTCCAGGAGCTTGTAGTCTGGGAGATAATGATATTGGAAAGCATTAAATTTGCAGATAATCCATCCAGATAAGAAGTGGTATTATACCATTTAGGATTATTTGGTTGAAAAATAGCTGAAACAAACCCTGACAAACTTCAGCAAAGGAGGGGTGAATTGGTAAAAAGGGAAACTGAACAGCCATAAAGGAACTTGGGAAGGGAGCTGTAGGTAGCAGGAACTAAGAGAGATGCTCTTCAAGGCTTTCTGAATCAACTCCATGCAACCTTACATCCATTGGCTCAAGATTGAAATCCCCTGCAGAAGGTATCTGATGGATCTAGCTTGGACCACTTGCCTGTTTCTTGGCTACGGGAAAGTGGGGGACTTGAATAGCCCCACTTGGACAGTGTGCAATGGCAAAGGGACTGTTTCCCAAAGAGAGATGGAGTGCTAGAAAGGCAAAGACTCCAGTATCCACTGGGGGAATTATAAAATTTAGCCATTGATATGTTTCCTGGGATTGCCAGCCGATGAGCTGACATACATTTTATTTGGGGCATACTCAGTGTTGGCAGTTGTAATGGTTTAAGGCCACAAAGCTTGGAATCATCCACCTGTAGGTGCATGAATTCATCAGCACTTCTGTCCTTTTCCCTTATTCCCAGTGCGAGCAGTCCCACCTCATGAGAGAGCATGAGGATGTCCAGGAGCGAACGACACTTCGCTATGAGGAACGCATCACAGAGCTCCACAGCGTCATTGCGGAGCTCAACAAGAAGATAGACCGTCTGCAAGGCACCACCATCAGGTACGCGGCTCCATTCGGCTTTTACTCTGCCCCTTCTGCTAAACCCTCCATCTTGGAGCTGAAGTAGCCCCAACTATTTTAACTCCAAGACCGAAGTTCTAGTTTGTAGATTATAAACTAGATTATAATGATGTTTTCTTTGTATCTAAGGCTTTTGAAGTGTATATTTCTCTTTGCTTTGTTAATCATGTGCTTTTACCTCCCTTATTCTGTTCTGATTTGGGTCCTTACAGTAGCCCTGGAAAGTAGACAAGGTGGAGGTTGTGGTCCTCAGTTTGTTGATAAGGGTATGAAATCAGAAGTTGAGTGAAATGCTTTAGTCATGAGTTCTAAATGGAGCCCCTTCCATCTTAGAGACGAGCATCCCTGCTGCTGCTTTGATTCACTGGGTTGATACTAAATATGCAAACTGTGTCCCTCCCTTGGAGATTTTGAGAGATTTATGAATGTAGCTTATAACTAAGCATTATGTAGGCTTCCAGATAATCTGATTATATTTTGAGCTTACCTCAAATTGCTCTACCAACATGGATTTATCCTCTTACTGGACTCATAAGGCAGGGGGAAAGATTTGACCCATCATTTTACTGGTGAAAAAGCTGGAGCTTAAAGAGAGTGACTGCCTTGTAGTTAAAATTAGGAGAGGATAGAGGTGGGTCAGAACCCAGAATATCTCTGCTTTTACTGAATTTTCTTTTCATAACAATAACTGGTAGGGATTCTGCCTTCCTTACTTATTAATCACTTGGCCTCTAAGTCTCCTGCCACAGTGATTAGTTGGTTGTATCTGCCCTGTTCCTCAGAGGAGAGGTTTGCTTTAAATGACACTAAGCCGTGGATGAGAGCATTTTCATGTTCCTGGCGATGCTCCGGGAACAGCCTGAGGACAGCAAGTGGCTGGCACCTACCTTTTTGGAGAAAGAGCGCTTTGTTCACCAAATGCTTACACAAGCCACAATTTTAAAACAGTTTCAGAGGCAGCTACTTTAAACTCTCCTTCTAGAAGTCAGAGGAAACTTTGGATGCATTTTGTTCCAACACCAAGAGTCACAGTAATGGCGGGGCTTCTTGATGAGGCTACTAATGGGCATCTGTTTTCTGGGCAAAATTGTGGAAAAGTTTGCACTGAGCTGGAGCCACACAATAAACTGCATATTCTAATTTAGAACCTCAAGGCTTTTAAATTGTATATTGGTCTTCACAGTGATTGTAGGTTAGAAGTACATGAGCAGAGAAGAATTTTTAGCCCAAAAGAATGATTATAGCAGATGTAAAGGAGCCTGGCATAGGACACTGGCAAATTTGTGATTTTTATGCACTTTTAAACACTTGAGAAAGTGAAAGCAAATGGGCTCAGTAAGTTGTGAAAAATACAAAATATGAAAAAATACACATCACCTAGAAATCTCAATTTCAAGATGTTTAAATTGAATGTAATGACCAAACTGCTTCACTTTGAAATGCAGTGAGCTTCTTGACTACAAACATTTATTGGTGCCTTTAATTTAAAGGAAGACTACATCTGTGGAGATGTCATATTAAATTCTGCCAGTTTTTGTTATGTAAATGAGCTGGCCCCTCCTCGAGGGGATTCCCTGCAAGGCTGGAAGGCACTTAGACGTGTAGACCAATGAGACAAAGGCTCTCCTTGTCCTCTGAGCTCCTGAGGCTTAGGCATCTCCCCAGCCCTCAGCACTCCAGCAAATTGGTTTGGCCTCTGAATTATTCAGGGTTCTCCAGAGAGACAGAAACCAATAGAACGTAGAGACAGATAGACATCTGTAAAGATATGAAAGGGGATTTATTAGGAAGATTGGCTCATGTGATTATGGAGTCTGAGAAGTTTCACAACAGGCTGACTGCAAGCTTGAGATCCTGGGATGCTGGCAGCATGACTCAGTCCAAGTTTGAAAAGCTCAGAACAGAGAAGCTGATGGTGTAAATCTCAGTCCAAGCCAAAGGCTTGAAAACCTGGGGGAATGCAAGTGCAGGTCCTGGAGTCCAAAGGCTACGGAGCCAGGAGTTCTGATGTCCAAGGGCAGGAAGAGTTCTGATGTCCACGGGCAGGAGAAAAGTATTCTACCTCCAGGAAGAGGGAGAGTGAATTTGTCTTTTCTCTTCCTTTTTTGTTCTATCCAGACCCCTAGCCAGTTGGATGGTGCCCACACACACTAAGGGTGGATCTTCCCCGAGTCCAACAACTCACACACCAGTCTCCTCTGGAAGCGCCCTCACACACACATCTAGAAACAACGCTTTAACATTTCTCTCAGATATTCCTTAATCCAGTCAAGTTGACACCTAAAATTAACCATCACAGTCTCAGCTCTTAATATGCTGTGATGGGCCAAATGCAGTAGGAACTAGGCACCGTGGATGAACTCTAACTGCCCTAGCATACCCACGGTCTACAGAATTGCTTGTCATACTGGACAGACACAGTGGTGGTACCATTGTAGACTTTGGTGTCACTTAAATCTGGCCTCAGTTAAGAATTTATTGGAGAAGCTAAAAATCATTATTAAGGGCATAGTTTATATAAGCTATGATATATCCACACTTAAGCTATCCTGAATTGCTTAAGGAAAGAAAATGACAATCTCATAGTTTTCTATCTCAGGTCACAATCAAAGCACCAGGCACCTTCTGTGACTGCCCTAAAAGACTCCCATCCCTTACAGTCACAGTGCTAATGTAGCCAAAAATCAGATACTGCAGGTTGCAGATGCTAATGTGAGTTGAATTCATGGCCACGTCAGATCTCTTAAGTGAAGATTAAGCATTGGTAGGAAAAGGTGAAATCGTGAGAATTTGAACAGGGACATTTGGGTAGATTCAAATAAATTCAAATACCTGGAAACTACAAATTCCACTGAGCTCTCCCTCCTACAGAAACAATTCTCCCTCCTCATCTAATAAAGCAAGTCCTATTTTGCTTGGAGACTCTGTAACTATTTCATCCCAGGTAGGAGGTGGCAAATATAATCATGTCCCATTCCTACTTCATTCATCTTTATCTTTAGGCCTAAAAGTGGTCAAATATCATCATGTCCCAAAGAGATAAGTAGAAAATCCAACTTGGAAAGATACAAGTAAAGCACCAGAAG